>NC_000016.10:68804924-69107954 GCF_000001405.40 Homo sapiens
GGCTCAAGCAATCCTCCTGCCTCAATCTTCCATGTAGCTGGGACCACAGGGTGCACCACCATGCCCAGCTAATTTTTTTTTTTTTTTTTTTTTTTGTAGAGATAGGGTTTCACTTTGTTGCGCAGGCTCAAAATCTCTAAATTTGTGTAAGAATAGATCTTAGTCTCTAGTCCTTTCATCTTATTTGGGTGAGTTTTCTCAGTCTGGCATCCTTCCTTTCTTTTCTTTTTACTTTTCTTTTCTTCTTCTTCCATTTCCCTTCCTTTTGTGTTTTTAGTACAGATGGGGTTTTACCATGTTGGCCAGGCTGGTCTTGAACTCCTGACCTCAAGCAGTCCACCTGCCTTGGCCTCCCAAAGTGCTGGGATTATAGGCGTGAGCCACCGTGCCCCACCTGGTATCCTATTTTTCTGAGGGATCACTTCCACGTGCAGTGTTTTCAGGCATGACTCCCTTTCATTTAACACATGAAAATGTTAGTGTGATGTTTTGCCAGCACAGTGTTCATCATTATTCATTCTCTGAAAATATTCCACAGTCCTGGTGTCAGCAAGGCATGCATGTTCCTTTCCTTTCATTGTGATAACTGGGTTTGCATTCATCCATCAGTGCCCATGTGCTCACCATGGCTGTGCAAGGTGGCCAGTTTTTGTTGTTGTTTTGTTTGTTTGTTTTTGTTTCTTTTTTGAGATGCAGTTTCACTCTTGTCACCCAGGCTAGAGTGCAATGGCACAATCTCAGCTCACTGCAACCTCCACCTCCTGGGTTCAAGCAATTCTTCTGCCTCAGCCTTCTGAGTAGCTGGGATTACAGGTGTGCACCACCACACCCAGCTAATTTTTGTATTATTAGTAGAAACAGGATTTCACCATGTTGGCCAGGCTGGTCTTGAGCTCACCTCAGGTGATCCACCCGCCTCAGCCTCCCAAAGGAAAAAGCCTGCTGGGATTACAGGCATGAGCCACCAGGCCTGGCCAAGGTGGCTGTTTTAAGGCTTAGGATACAGTGGTTTTTCTGGGATTGGTTTTTGTTTTTGTTTTTGAGACAGAGTCTCGCTCTGTTTCCCAGGTTGGAGTGCAGTGACACAATCTCGGCTCACTACAACTTCTGCCTCCCAGATTCAAGCTATTTTCTTGCCTCAGCCTCCTGAGTAGCTTGAATTACAGGCACATGCCACCATGCCTGGCTAATTTTTGTATATTTATTTATTTATTTATTTATTTATTTATTTATTTATTTATTTTTGAGACAGAATCTCTCTCTGTCATCCAGGCTGGAGTGCAGTGGCATGATCTCAGCTCACTGCAACCTCTGCCTCCCGGGTTCAAGCAATTCTCACGCCTCAGCCTCCCAAGTAGTTGGGACCCCGTGTGTGCCACCATGCCCGGCTAATTTTTGTATTTTTAGTAGAGGCAGGGTTTTGGCACGTTGGCCAAGCTGATCCCAAACTCCTGACCTCAAGTGATCTGCCTGCCTTAGCCTCCCAAAGTGCTGGGATTACAGGTGTGAGCCACCACGCCTGGCCCAGGATACAGTGATGATGGTCAGTTTTTTATTTTGTTCATGTGCTGGGGTCAAATCTCAATAAAACCATAACTCAGTGTTTTCCAACCAGTCCAACCATCATCTCCATCATTACCTTTATTGAGCACTTACTATGTTTCAGGCAGTATTCACAGTGCTTTAAATGTGCAATACCAGCATCTCATTTAATCCTTCCAAGAATTATATGAGATAGGTTCTAATATTATCCCCATTTCAGACATTAGGAAGCTGTAATACAGAGAAATTAAGTAATATCTGCCTGGGGCAAGGAGGTACTGTCATGAGGATTCAAAGCCAGGCAGTCTAGCTCCAGAGCCTGCCCTTGGCGCAGGCTGGGCTGCCTCTCTAGGAGACAAACACAGGATGTAGAGGGCAGAGAGCATAGGTGTGTGCGCATGTGTGCACATGTGGCCAGTGTGCAGCATTGGGGAAGGGCTCTGTGATGATACCTGGTCATATCTCACATGTATCTGGTGCATCTTCAATCTTAAAGCCAGAAAATAGAGCTGAACTCAAACTTGGCAAGCAGTGATCAGTGACTGTGAGTTTTTATGTGGAGGGTGAGAGATGGAATTTTCCCCTGGAAACTTTACTGTGTTACCAGTAATCACCTTAAAACACTTAAACAATTTGGCAAATATTTTCCTTCCATTTTCAACTCTCTTATTTCCCTGCATGTGCATAAAGTTATCTTTATTGCATATGAAAACTGTTCAATACAAGTCTCAAAGGGTGTTTTTGGCTTCCATCCCAACAGCTTCTGTTAGAACAAATGGAAACCATATAGACATAATGATACAGTGAGATGAAGAGATTTATATTGATCACAAAGTAGTTCTTAGTACAAGTTCTCAAAATCTACTTGTTTTGGGATAACTCCACGTTGAGGACCTGTGTCCCCAAGAAAAATATAAAAGAGGCTGGGTGCGGTGACTCACACCTGTAATCCCAGCAAATTGGGAAGCCAAAGCAGGAGAATCGCTTGAGCCCAGGAGTTCGAGACCAGTCTGGGCAAGATGGCAAGACCCTGCCTCTAAAAAAATTTAAAAAATTTAAAAAATTAGGTGCACATGGTGGTGCATGGTGGTGGATGCCTGTAGTTCCAGCTACTTGGTAGGCTGAGGTCAGAGGCTTGCCTGAGCTCAGGAGTTCAAGGCTGCAGTGAGCTTTGATCACTTCACTGCACTCCAGCCTGGGTGACAGAGCAAGACCCTGTCTCTATTTAAAAAAAGAAAAGAAAAGAAATCGAAAACCCAAATATTCAGTTGTTGAGTAAGCTCTGATATTAAATCATCAGAGTATAATGTTGCTGTTAAAAATTATATTATGGGCTGGGTGTGGTGGCTCATGCCTGTAATCCCAGCATTTTGGGAGGCCACATTGCTTAAGCTTACAAGTTCGAGACCAGCCTGGGTAACATGGCAAAGCCCTACGTCTACTAAAAATACAAAAATTAGTCAGCCATGGTGGTGCACACCTGTAGTCCCAGCTACTCAGGAGGCTGAGATGGGAGGGATGGCTTGAGCCTGGGAGGCAGAGGTTCCAGTGAGACAAGATCTTGCCGCTGTACCCCAGCCTCAGTGATAGAGCCAGATCTTGTCTCAAAAAAATAAAAATGAGATTATGTAGGCTTGAAACAGCTTGTAAATTATAATATCAAACCCTGAAACCAATACTTGTGTATGCATGATGATTATTTGAGCTCTGGACACTAAGAAGGATAAAAAGAGAATGCAGTCTTTACGATATAGCAAAGGGTCTCATTGGTTTTTGTTTTGATTGGTCATTTTGGTGGATATATATAATTTGTCATTGATAAGAGAATGTGTCATTAAATTCAAACTGTACACTGCCCACAGAAGGCTGGGGACGCTGTCTGGCTAGGTTGGACTGTTAGACCTGAAGTATCCGTCTTGAATTGTCTTATCTTGTTCCTCATCTTCTTTCCTTTTAGGCCTCCGTTTCTGGAATCCAAGCAGAATTGCTCACATTTCCCAACTCCTCTCCTGGCCTCAGAAGACAGAAGAGAGACTGGGTTATTCCTCCCATCAGCTGCCCAGAAAATGAAAAAGGCCCATTTCCTAAAAACCTGGTTCAGGTAGAGAAAGAAGTTCTCTGTTTCTCTGGGAGGGATTTGGCAGAGAAGTACCAAGGAGAGAAAGGGAAAAGACCCAGTGTTGGGATCCTTCTTTACTAATTCTTTTTCTTTCATTTTGTCTTCAGATCAAATCCAACAAAGACAAAGAAGGCAAGGTTTTCTACAGCATCACTGGCCAAGGAGCTGACACACCCCCTGTTGGTGTCTTTATTATTGAAAGAGAAACAGGATGGCTGAAGGTGACAGAGCCTCTGGATAGAGAACGCATTGCCACATACACTGTAAGTATCTCTTAGAAGCTTGTTGACACCGGGGTAACATCCACCCAGGATTTTTTGGTCAACCCATGCTGGATCCGCAGATCAGAGGCTCTGAACACATGAGGAGCTTAACTTGACACCTCTTGACCTGTTGCTAAGGAGAAGTGATGGGAGAACGTGGGACAGTTTGGGGTTGTTAATTTTTCTCCTTGTCAGGAAGAAAGGAAGGAGAATCCGCATGCATCCTCATACAACCAGGACAAATTTAGACCCAAGATGTCAACCTGTTCTTGGGGCTGGAAGTCCCTGACCTAAAGGAACAGGACAGTGATGATATAAGGGAGCAAAACCCATTTCTTGGGCTTGGCAGCAGCAAGAGCTTAGGAAAACCAAGAGGTCTTTTTTTTTTTTTTTTGAGATAGGGTTTCACTCTGTCACCCAGGCTGGAACCACAACCTCCACTTCCCGGGTTCAAGTGATTCTCCTGCTTCAACCTCCCGAGTAGCTGGATTATAGGCAGC
Source organism: Homo sapiens (assembly GCF_000001405.40). Lineage (NCBI taxonomy): Eukaryota > Metazoa > Chordata > Mammalia > Primates > Hominidae > Homo > Homo sapiens. The sequence continues at coordinate 68,809,349 of NC_000016.10, forward strand.
TGCCATCATGCCCAGCTAATTTTTTGCGTTTTTATTAGAGATGAGGTTTTACCATGTTGGCCAGAGTGGTCTCAAACTCCTGACCTCAGGCGATTCACCCTACTTGGCCTCCCAAAGTGCTGGGATTACAGGAGGGAGCCACTGCACCCGGCCTACAAGAGGTCATTTGTTTTTGTTTTGGATTTTTGTTTTTTTGAGACCGAGTCTACCTGTGTCACTCAAGCTGGAATGCAGTGGTACAATCTTAGCTCACTGCAGCCTGGACCTTCTGGGCCCAAGCGACACTCCCACCCCATCTTCCTGAGTAGCTGAGACTAAAGGCGCAGGCCACCACACCCAGTTAATTTTTGTATTTTTTGTAGAAACAAGATCTTGCTATGTTGCCCAGGCTGGTCTTGAAATCTTGAGCTCAAGCAATCTGCCCACCTCGGCCTCCCAAAGTGCTGAGATTACATGAACCACTATGCCTGGCCAGGAAGTCATATATTGATGCCAAATTCAGAAATATCTGGGGGAAATGCTAGACTAAAAGGACCAGAGCAAGTTTCACCCGGCATGGAATAAGAGTTTTTCAGGCCCGCATCTTCATCTCTAGGCCTGATGCCCTGGTCCTCGTGTGGGAAATGGGAGGTCTGAGCCGTGGGGGGTGTTCTCCAGCCCATGGCTCTTACCTTGTTATAATCTCACTGAAGCAGCAGCAGCACATGTGTGAGAAAAGTCACCCACTGGGGGTCTCAGAGCCTAGGAAGGTGTGGCAGCCAGGGGGGCGCACTCTGCTCTGGCTGGGCCCCTTCTCCCATGTTTTCTTCCTCATCAGAGCTCAAGTCACCCTCACTTGGTTCTTTCAGCTCTTCTCTCACGCTGTGTCATCCAACGGGAATGCAGTTGAGGATCCAATGGAGATTTTGATCACGGTAACCGATCAGAATGACAACAAGCCCGAATTCACCCAGGAGGTCTTTAAGGGGTCTGTCATGGAAGGTGCTCTTCCAGGTATATCCACTAATGAGAATCTGAATACTCAGAAAGACTCTTAGGTTCTTTGGACCCCAAAGTGTTGTCCAAGCCCAAAGGTTGTGTAACTAAAGCTGATCCTTCCTACGGACAGAACTTCTTGGCAAGCCATTGTTGTGTTATATGCATGTGTGTAACAGTCTACCTGTGGAAACATATAAAATAGGGAGAGTTTAAGAACAATCTTCCCTTTTTTATTATTAATTTTTTTTTTTTTTAGGCTGGGCATGGTGGCTCATGCCTGTAATCCCAGCACTTTGGGAGGCCAAGGTGGATGGGTCACCTGTGCTCAGGAGTTCAAGACCAGCCTGACCAACATGGTGAAACCTCGTCTCTATTAAAAATACAAAAAAATTAGCCGGTCGTGGTGGCGGGGGCCTGTAATCCCAGCTACTTGGGAGGCTGAGGCAGGAGAATTGCTTGAACCCGGGAGGCGGGGGTTGCAGTAAGCTGAGATCACGCCACTGCACTCCAGCCTGGGTGACAGATCCAGACTCCGTCTCAAAAAAAAAAAAATTTTTTTTTCAGAGACAGGGTCTTGCTTTGTTGTCCAGGCTACTTTCAAACTCCCGGGCCCAAGCAATCCTCCCACCTCAGCCCCACAAGCTGCTAAGATTATAGGCATGAGCTACTATACCTGGCTAAGAACAACCTTCCTAATTAAGGAACAGATCTTTACCAGTACCTTAAAGCCCTAAACAATCCCCCTTGGTCACATTCTTTTCTCTCCTCCATAAAGATAACCACACCCTAGGCTGGGTGTGGTGGTTCACACCTGTAACCCCAGCACTTTGGGAGGCCAAGGTGGGCAAATCACTTGAGGTCAGGAGTTTGAGACCAGCCTGACCAACATGGAGAAACCCTGTCTCTACTAAAAATAGAAAATTAGCTGGGCGTGGCGACGCATGCCTATAATTCCAGATACTTGGGAGGCTGAAGCAGGAGAATTGCTTGAACCCGGGAGACAGAGATTGTGGTGAGCCGAATCACGCCATTGCATTCCAGCCTGGGCAACAGGAGCAAAACTCCGTCTCAAAAAAAAAAAAAAAAAAAAAGATAACCACACCCTGACTTTTGTGGTAATCATTCCCTTTCTTTTCTTTATTACCATTTGTGTATTTATACCTGGATAATAAGTTGATAGTTTGAGCTTTCTTTCTCCCCTAGCACTTTGGTAAGAATTCTAGGAATTAGGGAACTCTGACACGGTACCACCCCCATGTCCCCTCCTTTATCCCTCAGGGCAGAATTGGATTAAGCAGTATTGACCCAGTCCCAAAGTGCAGCTTGTCTAAACCTTCATCTCCTTGAACTCTTCCAGGAACCTCTGTGATGGAGGTCACAGCCACAGACGCGGACGATGATGTGAACACCTACAATGCCGCCATCGCTTACACCATCCTCAGCCAAGATCCTGAGCTCCCTGACAAAAATATGTTCACCATTAACAGGAACACAGGAGTCATCAGTGTGGTCACCACTGGGCTGGACCGAGAGGTCAGGGGTCAGGAGGATCCAGAGGGTGTGGAGGACAAATGTGTATTAGCTCAATCCCGTGGACAAAGCAAAATCCTGCTAGGCCAGTTGTCAGTTAATACAGTGATGGTCTAAGCTTTGCATCTAAGCTTGTGCCCAGAGGTTCCGTGCCTAGAAGACAGGCAGGCTGGCATGAAGCACATGGTTAAATATTCTGGTTCCATGTGTTGGGCTGGGCTAGGCCAAAGGTGGCTAGTGTTCCTGGTCCTGACTTGGTTGTGTCGATCTCTCTGCAGAGTTTCCCTACGTATACCCTGGTGGTTCAAGCTGCTGACCTTCAAGGTGAGGGGTTAAGCACAACAGCAACAGCTGTGATCACAGTCACTGACACCAACGATAATCCTCCGATCTTCAATCCCACCACGGTAATTCTATAACTCCTTAGAGGGTTTCCAAAGAAAGGTCTTTTGTTGTTCATGAACTAAGTGTCACCACTGCTCATGGGCGAAGTCTTTGAAAACTCTCTCCAGACTAGAGAATGTTAACTTTAAACTTAAAAGCAAGCATCTTGAGATGGCAGTTGTCTTTTAGTATCTTTTTTCCACCCTTGGCCTGGGGCCAATTGGTGCAAGATTGTGAAGTTGCAAAAAGCACCTACTGATTTCATAGTCTCATGGTACATTTTTATAGCAAATATTACCTGGTTTCATTTCTTTATTGAACAAATATTTTCTAAGTTTATATTAGGCACTGTGTTAGACACTGGAGAGACCATCACACACAAAGATTCCATTCTCATGGTGTTTCTGGTATAGCCAGGAAGACATCTTATGAGAATTATTGTATGCCAAGGATATTACATGCATTCAAGGAGAAGGTATTGAGAACCAAGTAGGGTAAGTTTAAATCATCCTGTATAATGGCCAGGCGTGGTGGCTCACACCTGTAATCTAGCAAGTTGAGAGGCCAAGGCTGGTGGATCCCTTGAGGATGGAGTTTGAGACCAGCCTGGCCAACGTGGCGAAACTCCATCTCCACTAAAAATACAAAAATTAGCTGGGCGTGGTGGTGCATGCTTGTAATCCCAGCTACTCGGGCATCTGAGGCATGAGAGTTGCTTGAACCCAGGAGGCGGAGGCTGCAGTGAGCCGAGATTGTACCATTGCACCCCAGTGCGCCCATTGCCTGGCCTCTCCTTGTCACATCTTCTCCTTGAAGCTTGCTTTCAGTTAGCCAGGTGTGGTGGTGCATGCCTGTGGTCCCAGCTACTCTGGAGGCTGAGGTGGGAGGATTGCTTGAGCCCAGGAGGTTGAGGCTACAGTGAGCCATGATCGCTCAAATACACTCCAGCCTGGTGACAGTGAGATCTTATCTCAAAAGAACAACAAAAAAAGAGGAATCCTTTAGCCCCCTGAGACTCAGCTCTGCTAGCAGTCTTGGTACTTTGTAAATGACACATCTCTTTGCTCTGCAGTACAAGGGTCAGGTGCCTGAGAACGAGGCTAACGTCGTAATCACCACACTGAAAGTGACTGATGCTGATGCCCCCAATACCCCAGCGTGGGAGGCTGTATACACCATATTGAATGATGATGGTGGACAATTTGTCGTCACCACAAATCCAGTGAACAACGATGGCATTTTGAAAACAGCAAAGGTTTGTATGGTACCTGGCAAGATGCAGAAACTGGCATCCTCACAGCTGTTCATACCCTTGTCCCCTGGTATCTTCTTAGAAGTAGATTCGCTTTGGCAGGGGGACAGGGTGACTTTCCCAGATTGTAGTGGACCATGTGGGATTTGCAGTGGCTCTTCCTGCTCATGTAAGAAATCAAGAAACTGTGCTGTGTGTGGTGGCTCACGCCTGTAATCCCAGCACTTAGGGACGCTGAGGCAGGCAGATCACGAGGTCAGGAGTTTGAGTCTCTGCTAAAAATACAAAAATTAGCCAGGCATGGTGGCACGTGCCTGTAATCTCAGCTACTAGGGAGGCTGAGGCAGGAGAATTGCTTGAACCTGGGAGGTGGAGGTTGCAGTGAGCCAAGATCGTGCCATTGCACTCCAGCTCTGGGTGACAGAGCAAGACTCAGTCTCCAGGGGTGGGCGGGGAAAAGGAGGCCGGGCGTGGTGGCTCACGCCTGTAATCATAGCACTTTGGGAGGCCAAGGCGGGCAGATCACAAGGTCAAGAGATCGAGATCATCCTGACCAACATGGTGAAACCCCATCTCTACTAAAAATACAAAAATTAGCTGGGCATGGTGGTGTGCACCTATAGTCCCAGCTACTAGGGAGGCTGAGGCAGGAGAATCGCTTGAACCTAGGAGAGGGAGGTTGCAGTGAGCCAGGATCGTGCCACTGCACTCCAGCCCGGCAACAGAGTGAGACTTCGTCTCAAAAAAAGGAAATCAAGAAGCTAAGGCTTCTTGGTGGCTCATGGTGGCTCATGCCTGCAATCCCAGCACTTTGGGAGGCCGAGGCGGGCAGATCACCTGAGGTCGGGAGTTTGGGACCAGCCTGGCCAACATGGTGAAAACCTGTCTCTACCAAAAATACAAAAATTAACTGGGCGTGGTGGTGCACACTTGTAATCCCTGCTGCTTGGGAGGCTGAAGCAGGAGAATCGCTTGAGCCTGGAAGACAGAGGTTGTAGTGAGCCAAGATCGTGCTACTGCACCCTGGCCTGGGCAACAGAGTGAGACTCTGTCTGAAAAAAAAAAGAAATCAAGAAGCTGTTACACAGGATCCTGAAATTGAAAAAGAAGTACTATCTGCTTTAATAGGCTCTTTCCCAGAAACATTCTCCTTCCCTCAGCTCTTTCCATTTTGCGGTGACAGAGAAAATGATTTACTGGTCTCTGCTCTTGTGCTGGTTTATTTTAGAAGTGGGGCAGATATGGTTGTTTTTGAAAAATGTCCTAGAAACTTGAAAACTAGCCAAGCGCAGTAGTGTATGGCGGTGGGCCCAACTACTTGGGAGGCTGAGGTGGGAGAATCACTTGAGCCCAGGGGGTTGAAGCTGCACTCAGCTATGATCATGCCACTGTACTCCAACCTGGGCAATAGAATGAGACTCCATCTCTTAAAAAAAAAAAAAAAAAAAGATGGCCGGGTGCAGTTGCTGATGTCTGTAATCCCAACACTTTGGGAGGCCAAGGCGGGTGGATCACCTGAGGTCAGGAGTTCGAGACCAGCCTGGCCAACATGGTGAAACGTCGTCTCTACTAAAAATACAAAAAATTAGCCAGGTGTGGTGGCGGGCTCCTGTAATCCCAGCTACTAGGGAGGCTGAGGCAGGAGAATTGCTTGAACCCAGGAGGTGGAGGTTGCAGTGAGCCATTGCATTCCAGCCTGGGTGACAAGAGCAAAAATTCTGTCTCAGAAAAAAATAAAATAAGGAAAGAAACTTGAAAACTAAGAATTTGAGTGAATTGCTTGTTGAAGTGACTGGATCCCTAGAATAGCCCCAGCTTTGCCTTCCTCTTGAGTAGGTGAGCAGATTTGAGAAGCCATGGTAAGTAATTGTGGTTTCTGCCATTGAAAGTCATGGCAGAAACCACAGTTACTTTTGCACCAACCTAATATATTACCAAAAGCAACAGTTAAGGATTTAATTTTATTTTTACTAACACAAAATGTTTCGTTTTGTTTTTAACTTCATTGTTTCTGCTCTCTAGGGCTTGGATTTTGAGGCCAAGCAGCAGTACATTCTACACGTAGCAGTGACGAATGTGGTACCTTTTGAGGTCTCTCTCACCACCTCCACAGCCACCGTCACCGTGGATGTGCTGGATGTGAATGAAGCCCCCATCTTTGTGCCTCCTGAAAAGAGAGTGGAAGTGTCCGAGGACTTTGGCGTGGGCCAGGAAATCACATCCTACACTGCCCAGGAGCCAGACACATTTATGGAACAGAAAATAACGTAAGTGTGAGGATTTTTCAACTGACTTGCAGCAACTGGTTATTTTATATCATTTTATATGTAAATCAATAATATGTACTTCATGGCATTTTGTCATTTGTCTGTACAAGACCATTCTCTTAATTTATTTTTTATTCCCTTTATCTGTGCTCCTTTCACCTGTTCCCTTCCCTTCACAGACAGCCGTTCTTGGTCTGATGTGCTGCCTCTCTTTGAGCTCTTGTAGTATGGTAGAAATGCAATTTTACTTTGCATACATACTATTGTGTTTTTTTGAGTTTGGAGTCTCACTTTGTCGCCCAGGCTAGCGTGCAGTGGCGTGATCTCTGCCTACTGCAGCCTCTGTCTCTTGGGTTCAAGCAATTTTCATGCCTCAGCCTTCCATGTAGCCAGGATTACAGGTGCCTGCCACCACGCCCGGCTAATTTTTGTATTTTTAGTAGAGACAAGGCTTCACCACATTGGCCAGGCTGGTCTCGAACTTCTGACCTCAAGTGATCTGCCTGCCTCCTAAAGTGCTGGGATTACAGGCGTGAGCCACCGCACCCAGCCCATAGTATTGTGTTCTAAGTAGCTTACTATCAGTATTTCTCCTTTCAAACTTGAAGGTACCTCTATAATGTAAATCACACAGATGCTGAGAACTGAGAACCCACATGCCAACCAACCAACTACAACACTTGCTTTAAAATACTCTCATTTTGGGTTGGGCATAGCAGCTCATGCCTGTAATCCCAAAACTTAGGGAGGCCTAGGCAGGTGGATCACTTTGAGGCCAGGTGTTGAAGACCAGTCTGGCCAACATGGTGAAACCCCTGCCTCCACTAAAAACACAAGAAATTAGCTGGGCATGGTGGTACACACCTGTAATCCCAGCTACTCGGGAGGCTGAGGCACGAGAATCACTTGAACCCAAAAAGCTGAGGTTGCAGTGAGCTGAGATCGAGTCACTGCACTCCAGCCTGGGTGACAGAGTGAGACTCCATCTCAAAAACAAAAAACAAAAAAACTCTCATTTTCTATGTGTAGCCAATGGACTCCTCATAATCTAGAGATATTTCTACATGCTCCAAACTGTAAGGCCTGGCAAGATGGGTTTTAATCGAAGTTTAAAAGAATGATGAAAAGTCAAAGACAATAATGTAGGATTAGGTTCAGTGATGAAACCCTGGATTGTACAGTTTCCAGGCTGGGTTGAAAGCTTGCAGTAGTGAAATAGATAGTTCAAAGCATCTCCTGGGGCAGATTCAGGGACCAGGTCTTTAGTGTCTGTTTCCAGAGGCCCTTACGCCTGGAACAATGACCACTTGATGTAATTCATTGCTTTGCACTTCCAAAGAAGTGAGGCCAAGCCCACAGTTTCTTAGAGCCCTTTCCTCCTTTGATTTCTTAGTTTCTCTTTCAGAGCCTTTCCATGACCCTAGTAAATAACTGAGCAGTAGATCTCTGTTAGCCTCCCTGTACCTCCCATTAAATGGCAATAGTGCAGTCCACCCACAGGTCAACAGGGCAACCTGCATCTCCAGATGTTCATGACAGGAGAGGAGGTGGCATGTTGCCACCATTTAGGAACTACTGTATTGTTTGGGGGAGCTGGTCTGCAGGAGTCTGCTTTTAAAAATAAATAAGGATTATAGTAATCATTGCTTCAGCAAGAATCATCCACAGATGCCAAATCCATTGGGTGAAAATTAGTTGCTGAACAAGATATTCTCAAATTATCTACCTGCAGATTATAGGTTAATCATGCAGTGAAAAAAGGCACCTTTGCTGTGAAGAAATCTGGTGGCCTTTCCCTTATCCAAGTGATCAAAGTTATCAATAGAAGCACAGACAGACATCATGTGCCTCCCAGTGTCCTGCACTAGGGAGGCCACAGCATCACCTCTGTCCTGTTCTTGCCCCCACCGACCCCTGAAATGGATTACCTGAATCTAAATTTTGAGGAATAATCAGACAAACCCAAGTTAAGGGGCATGCTACAAAACAACGGCCAGCACATTTCAAAAATGTCAGTGACAGAAAAGAAAGACCTAAGGAAGAGCCATGCCAACGAAAGGCCATATTGGATCCTGAATCCAGAAGGGTGCAAGGTTGCTATAAAGGACATTTTTGGAAAATCTGACAATTCGAATATGCACCATATATTCGACAATAGAATTCTATCAAAGTTTTGTTTCCTAAAATTGAAAATCAAGACTGGTCACGGTGGCTCACACCTGCAATCCCAGTGCTTTGGGAGGCCGAGATGGGTGGATCATCTGAGGTCAGGAGATCGAGACTATCCTGGCTAACATGGTGAAACCTCGTCTCTACTAAAAATACAAAAAATTAGCCGGGCGTGGTGGCGGGTGCCTGTAGACCCAGCTATTCAGGAGGCTGGGGCAGGAGAATGGCATGAACCTGGGAGGTGGAGCTTGCAGTGAGCTGAGATCACGCCACTGTACTCCAGCCTGGGCGACAGAACGAGACTCTGTCCCAAAAAAAAAAAAAAAGAAAAGAAAAAAAAAGAAAATCAAATTGGGGTTATATAACAGAATGCCTTTGTTCTTAGGAGATAACACATTGACATATTTATAAGTAAAGGAACATGACTTCTGCAATTTATTTGCAGATGGTTCAGCAGAACAAGAAATTATGTAGGCGTGTGTCAATATAGACAGAGCAGATGTGGCAAAGTATTAACAATGAGTAAACTCAGGTGAAGAGTTCATGGATGGTCATCATACTATTATAGTAACTTGTCTGTTGTATTGTTGGTTTTCTTGGTTTTCTTTTTTTTTTTTTTTTTTTAAAGACGGAGTTTCGGCCGGGCGCGGTGGCTCACGCCTGTAATCCCAGCACTTTGGGAGGCCGAGACGTGCGGATCATGAGGTCAGGAGATCGAGACCATCCTGGCTAAAACGGTGTAAACCGCGTCTCAACTAACAATACAAAAAAATTAGCCGGGCGTGATGGCGGGCGCCTCTAGTCCCAGCTACTCCGGAGGCTGAGGCAGAAGAATGGTGTGAACCCAGGAGGTGGAGCTTGCAGCGAGCCGACATCGCGCCACTGCACTCCAGCTTGGGCTACAGAGCAAGACTCCGTCTCAAAAAAAAAAAAAAAAAAAAAGAAAGAAAGGGTTTCACTTTTGTTGCCCAGGCTGGAGTGCAGTGGTGCAATCTCGGCTCACTGCAACCTCCATCTCCCAGGTTCAAACGATTCTCCTGCCTCACCCTCCCCAGTAGCTGGGATTACAGGCGTGTGCCACCACACCCAGCTAATTTTTGTATTTTTAGTAGAGACAGGGTTTCACCATGTTGACCAGGCTGGTCTCAAACCCCTGACCTCAGGTGATCTGCCCACCTCAGCCTCCCAAAGTGTTGGGATTACAGGCATGAGCCACCGCGACCGGCCTATTGTTGGTTTTCAAAATAAAAACGTTGGAAGTAACCATATAACTGAAGAAGCGCTTAAGCCGTTTTCAGCTACATGTTGTTTGCTGGTCCTATTCTAAAAGCCAGAGCTTGTCCCCGTTCAGATATCGGATTTGGAGAGACACTGCCAACTGGCTGGAGATTAATCCGGACACTGGTGCCATTTCCACTCGGGCTGAGCTGGACAGGGAGGATTTTGAGCACGTGAAGAACAGCACGTACACAGCCCTAATCATAGCTACAGACAATGGTAAGGGGGCCTCATCTGAGCCTTTGCTGCCTCGACCTCCTAGCTAGTTCAGTTCCTTGCCCCTCCCTTCTTTTGGAGGGAAGAGTTCATTCTTTTTCTTTTATCCTTTTTGTTTGCTGGATTGATTTGTATAAATGTATGGAGTACAAGGGTAATTTTGTTACATGCATAGATGTGTAGTGGTAAAGTCAGGGCTTTTAGGGTATCCGTCACCCAAATAACATGCATTGTACCCATTAAGTAATTGTTCATCATCTACCCCCTCCCACCCCTTGGACCCTTCCCAGCTGCCATTGTCTATCATTCCACAATCTACATCCATGTGTACACATTATCGAACTCCGACTTCTAAGTGAGAACATGCAGTATTTCTCCTTATATGTCTGATTCGTTTCACTTGAGACAATGGCCTCCAGTTTCATCCATGTTGCTGCAAAAGATTTCTCTTTTATTCTTAAACAAAGGCATTCTTATTATCAAAAATTCAAGTGGGCTGGGCACGGTGACTCACACCTGTAATCCCAGCACTTAGAGAGGCTGAGGTGGGAGGATCACTTGAGCCCAGGAGTTCAAGACCAGCCTGGGTAACATGGCAAAACCCTGTCTCTACAAAAAGTACATAAATTAGCTGAGTGTGTTGGTGAGCACCTGTAGGCCCAGCTACTCAGAAGGCTGAAGTGGTAGGATTGCTTGAGTCTGAAAGGTGGAGGCTGCAGTGAGCCAAGATTGCGCCACTGCTCTCCATCCTGGGCAACAGAGCAAGACTCTGTCTCCAAAAAAAAAATTGTTTTTTCAAGTAATTTTGGTCAAACAGAACTTACTTTTCACTACTCACTCTTTATTCCTTCCCTAAGGGAACCAGGTAATGATGGTTTACAATCCATTTCCAAAGCTTAATACTTGTGTGACCTTGGATTTGCTGTTTAATTTTTTTTTTTTTTTTGAGACAGAGTCTTGCTCTGTCACCCAGGCTGGAGTGCAGTGGTGCAATCTTGGCTCACTGCAGCTTCCGCCTCCCAGGTTCAAGCAATTGTCCTACCTCAGCCTCCCAAGTAGCTGGGATTACAGGTGTGCACCACCACGCCCAGCTAATTTTTTGTATTTTTAGTAGAAACGGGGTTTCACCATATTGGCCAAGCTGGTCTTGAACTCCTGACCTTGTGATCTGCCCACCTTGGCCTCCCAGAGTGCTGGGATTACAGGTGTGAGCCACCGTGCCTGGCCTGCTGTTTAATTTTTATGTCCCTCAATTCCTTTACCTGAAAAATGTTAATACCCATGTGGGTGAAATTAGTTAGGTGTTAAATCAGTTAGGTGTGGGTCCTTCCAGACTGCTTCTGTGTATTTAAATACATTTATAGGCTGGGTGCTAGGGTCACACCTGTAATCCCAACACTTTGGGGGTCTGAGGTGGGAGATGGCTTGAGGCCAGGAGTTCAAGACTAGCCTGGGCAACATACTGCCCATAATCTCAAAATGCTGGGATTACAGGCATGAGTTATCATGCTTGGCCTCCTTGAGTTAATTTTAAATGACGTGTGCTCATTGTTAAAAAATAAAATTTACATGAGAAAAAAGTTTTAAAAATTTACAGTCATGCCATCTAGACATATCTATTTATAGGTTTGAGATGGATTCTTCTGTTGTTTTGTATCCGTATCGTATACTAATATTGATGATAGTTCCCTGGGTACCAATTTTTCCTACTACCATATGCTCCGTGTTGTGTCAAGATATAAAAGAAATGCAAACAGAAGTGTGGATGGGCTGGGCGCAGTGGCTCACGCCTATAATCCCAACACTTTCAGAGGCTAAGATGCGAGGATCACTTGAGCTCAAGAGTTCAAGACCAGCCTGAGCAACATGATAAGACCCCCTCTCTACAAAAAAAATTTAAAAACTAGCCAAGCATGGTGGCATGCGCCTGTAGTCTCAGCTACTAGGGAGGCAGAGGTGGGAGATTAAGCCCAGGAGGTAGAGGCTGCAGTGAACTGTGTTCATGCCACTGCATTCCCGCCTGGGTGACAGAGTGAGACTCTGCCTCAAAAAAAAAAAAAAAAGCGTATGTGAACTCCCCAATCTATTTTGAAAACCAATTTGCAGAGACTTCAAAAGACCCAACTCATCCCCTTTGATTTTAAGCTTCTAGTCAGGCTTAAAATTAAAATAAATAAAAAGACTCAATGCTTTGTTAATGACCTCAAATGGCAGGAAAGTGCAGAAAAAGGAGAACTAGGGAAACAACAGGCAGGCAATAGGACTTCTTGGAGTAGTTAAAATTCAGTGAATGAATAACGATATGTGAAGAAGGAGGAGTGTGTTCTTGGTGTGAGGAATAACTTGAATAATTGTTATCAAGGTGGGAATAAGTTGTCTGTGTAAAACGGCCAGAGACCTGCCCACCTGGGAGTGGAGGTCCTTTGGGATTGGTGGGACAGGAGGTTCTGCGGGTGGAGTGGGGCCTGGTGAGGGACCACTGAAGAGCCAGGACAAGATCTAGACTTGGTCTGGTGGAAGGCAATGGGGATTCATTACTGTTGCCAAGCTGCCACATTTTCTGTGTATTTTCTCTTAGGTTCTCCAGTTGCTACTGGAACAGGGACACTTCTGCTGATCCTGTCTGATGTGAATGACAACGCCCCCATACCAGAACCTCGAACTATATTCTTCTGTGAGAGGAATCCAAAGCCTCAGGTCATAAACATCATTGATGCAGACCTTCCTCCCAATACATCTCCCTTCACAGCAGAACTAACACACGGGGCGAGTGCCAACTGGACCATTCAGTACAACGACCCAAGTGGGTACCTGAGTTTTATTTTGGCAACTTTGCTCCAACTGCCATGCTTCCCTTCCCCCAGATCCCCACCTTTCAATTTCCCTTCTCAACTTCTAGATGTCACCCCTTCCATTGATACTTGCTTCCTTGTCCCTTCTGTCTTTGAGGCCTTGCTCCAAAGGTCTTTTTCCTTTCCTGGTATCTAACTTTGTAGCATGCTACCCAGTAATCTAAAACCCAAGCAGGGCTCCCTCTCCCAGCCTCTAGCCACCCTCCACTCCCCTCTCCACTTGCAACCAGGACCATCTTCTCTGCTACCTCCTGCTCCTGGGACCAAACAACACCATTTTTGTGGTTAGCTCCTTCTTGCCAACCAATCGTGAGCTCCCAGATTCATCAGAACTATTCTACCGAGGTGGAGGCAGCTGTCAACTGCCTGGTCAATTTGCATATATGGGCTTCCTACACCTACTTCTCTCTGGGCTTCTATTTCCACCATGACGATGTGGATCTGGAAGGTGTGCACCACTTCTTCCACAAATTGGCCAAGGAGAAGCACAAGGGCGCTGAGTGTCCCTTGAAAATGCAAAACCAGTGTGGCGGCCGCACTGTCTTCCCGGACATCCAGAAGCCATGTAAAGATGAATGGGGTAAAACCCTGGGTGCGATGGAAGTCACTCTGGCCCTGGAGAAGAACCTGAACTGGACCCTTTTGGATCTTCATGCCTTGGGTTCCACCTGCACAGACCCCCATATCTGTGACTTCCTGGAGAGCCACTTCCTAGATGAAAAAGTAAAACTCATCAAGAAGATAGGTGACCACCTGACCAACCTTCACAGGCCAGCCGGCCTCCAGGCCGGGCTGGGCAAAAAGGTTCACCCTCAGGCACACGGGAGCCTACCGAACCCAGCGACATCTGAAGAGCCCCGCTCTGCCTAAGCCTCTCCCTCCAGCCACTAGGCAGCTTTTTTAAACCAACTCTAGAGCCCTCTCCCAAGCCTTAGACCAAATGGAAATAAAGCTTTTTACAGCAAAAAAAAAAAAAAAAAAGTACATACCTAAATAAAACCCAAGCAGCTCTGCTCTCTTCACTCGGCTTGCGGGTGTCTTTAGTTCACTAGCAATTTTATTCTGGAATGAGCTTTTTATTTTCCTCCCCTGGTCTCATCATTTCTTTTTATTGCTTTCTCCAGCCCAAGAATCTATCATTTTGAAGCCAAAGATGGCCTTAGAGGTGGGTGACTACAAAATCAATCTCAAGCTCATGGATAACCAGAATAAAGACCAAGTGACCACCTTAGAGGTCAGCGTGTGTGACTGTGAAGGGGCCGCTGGCGTCTGTAGGAAGGCACAGCCTGTCGAAGCAGGATTGCAAATTCCTGCCATTCTGGGGATTCTTGGAGGAATTCTTGCTTTGCTAAGTAAGTCCAGCTGGCAAGTGACTCAGCCTTTGACTTAAAAAAATGGAGGAGGTTTATTTCCTGGAAATGATTTTTGTTCTTATATTAATAAGGATATAGGTTAGCTGATGTGGGAAAGAGACTCCCAAGTTATGCCAGCCTCCATAAAATAGAAGTTTGTCTCTTACTGAACATTTCAGAGGTAAATGGTCTAAGATGGGAAGGCCATGAAGTCAACAGGGGACCCAGGTTTCTTCTACCTTGTCTCTTTTCATTCTTCAAGACAGTGCATCCCAAGCTTGAGAGCATACAAATCATCTGGGCCTCTTTTTGAACTGGGAAATCTGATCCAGGAGGTCTGGCATAGGGCCACAGATTCTGCATTTCTTTTTTTTTTTTTTTTTTTTTTGAGATGGAGTTTCGCTCTTGTTGCCGAGGCTGGAGTGCAATGGTGTGATCTCAGCTCACTGCACCCTCTGCTTAACAGGTTCAAGCGATTCTCCCGCCTCAGCCTCCTGAGTAGCTGGGACTATGGGCATGTGCCACCACGCCCAGCTAATTTTGTATTTTCAGTAGAGACGGTGTTTCTCCATTTTGGTTAGGCTGGTCTCAGACTCCCGACCTCAGGTGATCCACCCGCCTCAGCCTCCCAAAGTGCTGGGATTACAGGCTTGAGCCACCGCACCCGGCCAGATTCTACATTTCTAACCAGCTCCCAGGCGGTACTGATGTTGCAGTTCCTTAGACCATAGGCAGAGTAGCAAGACCTTGGGGGCTGCCCTCATCAGCGTGGTCTAAGCTAGCCAGCTCACCACCACCACCTCTACATTCCATCCTAGATTGGGGAAGGGGATAACAGAGGAAGTGGAGGCCAAACGACTGGAAGTTGCATATATCACCTCCACTTATATACCATTGGCCCAAACACAGCCACATCTAGCTGCAAGGGAACCTGGAAGCTTCTACTTACAATTGAAAATTGACATGGAGTAGGGGTGGAGTGTAGGGTGAGCAGTGAGTGTCAATGACTAAAAGGATAAAGGAGAAAAAGGATGCTGAGGAAAATTGGCAGTTTCTGCCATAGTCCTTAAACCTGTTTCCATTGGAGCCCACCTGGAGTGAGCCCTAGGGGTGACACAGGAGCTGTTATGGTCAAGGTAAATACTTTTATCATTTACACACAGGGAGAAAGTACTGAATCTATTAAAGGAATAAATTAGCGATGAAAACAGACTATGTGCATCAAAAGACAAAGTATCCATATGGAGGAGTGCACTACATCAGAACTCTGGTAGGGCTTTAAACATGTGAATGATGGAAGAGCAAGCAAATGATTATCACAGCAAATGAGAGCAAGTCAATTAGAAACCTTTGACCTGGTATGGTGGCTCACTCTTTGGGAGACCAGGGTGGGAGGATTGCTTGAAGCCAGGAGTTTGACACCAGCCTGGGCAACAAAGCAAGACTGTCTCTACAAAATAAAAATAAAAAATACATTTTTTTATTAAAAAAAATTTTTTAAAAGAAATGTTTAAAGATCATATATAATTAGTGACTGCAAGGGGTGGTCCAGCTCATGAATGCCTTTGTAGTCAGGGTAGTCAGAAAAGGCTGTTAATTGAGTCTCAAGGACAGTTTTGTGGAAGATGTAAGTGGTTAGGCCACAGGGGCTGGTAGAATTCCAACAGGCAGATGGGTATTTAGGAAGGTTCCCCTCCTAGCAAAGCACAGCAGAGGCTTGAGGAGACTCCTAGAAGAGCAGAGACCAGGCCAAGCTGGTGGGAATGGAAAAAGAATTTTGGAGGGAGCAGTGGGACCAAATCTAGGGTTTTCAATTTAGATTGAGCATGGGTGCCATTGATCCTGCTGCTGCTGCCTCAGTGGACTCCAGGAGAGGGTGCCTTTCAACCTTCCAGAAATGTCTGCTGGGCATCCCATTTGCTTCTGCCCCCTCCTGGTGTCCTCCCAAAGTTGAAGAAAAGGATAGTGCTGTTGAGAATTGAGCAAGCCTTCTGGACTTTCATCCTGCCAGGCTTTACATGGCTTTATTGTGCCATGAGATTAGGTTAATTCATCATTGCCTTGGGCAGGGTAACACAAGCCCTGCCTGCCCACTTCCTAGTCAAATTACATTTCAGTGGCCTGGTCTGCTTTTGGTATAGTGGTTACTGACCAGTACATTCATTCTAAAGGGAATCTTTTTTTTTTTTTTTTTTTTTTTTTAGGCAAGTTCTCATTCTGTGGGCCCGGCTGGAGTGCAGTGGAGTGATCTCAGATCTCAGGTCACTGCAGCCTTGACTTCCGGGGCTCAGGCAATCCTCCCACCTCAGACCCCTGGGTGGCTGGGACCACAGGCATGAGCCACCACACCCAGCTAATTTTTTAATATTTTTTTGTAGAAACAGTGTTTCCTTATGTTGCCCAGGCTGGTCTCAAACTCCTGGTCTCAACCAGTCCTCCCACCTTGGCCTTCCAAAGTGTTGGGATTATAGGCATGAGCCACTGTGCCCAGCCAGGGAATCTTAAAGATTGTAGTTATACTTGAAATATTTTTTTTTTAAATAGGATTACCTAAATTTGCTATGGGTATGTATTTTTTTAGACACTGGGGGTGGGGATTCCCATGTAGAGCAACATTTAAAACAGAGGCAATGCCAGAGTTCAGATGTTCAATTTCAATTTCTTGTATTTTTAACTTCTATGATTATTTTTTCTTTCTTTATTAGAGATGGGTTCTCACTATGTTACTCACATTGGTCTCAAACTCTTGAGCTCAAGTGATCCTCCCACCTTGGCCTCCCAAAGTGCTGGGATTACAGGTGTGAGCCACTCCTCCGGCCAATTTCTTGTTTCTTAAGGGCACAAATGTGCTAGAGGCTGGGCACGGTGGCTCACATCTATAATCTCAACACTTTGGGAGGCTGAGGTGGCAGGATTGCTTGAACCTAGGTTTCAAGATCAGCCTAGGCAACATAGCAAGATCCCATCTCTATTAAAAAAAATTACTAGAGAGACACCAGGAGATCTGAAGCTTTTCATGTTTTCCGCCAATGTTTGATTGCTTACTCTGTGCCAGGCTTTTTCTCAGAGCCTGCGGATACTGGGCTTCTGGCACAGCTGATAAGAGGGGTCATTTTGGAAACGGTAAACTGCCTCTTGCTTTGCATGGATGGGGACTGTGTAGCTCCTATAGTCTTGTTCAGTGCTGTCTCCCTGTGCAGCCAATTCAGTGTTCTTGTTGATGAATCATGGACAAGGGAGTTATGCTGTTTATCTGGATAAGGTTTCTGGCATTTTTCTGGTTTTAGAAATAGGTAGTTGAGGTACATCTGAGAAATCTTTTCCCCAAGTTTATGCAACCTCCTGTTTAAAGATTATGCTTCGGCCGGGCGTGGTGGCTCACGCCTGTAATCTCAGCACTTTGGGAGGCCCAGGTGGGTGGATCACTTGAGGTCAGGAGTTTGAGACCAGCCTGGGCAACATAGTGAAACCCTGTCTCTACTAAAAATACAAAAATTAGCTGGGCATGGTGGCAGGTGCTTGTAGTCCTACCTACTTGGGAGGCTGAGGCAGGAGAATCACTTGAACCCAGGATGTGGTGGTTTCAGTGAGCTGAGATTGCGCCACTACACTCCAGCCTGGGCAACAGAGTGAGACTCTGTCTCAAAATAATAATAAATAAATAAATAAATAAAGATTATGCTTCATAGGGTACAGTATATAGGTACTTGGGCACCCATGGATAGAAAACACATGGAATCTTTTTTTTTTTCATTCACAGTGAATAATATATGTATTTTCTAAGTTAAGTGGTTTCTTTCTGGCTGCTTTAGAGATTTTTTTTTTAAAGTTAAATGTTAATTGTGTATATCCTAGAAATAATCCCAAGATCAAATGTAACCCTTGTGTTAAGCCTTGGAAGTTAAATAGATTTTAAAGCTTGCTTACATGATTCTATCTTAAGAGAAAATAAGAACATACCAGGCAATTTTATAGTCTCTGTCCCACTCCCCATAGCTGGTTATGTATCAATCACATTTGGGCTAACCTAGGAGCCCTGCTCACAAACCTTCAATGGCTCCAACTCAGAATCAAAGCCAAAGTCCTCACAGTGGCCCATATGTCCCTCCCGCCCTGCTTGCCCCTCTGAGCTCTTCTCCATGTCTCTTCCCCTCATGCACCCTGCTACAGCCATGCTGGCCTCCTCACCTTCCCTCCATCACACCAAACATGCTCCTCCTGCCTCAGGACCTCTGTCCTTACTGTTTCCTCTGCCTGGAACACTTTCCCCCAGATTTGGGAAAATGACAGTGATTGAGTTTAAAACCCATCTGAAAGTTAAGGACCATGCTTGAGTTCACATATCACTGTCTACTATGTTGTACTGTACATACCGACTTCAGGGATGTGAGTGTCACGTGGATTGACATCTTCAAGTGTATTGAAGGCAGCTAGTGGCTGTCTAACTGCCCCCTGTCTGGTATGAGGGGTGCTCTGTGATAGCTGCTGCTTCTGGCCTTCTTTATCTTTGGCTCTCAACACTTGCTCTGTCTCCCCCACCATCCCAGTTCTGATTCTGCTGCTCTTGCTGTTTCTTCGGAGGAGAGCGGTGGTCAAAGAGCCCTTACTGCCCCCAGAGGATGACACCCGGGACAACGTTTATTACTATGATGAAGAAGGAGGCGGAGAAGAGGACCAGGTGGGTTTTGAAAACCTTGGTAGCTCAGTGGTGATCTCTTTATTCGGAAGAAGCAATGATTAGTAAGAGGTAGGCATTTGAAACAGCTCTGAATCACTTTGGATATTATCTTTTTAAGGCCTTACCCAAGAAAGTAGACATTGTCATTGACCATCATCATCATCACATCATCACCAACACAGCTAACATTTATTGATCGCATACTGTTCTGCACCTCAGTGAGCGAGCTGAGGCACAGAGAAGCTCAGTAACTTGGCTAAGGTCACACAGCTAGGAAGCGACAGGGCTAAATGGTCTGTCTCAGAGCCTGCCTTCCTCATTGCCATTCTCTGGACGTGAACTTCAGCCAGATTCTCTTTGACATAGAACAACTGGTCTGCTTTGTTTCTTTTGAGTTTTTAGCTAGACCAAACTCCTTTTCTGTCATGGTTATACCTTCAGTCCCTCTGTATTTCCTGATTTTGGAGATGATCTTAACATCTTACCCTGGAGTTGTCCAGGGAACTGTTCAGTGTCTTGGAGAGCCTACTTATTATAGAAAGGGATCCATGGGGGTCTATTACAGAGTCCTGTTTTTGACTGAGGCCACAGAGTGAGGCACAATTTACTGAGCTCCATACAACATAGGGAGGTGGGTGTACAGAGAAAAATATTGTTCTAGATTTCAGGGACTTGTAAGTCTAGTTTGGGGATACCACGTATATTGTATCAGTGAGCAATAGAGCAACCAATCGTGGAATCTCAGCGGCACACAACATGCGTATCTTTCTCATGTACCGTGGGGTAGCTGGAGCAACTGCTGGTCTCATCTAAGCTCATGAGAATCTGTAGGATGGCTGGGGCTCAGCAGATTTAGGCAGAGTTTAGCTGAATGGCTCTAACCTGTGAATTGTGTCCAGGTCTGTTCCATGCAAGTCTCATCTTTGTACCAGAAGCTGGTGCCTTTCAGACCTTTGCCTGTGTCATATGTTACTGTCCCATTGGCTAAGCAAGTCACACAACAAAGCCCCAGATCGATGGATGTATACTTTTCTCACAAGCTGGGGTTGGGAGGGAGTGAATATTTGCCAAACAGTGATCTAATCATCATGTCCTATGAAAATTAGTAAGGCACACAGCCTATATCTGGATCCACACATGCTACTCACAATCCTTTGGGCCATGTTTTTTTCCAGTGCTATTTGGGAGACTTTTAGCTTGAAAACTGTCATTTTGCATTAAACTGGTAAAGATCATACAGTTGGCAGTGAAGGCATCATCCAACCATAATCTATAAACTGAACATAGCCCTGTGTGTATGACTATTTCTTTCCTACTCTTCATTGTACTTCAACCTTTTTTCTCCAAAGGACTTTGACTTGAGCCAGCTGCACAGGGGCCTGGACGCTCGGCCTGAAGTGACTCGTAACGACGTTGCACCAACCCTCATGAGTGTCCCCCGGTATCTTCCCCGCCCTGCCAATCCCGATGAAATTGGAAATTTTATTGATGAAGTAAGTAATCCACGTGGAAAGCCAAAGCATGGCTCATCTCTAAGCTCAGGAGGAGTTGTGTCAAAAATGAGAAAAAGAGTCTTTAGATTCTTTCCTTTACTATGTTTTCAGCTTGCCTGAGCCCTGGAGCCCTGTTTTCCTTTTTCTTTTTTTTTCTTTTTCTTTTTTTTTTTTTTTGAGACGAAGTTTCACTCTTGTTGCCCAGGCTGGAGTGCAATGGCGCAATCTTTGCTCACCACAACCTCTGCCCGGGTTCAAGCGATTCTCCTGCCTCAGCCTCCCAAGTAGCTGGGATTACAGGCATGCACCACCACACTCAGCTAATTTTGTATTTTTAATAGAGGCAGGGTTTCTCCATGTTGGTCAGGCTGGTCTCTAACTCCTGACTCAGGTGATCCACCTGCCTTGGCCTCCCAAAGTGCTGGGATTACAGGTGTGAGCCACCGCACCTGGCAGCCTGTTTTTCTTAATCTGTGTCTCATCTGAATTTTGGATCTAATCGTGCTTCAAATTGCAAAGTCCATGTGGCAAAACCAACAATTGCCTGAAAGGATTTAGTAGATCTAGAAATGAAACTAGGAAGATTCTAAGTAAATTTCATTTTAGTTTCACTAATGGAATTTACTTCCCTTGCCTCCCACTGCTGGTTGGGATATAATGATAAATGTACATGACAAGCCTACCTGAGGATTAGAAAAATAGAATCTGTATTGTATATGTCAGAAATGCATTCAGCTCTAAATACAAGATGCTGAAACAGATGGGAGTAGATTTATCTTATACAAATAGAAAGTTGGGGTGAGCAGTCTAGGCCAGTGCATCAGGCTGTTCCATGTTTCTGCTCCATCATCTTAGCACGTAGACCCTTCTTCTCAGGCTTGTTGTCTCATGATCACAAGATGGCTGCCACACTTCCAGATCTTAAGTCTGTATTCCAGTCAGGAAAAAGTATGAAGAACAAAGCAGAGGGCAAAAGTCTTTCTTCTAGCAAACTGTCTTCTTATTCAACAAGGGAGTTGTCCAACCAGTTATTGGCCAGAACTATCAGAAGGTTGTGCCTGTCTGCAAGGGAGAATAACAAGGCATTAAATTAATTAGCTTAGGATAAGATGAGAAAGAACCCAGTAAAGAAATGGTCCAGCAGGATCTGTTTCCTTAAGTTATGTTCTCTAGTAACTTGCTTGGTTACTGGAATGATTTTCTGGGCTTGTCTGATGGTCCAGTGGCCCTCGGTGAGTCTTCATGGTGAGGTCTGTGTTTGCTTTAGCTTTCTTTTTTTTTTTTTTTTTTTTTTTTTTTGAGACAGAGTCTTGCTCTGTCGCCCAGGCTGGAGTGCAGTGGTGCAATCTCAGCTCACTGCAAGCTCTACCTCCCAGGTTCACACCATTCTCCTGGCTCAGCCTCCCGAGTAGCTGTGCCTACAGGCACCTGCCATCAAGCCTGGCTTTTTTTTTTTTTTTTAATTTTATTTTTAGTAGAGACAGGGTTTCACCATGTTAACCAGATGGTCTCGATCTCCTGACCTCAGGTGATCTGCCTGCCTTGGCCTCCCAAAGTGTTGGGATTACAGGCGTGAGCCACCACGCCCGGACTGCTTTAGCTTTCTATGGGAGCTGTCACTGAGGACTGTGAGGCACTGCAGTGTTAGAAGTGATCAAGCCACATTCATTTTAGCCACTGGAAAAAACAAGAAACAGAAAGAAACCAGTTTAACCATGCCTTTTATTTATTTATTTATTTTTATTTTTATTTTCATTTTTTGAGACAGTTTCACTCTTGTCGCCCAGGCTGGAGTGCAGTGGCGTAATCTTGGCTCACTGCAACCTCTGCCTCCTAGATTCAAGCGATTCTCCTGCCTCAGCCTCCCAAGTAGCTGGGATTACAGGCACCACTACCACGCCCAGCTACTTTTTCTATTTTTAGTACAGATGGGGTTTCATCATATTGGCTAGTCTGGTCTCAAACTCCTGACCTCGGGTGATCTCCCTGCCTCGGCCTCCCAAAGTACTGGGATTATGGGTGTGAGCCACCGCTCCTGACTACAGACCCCTTTTAGATACATCTGGATTCAGGCCTTTCCTCCATTCATACTCATTTGCAAGTCATCACTTGTATTTGCAGTTTTTATTTAAACTATAAAAATAGTATGCTAAAAAAGAACAAGATCATGTCTTTTGAGGAAGCAAGATCATGGGTGGAGCTGGAGGCCATTATCCTTAGCAAACTAATGCAGGAACAGAAAACCAAATACCACGTGTTCTCACTCATATGTGGGAGCTGAATGATGAGAACTCATGGACACAAAGAAGAGAACAACAGACACTGGGGTTCGCTTAAGGGAGGAGAGAGAGAGGAGCAGAAAAGATAACTACTGGGTACTGGGCTAAATACCTGGGTGATGAAATAATCTGTACAACAAATCCCCATGACATGAGTTTACGATTTGTTACCTATATAACAAACCTTCACATGTACTCCCAAACCTAAAAGTTTTTTTTTTTTTAAGTATGCTTGCTATTTTAAAAATATAAATTATGGTGTGGGGGTACACACCTGTAATCCCAGCTACTCAGGAGGCTGAGGCCAGAGAATCGCTTGAACCCAGGAGGTGGAGGATGCAGTGAGCCGAGATCATGCCATTGCACTCTAGCCTTGGTGACAGAGCAAGACTCTGAGACTCCATCTCAAAATAAATAAATATACTTTATTTATTTCATAAAATGAAAATATATAAAGAAAAGGCCGGGTGCAGTGGCTCACGCCTGTAATCCCAGCACTTTGGGAGGCCGAGGCAGGTGGATCACCTGAGATCAGGAGTTAGAGACCAGCCTGGCCAACATGGTGAAACCCCGTTTTTACTAAAAATACAAAAATTAGCCGGGCATGGTGGCGCATGCCTGTAGACCCAGCTACTTGGGAGGCTGAGGCAGGAGAATCGCTTGAACCTGGGAGGCAGATGTTGCAGTGAGCCAAAATCACACCATTGCACTCCAGCCTGTGTGACAAGAGTGAAACCCTGTCTCTAAAAAAAAAGAAAAAGAAAAAAAATACAAGTCCTTCCTTAGTTCCCACACCCCCACTCCCCAGATTTAACTGTTAAGCATTTGGCATTTATCCTTCCAGGCCTTTCTGGGTGGAAATGCAGCCTGCATGCACCAGTATGCAAAGCTTCCAGCTCTGCCCATCCCAGCTGGTGGTGTGGCAGCCCCACTCTGATCTATGGGGACTCCATCCTGACTGGTTGGTGCTTGCATCTCTCCTGCCTACATATAACTCACCATTTCACTTTCTCTTTCCATCAACAACATATCCTGTGCTTCTGCATCCTTCCATGACAGTGTGTATAAATGTACGTTGTTGGTGTTCACTGCTCCGTGGTGTGCCACAAGTCTGGGTGCATTGTCGTACCTTACATATTGCTAGACTTCTTGCCCCAGATGACAGGTGTGCCCTTCCTTTCACTAAAAGATGCTTTTGTCCCTTCTTCTTTAGAATCTGAAAGCGGCTGATACTGACCCCACAGCCCCGCCTTATGATTCTCTGCTCGTGTTTGACTATGAAGGAAGCGGTTCCGAAGCTGCTAGTCTGAGCTCCCTGAACTCCTCAGAGTCAGACAAAGACCAGGACTATGACTACTTGAACGAATGGGGCAATCGCTTCAAGAAGCTGGCTGACATGTACGGAGGCGGCGAGGACGACTAGGGGACTCGAGAGAGGCGGGCCCCAGACCCATGTGCTGGGAAATGCAGAAATCACGTTGCTGGTGGTTTTTCAGCTCCCTTCCCTTGAGATGAGTTTCTGGGGAAAAAAAAGAGACTGGTTAGTGATGCAGTTAGTATAGCTTTATACTCTCTCCACTTTATAGCTCTAATAAGTTTGTGTTAGAAAAGTTTCGACTTATTTCTTAAAGCTTTTTTTTTTTTCCCATCACTCTTTACATGGTGGTGATGTCCAAAAGATACCCAAATTTTAATATTCCAGAAGAACAACTTTAGCATCAGAAGGTTCACCCAGCACCTTGCAGATTTTCTTAAGGAATTTTGTCTCACTTTTAAAAAGAAGGGGAGAAGTCAGCTACTCTAGTTCTGTTGTTTTGTGTATATAATTTTTTAAAAAAAATTTGTGTGCTTCTGCTCATTACTACACTGGTGTGTCCCTCTGCCTTTTTTTTTTTTTTAAGACAGGGTCTCATTCTATCGGCCAGGCTGGAGTGCAGTGGTGCAATCACAGCTCACTGCAGCCTTGTCCTCCCAGGCTCAAGCTATCCTTGCACCTCAGCCTCCCAAGTAGCTGGGACCACAGGCATGCACCACTACGCATGACTAATTTTTTAAATATTTGAGACGGGGTCTCCCTGTGTTACCCAGGCTGGTCTCAAACTCCTGGGCTCAAGTGATCCTCCCATCTTGGCCTCCCAGAGTATTGGGATTACAGACATGAGCCACTGCACCTGCCCAGCTCCCCAACTCCCTGCCATTTTTTAAGAGACAGTTTCGCTCCATCGCCCAGGCCTGGGATGCAGTGATGTGATCATAGCTCACTGTAACCTCAAACTCTGGGGCTCAAGCAGTTCTCCCACCAGCCTCCTTTTTATTTTTTTGTACAGATGGGGTCTTGCTATGTTGCCCAAGCTGGTCTTAAACTCCTGGCCTCAAGCAATCCTTCTGCCTTGGCCCCCCAAAGTGCTGGGATTGTGGGCATGAGCTGCTGTGCCCAGCCTCCATGTTTTAATATCAACTCTCACTCCTGAATTCAGTTGCTTTGCCCAAGATAGGAGTTCTCTGATGCAGAAATTATTGGGCTCTTTTAGGGTAAGAAGTTTGTGTCTTTGTCTGGCCACATCTTGACTAGGTATTGTCTACTCTGAAGACCTTTAATGGCTTCCCTCTTTCATCTCCTGAGTATGTAACTTGCAATGGGCAGCTATCCAGTGACTTGTTCTGAGTAAGTGTGTTCATTAATGTTTATTTAGCTCTGAAGCAAGAGTGATATACTCCAGGACTTAGAATAGTGCCTAAAGTGCTGCAGCCAAAGACAGAGCGGAACTATGAAAAGTGGGCTTGGAGATGGCAGGAGAGCTTGTCATTGAGCCTGGCAATTTAGCAAACTGATGCTGAGGATGATTGAGGTGGGTCTACCTCATCTCTGAAAATTCTGGAAGGAATGGAGGAGTCTCAACATGTGTTTCTGACACAAGATCCGTGGTTTGTACTCAAAGCCCAGAATCCCCAAGTGCCTGCTTTTGATGATGTCTACAGAAAATGCTGGCTGAGCTGAACACATTTGCCCAATTCCAGGTGTGCACAGAAAACCGAGAATATTCAAAATTCCAAATTTTTTTCTTAGGAGCAAGAAGAAAATGTGGCCCTAAAGGGGGTTAGTTGAGGGGTAGGGGGTAGTGAGGATCTTGATTTGGATCTCTTTTTATTTAAATGTGAATTTCAACTTTTGACAATCAAAGAAAAGACTTTTGTTGAAATAGCTTTACTGTTTCTCAAGTGTTTTGGAGAAAAAAATCAACCCTGCAATCACTTTTTGGAATTGTCTTGATTTTTCGGCAGTTCAAGCTATATCGAATATAGTTCTGTGTAGAGAATGTCACTGTAGTTTTGAGTGTATACATGTGTGGGTGCTGATAATTGTGTATTTTCTTTGGGGGTGGAAAAGGAAAACAATTCAAGCTGAGAAAAGTATTCTCAAAGATGCATTTTTATAAATTTTATTAAACAATTTTGTTAAACCATTGTCAAATTTGTTTTATTTGATTCCACCACATTTCCAGTCAAGAGAAAAGATGCATGGAGATGGCCTCAGTCAAAACGTGGAGAAAGAGGCCGGGCGCGGTGGCTCATGCCTGTAATCTCAGCACTTCGGGAGGCCGAGGCAGGTAGATCACTTGAGCTCAGGAGTTTGAGACCAGCCTGGGCAACGTAGTGAAACCCTGTCTCCACAAAAACACAAAAATTAGCTGGGCGTGGTGGCGCGCGCCTGTAGTCCCAGCTACTCGAGAGGCTGAGACATGAGAATCACTTGAACTCAGGAGGCAGAGGTTGCAGTGAGCCGAGGTTGCGCCACTGCACTTCAGCCTAGGTGACAGAGGAGACTCCATCTCAAAAAAATAAAAAAATTTTTAAAAAACTTCATGCTGAAGTGACTTCTCCAGAAGTTTCTATCATTCTACTGGATGAACATGGGAGAAACTACATTCACATGGTAACTTTATTTGAACAGTATCCATCCATGTGGCATGTGATGAAACCAATAAAATTCCCATGTCCACGGGAGACTGTGTGGGCCAAGCTGAAGGACGGGACAGAGCAAAGTTTCAAACGATGTTCTCGGGGTCAGCAAGTGAGTACAGGCCAGTGGTTCTCTGCTGGGGAAGAATGTAGCCCCCTCCTCCATGTGACATTTTGCAATTTCTGGAGTACCTGGGGAGGTGGTCTTGTCACCACATCAAGGCCAGGGGTGCTGCTAAACATCCCTGCACGGGACAGTTCCTCACAACAAAGAATTATCCAGCACAAAATGTCAGCCACTGTTAAGAAACCCTGGTGTAAGCCTAAAACTTTTCTCTGTTGAAGGGGTATGACTTTTTTCTTTGGGTAATTTTTTATTGTAAAATACAACATAAAATTTATGATTTTAGCCCTTTTGTTAAGTTTTCAGACAGGGTCTCACTCTGTCACCCGGGCTGGAGTGCAGTGGCACAATCACGGCTCGCTGCAGCCTCAATCTCCCAGTCACAAATGATCCTCCTCTCTCAGCCTCCCTAGTAGCTGGGACTACAGGTGTTGCACCACTACGCCCAGCTAATTTTAAAAATTGTTTTGTAGAGACAGGGATCTTGCTATGATGCACAGGCTGGTCTTGAACTCCTGGGCTCAAGTGATCTGCCCTCCTTGGCCTCCCAAAGTACTGGGATTACAGGAGTGAGCCACCACGTTGGCCTCATTGTAGCCATTTTTAAGTATACAGTTCAATGACATTAAGTATATTCAAATTGTGTTGCAACCATCACCACTATCTTCAGAACTTTTTCATCATCCCAGACAAACTCTGTACCCATTTATTTTCAACTGTTTTTAAGTGTACAATTCAGTGGTATTAAGTACATTCAAAATATTGTATAACCATCAGCTCTGGTGTTAGAACTTTTTCATCATTCCAAATAAATTTTGTATCTAGTGGGCAATAACTCTCCATTCCTGCCTCTACCCATCCCCTCCTAATCACTATTCTACTTTCCATGTATGTAGACTCCTTTAATCATCCTTTTGCATCTGGCTTTTTTTTTTTTTTTTTTTTTTTGAGACGGAGTCTTGCTCTGTCGCCCAGGCTGGAATGCAGTGGCGCGATCTCCGCTCCCTGCAAGCTCCGCCTCCTGGGTTCACGCCATTCTCCTGCCTCAGCCTCCCGAGTAGCTGGGACTACAGGCGCCCGGCTTATTTGTTTGTTTGTTTGTTTGTTTGTTTGTTTGTTTATGGTATTTTTAGTAGAGACGGGTTTCACCGTGTTAGCCAGGATGGTCTCCATCTCCTGACCTCGTGATCCGCCTGCCTCGGCCTCCCAAAGTGCTGGGATTGCAGGGGTGATCCACCGCACCCGGCCTTATTTTTTATTTTATTTTATTTTTTGAGACAAGGTTCTGCTCTGTTACCCAGGCTAAAGTGCAGTGGCACGATCTTGGCTCATTGCAACCTCCACTTCCCAGGTTCAAGCAATTCTCCTGCCTCAGCCTCCCGAGTAGCTGGGATTACAGGTGCTCACCGCTATGCCCGGCTAATTTTTGTATTTTTAGTACAGACAGGGTTTCACCATGTTGCCCAGGCTGGTCTCCAACTCCTGACCTCAAGTGATCCACCCACCTTGGCCTCCCAAATTGCTGGGATTACAGGCATGAGCTGCCGCGCCTGGCCTGCAGTGAAAAAAAGATATTTTGGGGCCGGGCTTGGTGGCTCACGCCTGTAATCCAGCACTTTGGGAGGCCGAGGCGGGTGGGTCACGAGGTCAGGAGATGGAGACCATCCTGGCTAACACGGTGAAACCCCGTCTCTACTAAAATACAAAAATTAGCGGAGCGTGGTGGCGGGTGCCTGTAGTCCCAGCAACTCAGGAGGCTGAGGCAGGAGAATGGCGTGAACCCGGAAGGCAGAGCTTGCAGTGAGCAGAGATTGTGCCACTGCACTCAAGCCTGGGCAACAGAGCGAGACTCTGTCTCAAAAATAAATATATATAATATAAAATATATAAATATATAAAAATATGTATTTTATACATATATATGGATCCTTTTATCCGTTTTTGAATTGGGTTGTTTGCTGTTGAGTTTTAAAAACATGTATTCTGGAAATTAATCCCTTATCAGATACCTGATTTCTTCACATCCTCCCCAGCACTTGTTCACTTGTTTTGTTTTTTTCTATGTATTTTATAATATTTTTTAATTTTTTTAATTTATTTTGAGATGGGGTCTTGCTCTGTCGCCCAGGCTGGAATGCAGTGGTGCCACCTCGGCTTACTGCAACCTCCGCCTCCCGGGTTCAAGTGATTCTCCTGCCTCAGCCTCCCAGGTAGCTGGGATTACAGGTATGTGCCACCATGCCCAGCTAATTTTTTTGAATTTTTGTAGAGATGGGGTTTCACCATGTTGCCCAGGCTGGTCTTGAACTTCTGACCTCAAGTGATCCACCCTCCTTGGCCTCCCAAAGTGCTGGAATTACAGAACGTGAGGCGGGCACCTGTAATCCTAGCTACTCAGGAGGCTGAGGGGGGAGAATCGCTTGAACCCTGGAGGCTGAGGTTGCAGTGAGCAGAGATCATGCCACTGCACTCCAGCCTGGTTACAGAGCGAGACTCCATCTCCAAAACAAAACAAAAATTAAATTGTTTACAGAGTACTTACTATGTGCGAAGGTCTGTACCAGCAAGGTAATTTTGGTTTTTTTGGAACACGGTCTCCCTCTGTCACCCAAGCTGGACTGCAGCCTCGACCTCACGGGTTCAAGCAATCCTCCCACCCTGCCTCCCAAGAAGCTGGGACAACAGGCATGTGCCACCATGTCCAGCTAAGTTTTATATTTTTTACAGAGATGGAGTTTCACCATGTTGCCCAGGCTGGAAATTTTAACCTCTGAAAAAGTCCATGGTGAAGGCAGTTGCCCCCAGCAAGGGTCTGGAAGCACAGGAGACCTGGGGAACACCTCCTCTGTTCTTTTGCTGGTTCATTAGATGCCAAGACACTAGAGTTGTGCTGTCTGAGTTCAAATCCTGATTCTGTCCTTTCCAGCTATGAGCTTAGATAAGTGACCTGACCTTTCTATGCCTCAGTGTCTTCATCTCTAAAATGAGGGTAATTGGGCCAGGTGCGGTGGCTCATACCTGTAATCCCAGCACTTTGGGAGGCCGAGGTGGGCAGATCACCTGAGGTCAGGAGTTCGAGACCAGCCTGGCCGACTTAGTGAAACCTTGTCTATACTAAAAATACAAAAATTAGCTGGGCGTGTTGGCGCGGCCTGTAGTCCCGGCTACTTGGGAGGCTGAAGCAGGAGAATCGCTTGAACCCGGGAGGCGGAGGAGGTTGCAGTGAGCCAAGATCGCATCACTGCACTCCAGCCTGGGCGACAGAGAGAGACTCTGTCTCAAAAAAAAGAGGGTAATTGTATTTGCTTTATAGTGTTTTGAGCACTAAATGAGTTGATATGTACAAAGCATTTAGAGTGCAGTGGCACGATCTCAGTTCACTGCAACCTCCGCCTCCTGGGGTCACACAATTCTCCTGCCTCAGCCTCCTGAGTAGCTGGAATTACAGGTGTGCCCCACCACACCAGGCTAATTTTTGTATTTTTAGTAGAGACAAGATTTAACCTTGTAAGTTATGCTGGTCTTGAACTCCTGACCTCAGGTGATCTGCCCACCTCCGCCTTCCAAAGTGCTGGGATAACAGGTGTGAGCCACCACGCCCAGCCGTACTTCTGTGTTTTAATAAAGCTGCCAAGAGCAAACCAAGGAAGGGGCTACCAGAATTCAAGTCCTATAAACTAAAATTCCATAAGCTTAAATACAAAATTCTACAGAAACAGGGTACTTAAAGCACATCTGAATAATTTGAGGCTGGGAGAAGCCTGAGCGTGTTTCTTCTTCTTTAGACGAGGGCCAATTTACGCTACAGCCTCGTGGACTCAGGCACTCCTCCAACATCCTATCACACATATTAAAATACACCCAGTGTTCCACATGGGATATATTACTTTGCTGCAAGAATTTTTATGGGATCTTATGACATTGCTTTTGAAATTATGCATGACAATTTGTGTTGGCTCAGCCCACAGAGCCTGAGAGATAAAAACAGAAGAGATGTCTAGGTCTTGTAATACTTTGGGATAAAGGATTCTCAGCTCTGAATATCCTGTAATGATCTTTTGTAAATCCCACACCAGTACTGCCCTTAGACTTAGGCCTGGTGGTCTCCTGGCCCTGGGCCCATGCTTGAGAAGCTCCATCTGGCCACCTCCACCATGCCCCCCACCCTGGGCAAGAAATCTGCCAGGCCTGGGGGACTTGCCCATCCAAATCTCCAAATCCTCACCCTCCTCCAAGACCACACTCCATGTTCTTTGTTTGTTTGTTTTTTGAGACAGAGTCTCACTCTGTCGCCCAGGCTGGAGTGCTGTGGCGCGATCTTGGCTCACTCCTGGGTTCAAGCGATTCTCCTGCCTCAGCCTCCTGAGCAGCTAGGATTACAGGTGTGCACCACCACGCCTGGCTAATTTTTGTATCTTTAGTAGAGATGGGGTTTCACCATGTTGGTCAGGCTGGTCTCGAACTCCTGACTGGCTAATTTTTGTATTTATTTTATAGAGACAGGGTCTCCCTATGTTGCCCAGCCTGGTGTCAAACTCCTGGGCAAAAGAAATCCTCCCACCTCAGCCTCCCAAAGTGCTGGGATTACAGGAATAAACCACCACACCCGGCCCACACTCTGGATTCTGAGGCCCTGGAATTCCCTGCCCAACCATCCCAGGCCTTCTTCTAGGGCTTTGCAGGACTCTTCCCTGGGTCTGCCCTCTGGATGGTGCACTGTGCTCCCCGTCTGAAGTTTTGTTTTGTTTTTTATTTTTTTGAGACAAAGTCTCCCTTTGTCACCAGGCTGGAGTGTAGTGACGCGACCTCGGTTCACTGCAACCTCCGCCTCCCAGGTTCAAGAGGTTCTCCTGCCTCAGCCTCCCGAGTAGCTGGGACTATAGGCATACATCACTATGCCCAGTGAATTTTTGTATTTTTAGTAGAGATGGGGTTTCGCCATGTCGGCCAGGATGGTCTCAATCTCTTGACCTTGTGATCTACCCGCCTCTGCCTCCCAAAGTGCTGGGATTACAGGTGTGAGCCACCGCGCCCGGCCCCCATCTGCAGTTCTAGACCCAGAGGGGCCAAATGGTAGCTGCTCTGTGGAAGGGATGGGGTGTGGGGTGTGGACAGAACCTGAATGTGCAGGGCTGTGGGTGCCCACACATCTAAGTGCCCAGCCTTCATGGTGCAGGATGGAGATGCTGGTGAGAAGAAAAATGGGTCAGACCAGAGGTCTCCATTGTGGAGCTCTGAGACAGTCTGAGAATTTTGAATTCAAACTTGATAGAATTTTCAAGGTAGGAGGATAGAAAATATTTTAGTTACCAGTCTCTTCGCTTGATTTCTAACACTGAAACATTTAGGCTGGCGGCGTGAGGGCCTCTACCTGTACTTTTGCACCAAACCCCTCAAGCCTTCCCCACACAGTGCTTTACCCCCGTCTCACTAAATGTTTAACATCTCAAAATACTCTTAAAATTTTTTATTTCCCAAATGAACCTGTGCCCATACACAATGGAGAAAACATTGTCTAATGACAAAACCTGGAAAGGAATACACAAAATAAAAAGAGCACAGTGGCAATTTTGTAGGTGATTTATTTCCCATTCAAAAATATTTTTAAGGCCAGAACCGGTGGCTCACGCCTGCAATTTCAGTATTTTGGAAGGTCGAAATGGGCAAATTGCTTGAGCCCAGGAGTTTGAGACCAGCCTGGGTGACATGGTGAAACGCCATCTCTACAAAAATTAGCCGGGTGTGGTGGCATGCATCTGTAGTCCCAGCTACTTGGGAGGCTGAGGCGGGAGGATCACTTGAGCAGGGGAGGCAGAAGTTGGAGTGAGCCAAGATCACACCACTGCACTTCAGCCCGGGTGACAGTGAGATTCTGTCTCACACACACACACAAGATTTTATTCGGAAGGCTGAGGCAGGAGGATCACTTGAGGCCAGGAGTTTGAGACAAGTCTGGGCAACATAGAGACTCCATCTCTAAAAAAAAATTTTTAGCGTTTTTCCCTCTCAGGCCCTGCATTCCAAAATGACAAAGAAAAGAAGAAACAAGAGTCATGCCAAAAAGGGTAATAGCTATGCGCAGCTTATTCTCGCCCAAGGACCGGACCATTAAGAAGTTTGTCCTTTGGGCCGGGCGCAGTGGCTCACGCCTGTAATCCCAGCACTTTGGGAGGCCCAGGTGGGCAGGTCACTTGAGGTGAGGAGCTCAAGACCAGCCTAGCCAAGAGGGCGAAACCTTGTCTCCACAAAAAATACAAAAATTAGCCGGGCATGCTGGGGCACTCCAGTAATCCCAGCTACTCGGGGGGCTGAGGCCAGATAATTGTTTCAGCCTGGGAGGCAGAGGTTGCAGTGAGCCGAGATCACGCCACTGAACTCCAGCCTAGGCGACAGAGCGAGACCCCATCTCAAAAAATAAAATAAAAATAAAGGTCCTGCCCTCAAAAACATTGTCCTGTGTCTGCGGCATGACTTTCAGACAACATGGTTTTTCAACGTCCCACCAGGATTTATGTAGGTGAAAACCTGTTTCCGATAATCTGAATCTCAAATCCATTCTGTTTTACATATAAAAACAGTTTGGCGGAGGGCATGGTTTTGATAGACCCTGAATTTTCGAGGAATGCATCAACCATGAAAACAGAACACAGATCGAACTTTTACTGGGAACTTTACTAAGTTCACTGAAAAAAAAAATCATATTACCCATAACAACATTTGTAGCTTTACATTCACGATGGATATATATGCGTGTGTACGTCTGTACTTAGGTTTTGTTTGTTTGTTTGTTTTGAGATGGAGTCTCGCTCTGTCGCCCAGGCTGGAGTGCAGTGGTGTGATCTCGGCTCACTGCAACCTCGACCTCCCAGCTTCGAGCGATTCTCCTGCCTCAGCCTCCCGGGTAGCTGGGACTACAGGCGCCCGCCACCACGCCTGGCTAATTTTTGTATGTTTAGTAGAGACGGGGTTTCACCATATCGGACAGGTTGGTCTCAAACTCCTGACCTTGTGATCTGCCCGCCTCGGCCTCCCAGAGTGCTGCGATTACAGGTGTGAGCCACCGCGCCCAGCCTGAATATTGTTTTTCTTATCCATACTTCACTGTAAGCAGATGGAAGCATCTGTCTGCTTCATTATGTCTGCCAGTGTTGAGTACCTGAGTATTTTCATATTGAAATATAGCTTTAATGATACATTACTTCTCTCTTCCTTCTTTACATAGCGGTTAATCATATTGAGCTTCTGAAATTGTGCGCGTGGGCAGATTAGCCATTTTTGGGTTCCCTCTTACCCCCCGGACTAAGCCGGGACGGAAAAAAAATGTGAAGGGGGCGTTCCCGATCGATTTGGCCCCGCCCCATAGTGTGCCCAGAGCCTTCTGCCACACTTAACATGGCGGCGGCGGCGCCCTGCCGAGGCGCCTGAGCGGGTCGCGAGCGTGGTGTTACACTCCAGTCATGGCGGCCCGACAGGCCGTGGGCAGCGGGGCTCAGGAGACATGCGGTCTGGATCGGATTTTGGAGGCATTGAAGCTGCTGCTGAGCCCGGGAGGTGAGAGGACGCATCTCCGCGCCGGGCTGGACCCGGGACTCTCAGGGCCGCCCGGCTTCCGGGGCTGCCCTGCCTTCCGCAGCGTGCGCCCCTTAGGCCCGCCTCGGGACCCTCCGCCCGCTGCTGGGGGCTTTGAGCATTGTCTATGCCCGTCCTCATTACGTTCTTGAGGAAACTGAGGCTCAAGGAGGGCGCGGGATCCGTTGACTGCTGATATTAGCCAACATCTCTTGAGCATTTGCCTTGTGCTGGGCTCTGTCAGGCGGGGCCGTTATTTCATTCAGTGCTTACTGCAGCGCTCTTGGGAGGGGGATATGGACCCAGCTCCAGAGAGGGTAGGGCGCCCGCGACGTAGAAATGTGAGGTCCTAGCCGCGTGAGGGCGCAGGGGCCAGCATGGACCCTTGAGATTTGTACGAAATGCCAAGAAGTCCAGACATCGGAAGCAGTGACGTTTGAAATGGGTTTGGGGAGAGTATTTAGGGGTTACCAGGCGCTTTTAATCTTTGTGGTGCGTGGACAGTTTCTTCCCAGTCTAAAATCTGAAGGGATATTGGGAGTGGTTGAAGCTGCTACTCCTTTTGCGACTGAGGACACCCAAGGCTCACTGAAGAAATTAAGTAACCTGTCCAAGATCACGTGGTCAAATTAGGGGCAGAACACGGACCTAGGCCCGAGATCTACTGAACCCCCTTCTCAGAATCAGACAAATTGTTCAGTATAGGGGCTCTGATGTTATCTGGAGCTTTTGGAAAGGACGTGGAAGATAGAGCTCTGCTTATCACTGGGGTGTATATTTGGGGGAAGGGATGGGAAGGGATCTGTAGAATTAGCAAGGGCACATGAAAGGCCAAAGGGGATCACCTCCCAGTCTCAGATTTTATACTTAAAACTGCAAAAACTTCTGCAAACATTACACCACACCAGCGGGAAGTGAACACAAGTTACTAATATTAGTAAATGAGTGCCTACTAAGTATCAGTCCCCATAGTAGGCTGTTGACATACACATCATTTAATCCTCATTACGATCCCCTGGGATCGGTACTACTTGTATTCAATTTTTACGGATGAAGGACCAAGGTTCAGGTACATTGGAAATTGCCCAATGTCAGACTAGTAAGTGGCAGAATTTGAATTTAGGTTATTTCCACTAAAAGTATGGTAAATATGCTACATTGTCTCAATTAAGAGTCAGACTGCAAAATAGAATTTTAAGTTGCTAATCGAGAGGTCACTTGTCTTCTAACGGCAACTCTTTTTTTTTTTTTTTTTTGAGATGAGGTCTCACTCTGTTGCCCAGGCTGGAGTGCAGTGGCACAATCTCGGCTCACTGCAACCTCTGCCTCCCAGGTTCAAGCGATTCTCCTGCTTCAGCCTCCCGAGTAGCTGGGATTACAGGTGCACACCACCATGCCCAGCTAATTTTTGTCTTTTTAGTAGAGACGGAGTTTTGCCATGTTGGCCAGGCTGGTCTCGAACTCCTGACCTCAAGTGATCTGCCTGCCTTGGCCTCCCAAAGTGCTGGGATTACAGGCCTGAGCCACTACACCTGGCCTGCAACTCTCTATTGTATGACTGAGAACACGTTTAAATAAGCAAAAATCCTGAAAGTAATCATCTGTTATGAAACATGTATATTATGCTTCATTTATAGAAGACTCTCTAATCTCTATGAGTATGTGGTGGAGTACACATATATGTACTCATTTAATTTACAGAAATTCAAGCATTCCTATTTGAAGAGGAATTAGTTCGTGAAATTATATTATTTTGTACATGTAGTCTTATATATTATATGAATCTGTCTACTATTTTATCATATTAGCTGCTTAGGGAATTTAAAAATATCTGTAGTGGCTGGGCGAGGTGGGCCATACCTGTAATCCCAGCACTTTGGGAGGCTGAGGCAGGATCCCAGGAGTTTGAGACCAGACTGGGCAACATAGTGATACTCTGTGTCTACAAAAAACTAAAAAATTGGCCAGGCATGGTACTACACACCTGTGGTCCCAGCTACTGGGGAGGCTGAGATGGGAGGATTGCTTGAGCCTGAGAGGTCCAAGTCTAGGCTGTGGTGAACCATGATTACACTAGTGTGCTCCGGCCTTGGGTGACAGAGTAAGACCCTATTTTGTTTTTTGTTTTTTGTTTTTTTTTTGAGACAGAGTTTCACTCCATCACCCAGGCTGGAGTGCAGTGGCATGATCTTGACACACCGGAACCCCCACCTCCCGGGTTCGAGCAATTCTCATGCCTCAGCCTCCCTTGTAGCTGGGACTATAGGCACCCACCACCATGCCTGGCTAATTTTTGTACTTTTATTATTTTTTGAGATGGAATTTCGCTCTTGTTGCCCAGGCTGGAGTGCAGTGGCGCAATCTCAGCTCACTGCAACCTCCACCTCCCAGGTTCAAGTGATTCTTCTACCTCAGCCTCCCGAGTAGCTGGGATTACAGGCATGCGCCACATGCCCGGCTAATTTTTTGTACTTTTAATAGAGACGGCGTTTCACCATGTTGGCCAGGCGAGTCTCGAACTCCTGACCTCAGGTGATCTGCCTGCCTTGACCTCCCAGAGTACTAGGATTAGGATTACAGGCGCGAGCCACCATGCCCAACCTCAAGAAGTCAGCTGGATTTTCATATCTGCTTCTCCAGTCTGTCATGATAGGTTGTTTTGACTGAAGTACATGAAGAAAACCTAGACTCACATAGATATGTAACTGGAAAAGGGAGGAGAGTTCAATCACCTTTTCAAATAATTATGTACATTCTTTTATACGATTCTTTCTTTTTTTTTTTTAGACGGAGTCTTGCTCTGTCGCCCAAGCTGGAGTGCAGTGGTGCGATCTCGGCTCACTGCAACCTCCGCCTCCCAGGTTCAAGCAATTCTCCTGCCCCAGCCTCCCGAGTAATTGGGACAACAGGCACATGCCACTGTGCCTGGCTAATTTTCTTTTTTTTTTTTTTTTTTTAGTAGAGACAGGTTTTCACCATATTGGCCAGGCTGGTCTGGAACTCATGACTTCGTAATCCTCCCGCCTCGGCCTCCCGAAGTGCTGGGATTACAGATGTGAGCCACCACGTCCGGTCTTTTATACAATTCTAAAGCTCAACAAGATAATCTCTGCATGTATTGTGTGGGGAAAAAAGTATCGAGAAACTCAACAAGAGGTAATACCTTTTTTTTTTTTTTGTGGCGGAGTTTCGCTCTTGTTGCCCAGGATGGAATGCAGTGGCGTGATCTCGGCTCATTGCCACCTCCGCCTCCCGGATTCAAGCGATTCTCCTGCCTCAGCCTTCGGAGTAGCTGGGATTACAGACATGCGCCACCACGCCCTGCTAATTTTGTATTTTTAGTAGAGATGGGGTTTCTCTACGTTGGTCAGGCTGGTCTCGAACTCCTGACTTCAAGTGATCTGCCCACCTCAGCCTCCCAAAGTGCTGGGATTACAGGCGTGAGCCACCGCGCCCGGCCAAAGAGGTAATATATTAAAGATTTGTTGCAATATGAAATCAGAACTCATATCAATAAGCCTCATAGTACATTCTTGAGAATCTAAAAGGCACATCATGACCTAGTATTATTATGAAATGGTTTTGACCTTGCAGACCCCCTGAGAGGGTCTTGGGAACCCCCGGCAAGCCAGGTCCCCATAGCATACTAGGAACTGCTACTTTATGGAAATGCCTCCAATTTATTTCCAAGTAGATGTTATTTTCATCACCAGTAGAGGGC
The DNA here is from genome assembly GCF_000001405.40 of Homo sapiens. Lineage (NCBI taxonomy): Eukaryota > Metazoa > Chordata > Mammalia > Primates > Hominidae > Homo > Homo sapiens. Next base: position 68,847,451 of record NC_000016.10, read on the forward strand.
AGAGAAGACTACTTCATTAAAGGGGCTCTGGAAAAACTTCAGTAAGAGCTTTTGTTTTAAATCACTTTCTTTGTGTTCCATGTTTGGGTTCGAAGATCTTATGCCACAGGAAGTCATTTAGAGGTTGGTTAGTGATCTTAACGGTTAGTGGCAACAAGAGGGAAATAACACTCATTTCCGTTTGAGGTATACATTAGCCAAAGGAACCAGATATTCATGCCAGTGGGTCAGAACACTTGTCCTGGAAAGTCCTAGAAGAATATTGCAGGCTGAGCGCGGTAGCTCACACCTGTAATCCTAGCACTTTGGGAGGCCATGGCGGGTGGATCTCCCGAGGTCAGGAGTTCGAGACCAGCCTGGCCAACATGGCGAAACCCCGTCTCTACTAAAAATACAAAAATTAGCTGGGCGTGGTGGCATGCGCCGGTAGTCCCAGCTACTCGGGAGGCTGAGGCAGGAGAATCGCTTGAACCCAGGAGGCAGAGGTTGCAGTAAGCTGAGATCGTACCACTGCACTCCAGCCTGGGTGACAGAGTGAGACTCCATCACAAAAAAAAAAAAAAAAAAAACTATTGCAAATTTCTTACACTTCTGTTCTCATTATTTTTGAAGGATGTTATTGTTTCTCTCTCTCTCTCTGTTTCTCTCTCTCTCTTTTAAATAGAGACAGGGTCTCCCTGTGTTGCCCAGCCGGGAGTACAGTGACTATTCACAGAAGTGATCATAGTACACTGCAGCCTCAAACTTCTGGGCTCGGGTGATGCTTCTACCTCAGCCTCCCAGCTAGCTGGGACTACAGGGATGTCACTGTGACAGCTTTCCTTTTATTCTTTTTTAAAAATAGAAGTAATGTTTTTACTTCTATAAAAAATATTATAGCAAAGATTTTTTAAATATAGAGAAACCAAAAAGAAGAAAATTAAAATTACCTTAATTTCACTACCCAGAGGGTACCACTATTAGCAATTCAGAGCGTATTATTTTTCCTTTTTACAAAAATGATCTCATATGCCACATACTGTTTTATAACCCTAAAATAACTTCTAGTGCAGAGACAATACATATTTATTGTAAAAAAACAATTGAAACTATAATTAGGTAAAAAGAAAAATCCTACCTCTAACCCTATCACCCAGAGATCACCACTATTAAAACCTCAAGGTATTAAAACTTTGAGACCCTTTTCTGTGCATATAAACACGAATATATTTTAATATAGTTAGAATCATTCTGTTCCTTTATTGACCAATTTTCAGAATAATAAATTAGTGTCTTAGCAACCTCCAAAGGTAACCAATGAAGTGATCTTTTTTGTTGTATTATGAATCATAGATTTTATGTATTTGATGTTTCAATTATTGTATTCCTTGTTCTTAATCAAATTTCCCATTTTTGGCCTCTGGGAACCATTTCCGACTGGCTCTTGGGGTTTTTGACATGACCATGATAGTCTTTGATCGACTCCTTGCTCTCAAGCAGAAGATATCCCAGGCTCATCTGAGGTATTTCCTGCCCCATTTTTGAAAACAACTCTCTCTAAGGAGAAGTGGTATTTAGCAACCGCAATGCGGACACAGGATATTCATTGCTATTGAAATTATGGGCCGAGTGCAGTGGCTAACGCCTATAATCCCAGCACTTTGGGAGGCCGAGGTGGGTGGATCACTTGAGATCAGGAGTTCGAGACCAGCTTGACCAACATGGCGAAACCCTGTCTCTACTAAAAATACAAAAATTAGCCGAGTGCTATGGTGGGCTCCTGTAATCCTAGCTACTTGGAGGCTGAGGCAGGAGAACTGCTTGAGCCCCTGAGGCGGAGGTGGCAGTGAGCCGAGACTGTGCAACTACACTCCAGCCTGGGCGACAAAGTGAGACCCTGTCCCAAAAAAAAAGAAATTATCATTGGCTGGATGTGGTGGCTCATACCTGTAATCGCAGCATTTTGGGAGGCTGAAGTGGGCAGATTGCTTGAGCCCAGGAGTTCAAGACTACCCTGGGCTACATAGTAAAACACTGTCTCTACAAAAAATACAGAAATTAAAAAAAACAAAATACAGAAATTAGCTGGGCATGATGGCACATGCCTGTGGTCCCCGATGCTTTGGAGGCTAAGATAGGAGGGTCAGCTGAGCCCCGGAGTTTGAGGGTGCAATGGACTATGATTATACCACTGCACTCCAGCCTGGGTGACAGAGTGAGACCCTGTCTCAAAAAAAAAAATGAAAAGGAAAAAGAAATTGTCATTGCTTTCAGACTTTTTGAAGGATTAGAGCCAGGAAATATGTGGATTTTTAGAAAATGAAAATAAATCTTGAGTTCTTACCAGTATTTCCAATTGAAATGAAATAGAATGGATTTTTTTATTTTATAAATTTTTTCTAACATTTCATTATGAAAATTTGAAATTATGAAGCTGACAGAAAAGTTGAAGAACTTTTACAGTGAAAATACCATGACCTTCATTCTATAGTTACAATTTTACTGTAATTGCTTGATTACATATTTGTCTTTCTAGCGGTTCTTTTTTTTTTTTTTTTTTTTGAGACGGAATCTTGCTCTGTTGTCCAGGCTGGAGTGCAGTGGCTCAATCTCCGCTCACCACAGCCTCCGCCTCCCAGGTTCAAGCGATTATCCTGCCTCAGCCTCCCAAGTAGCTGGGACTACAGGCATGTGCCACCAAGCCCGGCTAATTTTTGTATTTTTGGTAGAGATGGGGTTTCACTATGTTGACCAGTCTGGTCTCGAACTCCTGACCTCGTGATCCACCCACGTCAGCCTCCCAAAGTGCTGGGATTACAGGTGTGAGCCACTGCGTCCAGCCTCTAGCTGTTCTTTTATCCTATATTTTATATTTTTATATTTGTATTTCTTTTATCTGAGAATATTGGTTCCTAATGAAATTAATGTATTATATATGTGCATGTATACATACCCATACATATATAAATATATAATCACACATTATATAAAATGTGTAATCACACAATACATACTCATCCAGGTCTATAATCTTTTCAAAGAACAAATCCAACATTACCACTACAAACCCACTGTTTAAGGGGTTTTTGTTTGGTTTTTGTTCTCAGGATATACAAAATTCTTTATTTCAAGTCTCTTAAAATAATTTTCTGTGTGGTTATGCTGCTAACTTAATATAGAGTAGGAGTTAGTAAACTTTTTCTCTGAAGGACCAGATAGTAAATATTTTGAGCTTTGCGGCCCATATGGTCTCTGTTGTAACTACTCAACTCTGTCACTGTATCTCAAAAGCAGCCATAGACTATATGTAAATGGGCATAACTGTGTTCCAGTAAAACCTTATTCATGAAAACAGTTGGTGGGCCAGATTTGGACTGCAGATCATAGTTTGGTGACCTTTGACATAGAGCGCAGAATTTGGTTCATTGGTTCATTTGTTTGTTTTTCATTTTTAGGAATTGTTTTGCATTTTCTTTTTGATTTAATTTTTTTAACTATGAAAAACATCTGTTGTGCTCTAAAACTAATAAAATTAGATACAGTTATCCATGTTTCCTCCTCTGCTCTCTCCCTCTCTCTGTAGATGACTTATTTTAATTAGCTTTAAATTTATTCTTAAATTGCTTCTTTTTTGAAAAGACATGCAAATAATCTGTGATTTCCTATTCATTCCCATTTTTACACAAAAGGTAGCATACTATATATATTTTTTTCTGCGTCTTTTAATTTTAATTTTATTTTTATTTTTGAGATGGAGTCTCGCTCTGTCTCCCAGGCTGGAGTGCAGTGGCGCAATCTCGGCTCACTGCAACCTCCGTCTCCCAGGTTCAAGCGATTCTCCTGCCTCAGCCTCCCGAGTAACTGGGATTACAGGTGCCTGCCACCACACCTGGCTAATTTTTTTATTTTTAGTAGAGACAGGGTTTCACCATGTTGGTCAGGCTGGCCTCGAACTCCTGACCTTGTGATCCGCCCACCTCGGCCTCCCAAAGTGCTGGGATTACAGGCATGAGCCACCACGCCCGGCCTGCATCTTACTTTTTAAATTTAGTGTCTTAGCAATCGGTACATGATGGTACGTATAAATCTTCCGTTTTCTCTTTTATAGCTGCATAGTTTATTCAACCAGTTCTCTACTAGTGGACATTTGGGTTGTTTTCAAGTCTTTTGCTAATTTAAGAAGTACTGCAATGAATAGTCTTGTAAATACGTAATTTTGCATTGTTTGCCTGTGTATCTATAGGATAGATTCCTAAAAGTGGGATTGCTGGGCCAAAGGGAAATGCCTATGTAATTTTGCTAGATATTGCCAAATTTCTGTCCTTGGGGATGTACCATTTTAGTTCCTACCAACAATGTATGAGAGTGTGTGTTTCCTCACAGACTTGCTACAGAATGTGTTATAAAACTTTTGGATTTTAGCCAGTTCGATAGATGGAAAGTGATATTTCAGTATAACTTTAATTTACTTTTCTCTTATTATGAGCAAGATTGATCATATGTTCATGTTTAAGGGCCATTTGCATTTCTTTTCCTATAAACTGTCTGTATCTTTTGCTCATGTAATGTTTTATACTCTTTGTTCACATTCGAATATATTATGAACATGTCATTAAATAATGTTCAGCATTTAATGGCTACAAAATATTCCATTGTTTATTCATTCAACAACAATTTATTAAACAGCTTTTACTTGTCAGGCTTTGTTCCAGGCAAAGAGAATACAGCAGTGAACAAAACAAATCAATACCCCTGTTTTCTAGGTGCTTTGATTCTAGTTGGTAGAAAGACAATAAACAATAAACAAAATAAGTACTTCACATACATATAGTATGTTAGATAGAATTAGACCATAATTTACTCAACAAACACCTGTTATGGGACATGCATTTCTAATTTTACACTATTATAAATCATGCAGTATTGGACATAGTTATTATCAATTACATTTTGATTCCTTCTAATTTGTTTCTTACAAGGTATATTAGCTTTAGTTTTGAGGTCTGTTGCTTGTATTTATATTTTCAAAAAAAAAATTTAGTTTATTTGACCTGGCTGATGTCCATATATATTTTCAAAATTTTATTATGGTTTTCTAAACAAATAGAAAAGCTCGTGGCCAGGTGCAGTAGCTCATGCCTGTAATCCCAACACTTTGGGGAGGCTGAGGCGGGAGGATTGCTTGAGCCCAGGAGGTCAAGACCAGCCTGGGCAACATAGTGAGACCCCCACATCTCTACAAAAGATGAAAAAATTAGTCAGGTGGGGTGGTATGCAACTGTGGTCCCAGCTACTGGAGAGGCTGAGATGGGAGGACTGCTTGAGCCCAAGAATCAAAGGTACAGTGAATTGTGATTGCATCACTGCACCCCAGCCTGGGTGACAGAGCGAGACCCCCGTCTCAAAAAGAAAAAGAAAAAAAGAAAAGTTGAAAGAATTATATGGCGAACACCCTTATACACATCATTTAGATTCCACAATTCACATTTTATTATATTTGCTTGATCACATTTCTATCCATTTATCCATGCATCAACTCATGTTTTCTCTTTTTTTGATGCGTTCAAAGTAAGTTGCAGATATCAGTACATTTTAGCCATAAACACTTCAGCATTGTAACATTAACTAGAGTTTAATATTTATTTGGGTTTTTTGTAGTTCATTTGTTTTAGGTAAAATTTATATACAATGAAATGCACAAATAATACATACATCATTCAGTGAGTTTTAAAAATGCATGTACTTGGCTGAGGCATGAGAATCACTTGAACCCAGGAGACAGGGTTTGCAGTGATCTGAGATCACACCACTGCACTCTAGCCTGGGTGACAGAGCGAGACTCTGTCTAAAAAAAAAAAAAAAGCATATACTTTTGTCATTGAAACCCCTGTCAAGATACACATTGTTACTTCCAGGTGAGAAAAGGAAAAAAAAAAGAAACCTAAAGAAAAAACAGATATGCATCATTACTATTATCCCAGAAAGTTCCCTTCTGCCCTTTCACAATCATTTCCCACTCCTGCTCCCCTAGAGATAACTGGTTCTAGGTTTTTTAACCCGTAGATTAGTTTTGCCTATTCTAGAATTTAATATAAACAAGAAACATCTTTTTGGCTATGTGGGCTGTTTCCAGTTTTGGGGTATTATGAATAGTGCTGCTATGAACATTCTTGTACAAGTCTTTGTTATGAAAATGTATATTGTGTATTAATTTTTCTTGGACAAGTATGTTAGAGTGGAATTGCTGGATTATAGGGTAGGTATATGTTTGGTTTTCTAAGAAACTGCCAGACCAACTGAGCTTTGATCATGTCATACTTCTGCCAACAGTGTATGAGAGTTCCAGTTGCTTCACGTCATTTGGTAGTGTCAATCTTTGTAAATTTTAACCATTCCAGTGTATGTAGTGGTATCTCATTGTGGTTTTAATTTTCATTTCCCTAATAATTAATGATATTGAGCATCTTTTCATATGCAGTTGGTCATTTGAATAACTTCTTTTTTGAAGTATCTGAATAATTGTCCATTTTTTTAAAAAATAGTTTGTTTTATTGAGCTATAAACTGTTTTCATATATTCAGGATCAATGCGTTTGTCATATATATGTACTGCAAACATTTTCTCCCTATCTGTGGCTTGCCTTTTCATTTTTAGAACTGTATATTTTGAAAATAAGTTTTAAATTTTGATGAAGTCCAGTTTTTTTCCTTTTGGCTCATGCTTTTTATGTTTTAAGAATTCTGTCTGGGCACAGTGGCTCACACCTATAATCCCAGCACTTTAAGAGGCAGAGGCGGAAGAATTGCTTAAGCATAGGAGTTCAAGACCAGCCTGGGCAACATAGTGAGACCTCATCTCTATAAATAATTAGTCAAGCATGGTGGCACACAATTGTAATCCTAGCTACTAGGGAGCTGAGACAGGAGGATCACTTGAACCTGGGAGATTAAGGCTGCAGTGAGCTGGAATCAGGCCACTGCACTCCAGCCTGGGTGACAGAGCAAGACCCTGTTGCAAAAAAAGAAAAGAAACAAACCAAAATAAAACAAAAAACAAGAAATTGTTGTCTACTCTAGGATCATAAAAGACTTTCTTCTGTGTTTTCTTCCAGAAGTTTTATAGTTTAGATTTTGTATTTATGATCTGTTTTGGGTTAATTTTGGTGTGTGGTGTGAATTAAAGGTCAAAGTTTTTTTTTTTTTTTTTCCCCATGTGGATATCCAGTTGTTCCAACCTCATTTGGTAAAGGAATTTTCTTTCCCAGTTGTATTGATTTCATATCTTTATTGAAGATCAAATAGCCATATAAGTGTGGGACTGTTTCTGGGTTCCCAATTCTGTTTTACCAATCTACCTAACAGTCCTTATGCCAGTACCACATTGTCTTTAATTTCTGTAGTTCTATAGTAAGTTGGGTAGTATAAGTTCTCTAACATTGTTCTTGACTGTTCTGGGTCTTATAGGTTTCTATATAAATTTTTTAATCAGTTTGTCAATTTCTGCAAAAAGGTCTGTTGAGATTCTTATTGTAATTGCGTTGACTTTATAGATCAATTTGTGGACAATTGCCATCTTTTTTCTTTTTTTTTTTCCAAGACAGAGTCTTGCTCTGTCACCCAGGTTGGAGTCCAATGGCGTGATCTCAGCTTACTGCAACTACCCAGCTACCTGGGAGGCTGAGGCAGGAGAATCGCTTGAACCTGGGAAGTGGAGGTTGCAGTGAGCTGAGATCCGCCATTGCACTCCAGCCTGGGTGACAAGAATGAAGCTCCGTCTCAAAAAAAAATAAAACATAAAAAATTTCTCAGCAAGTTTTCAGTGTAGAGAGTTTGTATATTTTGTGTTAAATTTATCCTAAATTAAAGTTTTAGGCCAGGCGTGGTGGCTCACACCTGTAATGCCAGCACTTTGGGAGGCCAAGGCAGACAGATCACCTGAGCTCAGGAGTTTGAGACCAGCCTGGGCAACATGGTGAAACCCCATCTCTACTAAAATACAAGAGATCACCCGGGTGTGGTGGCATGCGCCTGTAGTCCCAGCTACTGGGGAGGCTGAGGCACGAGAATTGCTTGAACCCAGGAGGCAAAGCTTGCAGTGAGCCAAGATTGCACCACTGCACTTCAGCCTGGGAGACAAAACAAAACTGTCTCAAAAAAAAAAAGTTTTAAATTTCAGCCGGGCGTGGTGGTGCATGCCTGTAATCCCAGCACTTTGGGAGGCTGAGGCAGGTGGATCACCTGGTCAGGAGTTTGAGACCAGCCTGGCCAACATGGTGGAACCCGATCTCTACTAAAAATACAAAAAAATTAGCCAAGCATTATTACGGGTGCCTGTAATCCCAGCTATTCAGGAGGCTGAGGCAGGAGAATCTCTTGAACCTGGGAGGTGGAGGTTGCCGTGAGTTGAGATTGTGCCACCGCACTCTAGCCTTGACAGAGCAAGACTCAGTCTCAAAAAAAAAAAAAAAATTAAATTTCATTTTCTCATTTTTGCTGCAAATATAAAATAAAATGTCTTTTTTTGTTTTTTAATTTTTGTTTTATTGCTTGTATTCTGTGAACTTGCTAAATTAATTTATTAGTTCTAGTAGTTGTTTTATAGAGTCCTTAGGGCTTTTTACATAAACAATGATTCCATCTGTGAATATAAACAATTTTGCTTCTTCCTTTCTGCTCTTGTATGTCTTTTATTGCTGCTTTTGACCTATTTCAATGACAAAGATTTTCAGTAATATGTTGAATAGAAGTGAGAATAGACATCCTGTGTTTATTTTACTTCACCACTAAGTATGATGGTAACTGTAGGTTTGTCCGTGGATACCCTTTATCAGATCGTAGAAGTTCCCTTTTATTCTTAATTTGTGTCATGAACGAGTGTTGAATTTTGTCAAATGCTTTTTCTGCGTTTGTTGAAATGATCACGTGGGTTTTCTCCTTATACTGTTAATAAGATGAATCACACTGATTGAGTGTCAAGTGTTAAGCCAACTATGTATTCCTGGCATAAACCACACTTGGTAATGAAGTATTATTCTTTTCTATATCACTGCATTTGATTTGCTAATATTTAAGCATTTTTAAAAGTTATTAATAGATTCCGTTTTTTAGAACAGCTTTTGGTTTATAGAATATTTGAGCAGAAAGTACAGAGTTCCCATATACTCCCTTCCCTACCCCAAACCTAGTTTCCCCATTAACATCTTGCATTAGTGTACTACATTTGTTACAACTGATAAACCAATGTTGATACATTGTTATTAACTGAAGTAATAGTTTATATTAGGGTTCACTGTTTGTGTTATATAATTTTATGAGTTTTGACAAATGCATAATATCATATATCCATCATTATAGTCTCATACAGTATAGTTTCACCTCCCTAAAAAACCATGCTTCCTTGGCCAGGCGCGGTGGCTCATGCCTGTAATCCCAGCACTTTGGGAGGCTAAGGTGGGCGGATCACGAGGTCAGGAGATCGAGACCGTCCTGGCTAACACGGTGAAACCCCATCTCTACTAAAAATACAAAAAATTAGCCAGGCATGGTGGCGGGCCCCTGTAGTCCCAGCTACTCAGGAGGCTGAGGCCGGAGAATGGCCTGAACCCAGGAGGCGGAGTTTGCAGTGAGCCAAGATCGCACCGCTGCACTCCAGCCTGGGCGACAGAGCGAGACTGTCTCAAATAAAAAACAAAAACAAAAACAAAAACCATGCTCCACATATTCTTTCCTGCCCCATCCCTGATCTCTTGGCTACTCCTGATCTTTTTACTGTCTCTATAGTTTTGCCTCCTCCAGAATGTCATGTAGTTGGAATTATACAGAATACAGCTCTTCAGACTGGCTTCTTTCACTTAGAATTATGCATTTAAGGGTCCTCCATGTCTTTTGTGGCTTGATAGCTTATTTCTTTTTATCACTGATTAATATTCTGTTGTCTGAGTGTAGCACAGTTTATCCATTCTTTTTTTTTTTCTTTCTAAAAAAAAATCCTTTCACCTTTTGAAGATCATCTTGGTTGCTCCCAGTTTTTTGGTAATTATAAATAAAGCTACTGTAAACATACATATGCAGTTTTTTTGTGTGGACATAAGTTTTCAACTCATTTGGATAAATACCCAGGAGCACAATTGCTGGATCGTATGTTTAACTTTGTAAGAAACTGCCAAACTGTCTTCCAAAGTGGCTATACTATTTTGCATTCCCACCAGCAATGAATGAGAGTTCCTGTTGCTCCACATCCTTGTCAGCATTTAATGTTGTCAGTGTCCTGGATTTTGGCCATTCTAATAGGTATATAATGGTATCTGGCTGTTGTTTTAATTTGCATTTCCCTAATGACATATGATATTGGGCATCTTTTCATATGCTTGTTTGCCATGTGTACTATTTTATAAGTTTAGGTTTTTAAGTAAGGATTATTAAGTTTAGATTAATGAGGGATATTGATCAGTAATTTTCTTTTTTGTGATTTTATCAGGGTCAGGTTTTGGGATGAGTATTCTAATGACCTCTCAAAATAAATTGAACAATATTCCTTCTTTATTTTCTGAAAGAGTTTGGGTAACCTTGATGTTATTTCTTCCTTAAATGATTCATCAGTGAAACCATCTAGGCCTGAAATTTTATCTCTCGGAAGATTTTTTTTTTTTTTTTGAAACAGAGTCTCACTCTGTCACCCAGGCTGGAGTGCAGTGGCACGATCTTTGCTCACTGCAACCTCTGCCTCCTGGGTTCAAGCAATTCTCCTGCCTCAGCCTCCTGAGTGGCTGGAATTACAGGCACCTGCCACCATGCCCGATTAATTTTTGTATTTTTGGTAGAGATGGGGTTTCACCATGTTGGCCAGGCTGGTCTCCAACTCCTGACCTCAAGTGTTCCTCCCACCTCAGCCTCCCAAAGTGCTGGGATTATAGGCGTGAGCCACCGCGCCCAGCGGAAGATTTTTAGGTAACAAATTTAACTATCTAATACATATAGGGTTATTTAGGGTTTTTATTTTTGTCTTGTGACAGTTTTGATAAGTTGTACTTTTCAAGGAATATTTTCATTTCACGTATATTGTTTGGTTTTTGGCATAATGTTCATTAATTTCTCAGTTGTGCTTTAAACCTTCTTTCTTTTCTTTCACTGCAGCCTCTATGTCCCAGGCTTAAGCAGTCCCTCTACCTCAGCCCCCTGAGTAGCTGAGACCACAGGTGTGCACCACCACACTTGGCTATTTTTTTTTTAATGTTTTTAGAGACGGGCTCTCCCTACATTGCCCAGGCTGATCTCAAACTCCTGGGCTCAAGCGATCCTCCTGCCTTGGCCTCCCAAAGTACTGAGACTACAGATGTCAGCCACTGTGCCTGGTCCTTTTTACTTTTCTGATATAAGCTTTACAGCTATAAATGTCTCTATAAGCATTGCTTTAGTTATATCCAACAAATATTGATGTTTTTCGTTAGCATTCAGTTGGAAATCTTGTAATTTCTTTTTTGACCGTAGATTATTTTAGAAGTACATTGTTTAATTTCCAAACATTTAAGGCTTTTTGGATGTTTTGTTGTTAATACTTTCTGTCTTAATGCCATTGTAGTCAGAGAACATACTTGATAGGAAATAGATATCTGTTGAAAATACATATTCTGGGGGGAAACGATGTGGTTAAATTAATGTTTGAGCCCTGTGTCCATATTTTGTGATCTTCCTCACTAGAATGTAAGTTCCATGAGGAAGAGCCTTTGTTCTGTTTTTTTGTTGTTATTGTTTTTTGTTTTTGAGACTGGGTCTTGCTCTGTCACCCAGGCTAGAGTGCGGTGGCGCAGTCTCAGCTCACTGCAGCCTCGACTTCCTGGGCTCCAGCGATCCTCCCACCTCAGCCTCCTGAGTAGCTGGGACTACAGGCACTCACCACCATAGCCAGCTGATTCTTTTAGTTGTTTTAGAAATGGGGTCTCACTGTGTCGCCCAGGCTGGTCTTGAACTCCTAGGCTCATGCAACCATCCCACTTTGGCCTCCCAAAGTGCTGGGATTACAGGCATGAGCTGCCGCACCTGGCCAGAGCCTTTGTTCTGTTCAGTGCTTTATCCCCAGCACCTAGAACAGCTGGACTGAGTGCATGTTCTATGGTAAATGTTCAGCTTTTATATTTCTGTTCTGGCTACAATTTAAGCCCAGTAAGATGATTAAGACCTGGTCTCTGCCCTAAAAACATGTGGGGAATAGAAACAAACTAGATGAACTGTAACGTTAGTACACTACTCCAATTACATGCAAAGTGCTGTGGGAAGGCAGAAAATGTGGTCTTAAATTCTTCATAGGCTGGGTTGGTACCCCTGGGGGAGGCTTTCCAGAGCCAGTGACAGTGGCGCCCGGCCTGCGAGGATGAACTGGAGTAGGCAGGGCATTCCACAGGGGGAAGTGCAGCTTGTTTTCTATGTGTATAAACTCTCCTTTTTTTCTTCTTCAAAAGGCTCGGGCTCAAGTTCACTACAGGTCACAAAACATGATGTCTTGTTGGCTACTTTAAAATCTAACCTGTCTGCTTTGGAGGACAAGTTTCTGAAGGATCCTCAGTGGAAGAATCTGAAACTCCTAAGAGATGAAATTGCTGATAAGGCAGAATGGCCACAAAACTCTGTGGATGTCACTTGGAGTTTTACCTCTCAAACCTTGTTGTTGCTTTTGTGCTTGAAGGAAACCATGATCCGCCTTGCAGCTAATTTCAATCCAGGTAAACCCAACCCTAGGACTCCGGAAGTTGCTCCTGCCCTGAGCCCCGATGCACTTAGTATCTCACAACAGAAGACTGTCCAGTTCGTTTTGCAGTTTGTAGTTACCTTGGGTATCTGCCCCTATCTCATGCCTGGTGTTGGAGTCCCTTTGAGATATAGAACTGAATTTGGTGCCGTCGTTCAAGACGTGGTGTGTTTTGATGCTGCCCCCGATGCAACTCGAAGACTGTACACCAGCTGCAAGGCCCTTCTGAATGTTGCTCAGCACACATCTCTGGGGAGCTTGATCTTCTGCCACCACTTTGGGGATATCGCAGCAGGTCTGTGCCAACTGGGATTCTGCCCAACCAAAAGAAAACTGCTAACACCTGCAGAAGAGGTAAATATACATTGAGAAAGAGAGAGGGAGAGATTGTGTGTGTATGAATGTGTGTATATATTTGTGGATAGTTGTTATAAAAGGCAACTCTTAGTTCTTCAGAACTGGATATGCCAAAGCATATCCAATGGATAAATGAATCTTTTGGGGGTGGGCGCAAGTTTCATTTATTGGGTTCTCGTCCTTTGCACACCTGTAGAGTCCATTTCACCTGTCCCTTGTCATTTTGGGAAACAGCTATAGCAGGCTGTTTTTCTTTGAGCCTCTGTTTCTTCTTCTATAAAATGTGTATCATAATACCTGCCTCGGAAGGTGGTTGTGAGGATTAAGGATAATGTGTGTCAAGTATCTGGCCCAATCTCTAGTAGTGATAATTCCTACTGATATTAGTATCATGGCTCCCTCATTAAATGCTTGGGAGGGTTAAATGAAATAACACATATAGAGCACCTGGTACACTGCAGAACTCTGTCAATGTTCATTGTTATTATTAGGTGTTAGGGGTATATGCCCATTTTTGCTGTCACTCAGTCCAGTAAGCAGTTGAGCATCCAGACTACAGAAGTTGCTGTGGAGATCATAGACACATAAGACATGGTCCTTTTCTTCAAATAACTCACATGCTGACTGGGGAGATAAGACTTACAGGGATGACGCAGCAGGAAGCACTACCCCCGCCATGAGAGGACCACTGGCATCAGCATAGGCACTGGCCAGCAGAAGCCGTTAAGATGTAAATGTCTCAAGGGTCAGTGCGGCCCCCAGGCGCAGTGATTCCGCAGCCTCCACAGCCAGGTTTCACAATGTTCTCGTTTCTCTGTCACCCGCCTGTGTCATCGTTGTCGTTGTTCCTTTTCTCTTCTCTCTCCTGCCTACATTCATAAACATTTGCCTAAAAGCCACTATCATCCAAGTGTTGGCATGAAATTCTGAGCTCCCTGGGGCCTTTATGTGATAGGAGCAGAGTGCGTCCTCCTTCCGGCAGGGTTATGCGTATTGACACTTCTAGCAGCACCTCCTGCCTGCACTTCCCTGAGGTAGTGTGACCCAGGTTGACAGGTCTTATTACTGTTACTGAGGCTAAACTGTGCCCAGGGATCTCAGGCAGGAGAGAGAAATGAAAAGGGAAACACAGAGAAAGAACCAACTAGGACGGCAAGAGAAGGAGTTGACAGAGGGAAAACATGCTGGGTGTACATTATGAAGCTGGACAAAGTCCCACCAATAGCTGTGTTCTAAGTAGCACCCATACCTCAGTATGTGAAACGGTAATGGGCAGGACCCTGACTGTTTGACCCTGAGCAGTAATCACCAAGGAGAACTGTACTGTTATGGCTCAAGGGTACCCCAAAATTGTACCCCCTCTTTGCTGCCCAAGTTCCAAATGAATTAAAAGAGAGTTAAGAAGAGTAAGAGAGATAAACAATGTTACCTCTATTGCTCATAAAGGCAAAGTTGGAGGATATAGCTTATAGATGGAGACATCTATTTTTTTTTAATTTTTTTTTTATTTTTATTATTATTATTTTTTGAGACGGAGCCTTGCTCTGTCACCTAGGCTGGAGTTCAGTGGCACAATCTTGGCTCACTGCAACCTCCGCCTCCTGGGTTCAAAAGATTCTCCTGCCTCAGCCTCCCGAGTAGCTGGGATTACAGGCATGTGCCACCATATCCAGCTTGCTTACTTACTTATGTATTTATTATTTTTGAGATGGAGGCTTGCTCTGTTGCCCAAGCTGGAGTGCAGTGGTGCAATCTTGACTCACTGTAACCTCCGCCTCCCGGGTTCAGCTTCCTTAGTAGCTGGGATTACAGGCACACACCACCACGCCTGACTAATTTTTGTATTTTTAGTAGAGGCAGGGTTTTGCCATGTTGGCCAGGCTGGTCTCGAACTCCTGACCTCAGGAGATCCGCCCCCCTCGGCCTCCCAAAGTGCTGGGATTACAGGCGTGAGCCACCACGCCTGGCAGGAGACAAAACAGTGCTCTTCAGAATTAGACACTGTCACTACTCACCCATTTTAAGGCGCACTGGAAAACTGCAGCACCTTCTGCAGGGGATATGCCTCTGAAAAATACCCAGCAAGAAAGAGCAGAAGAAAATGTGCAGTCACTGTCAAAAGACAGAAGAGGAATGAGCTGAGAGATGCTTGCCAAAACCAGCCAGTAAGTGAGTTTACTCCATCCTCAGCCGTAAGATCAGTCTCATAACCTGCCCAGAAGTGGAGTGAGCGAGATGGAGAGAGGACCAGGAATGTTTTAATAGTACAGCTTCCCCCATGTGGAAGGAAATCAAGAGAGGATAGAAGCCTTCTTTCCGCTCCTCTCACAAGTATCTCTGTACAGTGTTGTAAAACTTTACCTTCTATTGTCTGCCTGGTTTGAATTCCACTAAAGCCAAGTGCATATTTCTTTTAGGTTCTAACTGAAGAGGAGAGAACCCTATCCAGGGGGGCCTTGAGAGACATGCTGGATCAAGTCTATCAGCCCTTAGCAGTCCGGGAACTGCTTATCCTCCAGGGAGGACCACCCCAGGTACTCAGGCCTAGGGACTCTTGGGGGTGACTCATTAATGATAATGTGTGGTTTGCTGTCTTCTTCTGGAAAATTAAATAACTTTAGTTCCCTGTTTAATGATCTAGTTGAGCCTTTTTTCATCTTTTAGATCATAAAATGATATTTATAAAACTAGATGACGCTGACCCTTAGGATAATTTAAAAGACCTTTTCTCTAATGAAATGATGGACACTTTTCCCAAGAATATTATGATCACTTTTTTTAAGACTTATGGCAATTTTGGCTGGGCACGGTGGCTCACGCCTGTAATCCCAGCACTTTGGGAGGCCGAGGTGGGCGGATCACCTGAGGTCGTGAGTTCGAGACCAGCCTCAACATGGAGAAACCCTGTCTCTACTAACAATACAAAAAAACAATTAGCTGGGTGTGGTGGTGCATGCCTGCAATCCCAGCTACTTGGGAGGCTGAGGCAGGAGAATTGCTTGAACCTGGGAGGCGGAGGTTGCAGTGAGCCGAGATCATGCCATTGCACTCCAGTCTGGGCAACAAGAGTGAAACTCAGTCTCAAAAAAAAGACTTATGGCAATTTTATGTGAGATATATTTTATTCATTCTGAAACTAGATCTTCTCTTTTTTTAACTAAAATTTGCTGTTTGACAAAACATTCTTTTAGCACAACTATCTGGACACTAATTCTTTGAATGGATAATGTATTTGAAGTCAAGAAATTAAAACTAGATATATTATTGGTTCTATTCTTAGTTCCTTTGTTTCAAACATGTAGTAGTATATATTCTGCTAGGGATAAGATAGTTTCTTTGTTTTCTTAAAAATAATGTTTATCTGAGGCCGGGCGTGGTGGCTCACGCCTGTAATCCCAGCACTTTGGGAGGCCAAGGTGGGTGGATCACCTCAGGCCAGGAGTTCGAGACCAGCTTGACCAACATGGAGAAACCCTGTCTCTACGAAAAATACAAAATTAGCCGGGCATGGTGACGCATGCCTGTAATCCCAGCTACTCGGGAGGCTGAGTCAGGAGAATCGCTTGAACACAAGAGGCAGAGGTTGCAGCGAGATGAGATCACGCCATTGCACTCCAGCCTGGGCAACAAGAGCAAAACTCCGTCTCAAAAAAAAAAAAAGTTTATCTGAAATGATTTAATTTGATGATATAGATGGAATTGTCTGTTTGCTTTTAGTACCTACATTTTCGTTATGAATCTAGGTGTGTAAAGAGTGAGGAGCCAGCCAGGCACTGTGGCTCACACCTGTAAACCCAGCACTTTGGCAGGCTGAGGCAGGAGGATCACTTGAGGTCAGGAGTTTGAGGCCAACGTGGGCAACATAGCAAGACCCCTGTCCCTAGAAAAGATAAAAAATAAAAAACTAGCCAAGTGTGGTAGCATGCACCTGTAGTTCCAGCTACTCTGGAAGCTGAGGTGGGAGGATTCCTCAGGCCCAGAAAGTTGAGACTGCAGTGAGCTGTGATCGGGCCACTGCACTTCAGCCTGGGCAACAGAGTGAGATCTTGTCTTTAAAAAAAAAACAAAAGAAAAAGAGCGAGAAGCCAAAGGAATTAGCTGTAGGTCAGGAGCAAGGACCAGCTGAAGCTGGCTACAGAGATATCTCCTAATTGAGTAATTTTCATCTCATCCTTAGAATCTTACTGTAAGCCTTCCATCAGGCCTCTCTGGCATTCAACCCCCGTGTGCAGGTGTTTGAATTTGTAAACCTTTCCATTCTTCAGGTTTCTTACCCATAAGATAGGGATAATTACAATGCCTTCCTTGTAAGTCCCTTTTGAGATTATATGGGAGTTGCTTATGATGTGCCTGGCACACCATAATCCCTCAGTAAATGGTAATAATTCAATAAAAGAGAGAGGACAGGAGAGTTAGGATGAAATATTTCTGTTACTAATTTTGAGGCTTACATACTTAAGTGCAGTGGTGCCGGGCGTGGTGGCTCACCCCTGTAATCCCAGCACTTTGGGAGGCCGAGGCGGGTGGATCACGAGGTCAGGAGTTCAAGACCAGCCTGGCCAAGATGGTGAAACCCTGTCTCTACTAAAAATACAAAAAATTAGCCGGGCGTGGTGGTGTGAGCCTGTAATCCCAGCTACTCTGGAGGTTGAGGCAAAGAATTGCTTGAACCTGGGAGGCGGAGGTTGCAGTGAGCCCAGATCGCGCCACTGCACTCCAGCCTGGGCTACTGAGCGAGACTCCGTCTCAAAAAAAAAAAAAAAAAATGCAATGGTTGACAGCAACATGATCAGTGTTCTAGCCCAAAATAAGGGCTAGAACATTCAAACTGCAGCACCTTCTGCAGGGGATAGGCCTCTGAAAAGTACCCAACAAGAAAAAGCAGAACAAAATATGCACTCACTCTCAAAAGATAGAAGAGGAACTGAGATAGAAGAGCTGAGAGGTGTATGCCAAAACCAGCTAATAAGTGAGTTTACTCCACCCTCAGCAATAAGGGACACCAAGTCTATTTATTCACAGTGGCTCCACAGAACTCCCAGAAAGGGGTCCTTGAAGAAATCCACTATCTTTCTTGCAGATCATACTGGGGCAGGAAAGAAATACAAAAGAAATCCGGCCGGGCGCGGTGGCGCACTTTGGGAGGCTGAGGTGGGTGGATCACAAGGTCAGGAGATCGAGACCATCCTGGCTAACACAGTGAAACCCCATCTCTACTAAAAATACAAAAAAAAAAAAAAAATAGCCTGGCATGGTGGCAGGTGCCTGTAGTCCCAGCTACTCAGGAGGCTGAGGCAGGAGAATGGCGTGAACCCAGGAGGCGGAGGTTGCAGCGAGCCGAGATCGTGCCACTGCTCTCCAGCCTGGGCAACAGAGCAAGACTCCGTCTCAAAAAAAAAAAAGAAATCCAACTCTTTCTTTGAACTGTGTCACAGGAATCAGAGTTGCTAATGCCACAGAGGCAAGGGCTGGAATGCTCCCTCCCTGTTGTGAACTACCCTCTTAGTGGCAAATAACGTTCATAAGAATCTTCCTTGGAAGCTGGATTTGTTTGTCAGAGCTACATTCAGAGATTGTTTGCATTAACTTTGTGTTCCGAAGATCTACATTTTAATTGCTGATGCGTTTGTCTGTTTCTGAGTTTGAAATTTCATTGATTTTTCACTTTCACTGTTTTTTACTTTCTTAAAAGTAATGCAGAAGAAGGTTTTGTAAAGTTTTTTTTTTTTTTAAGGAAAAAATGTTGCTCTTTTGAAGTCTGTATAGCACACTGTTAATTGTCAGTATGACTCAGGACTTTTAAAAAATAATGTCGGCCGGGCGCGGTGGCTCACGCCTGTAATCCCAGCACTTTGGGAGGCCGAGGCGGGTGGATCATGAGGTCAGGAGATCGAGACCATCCTGGCTAACAAGGTGAAACCCCATCTCTACTAAAAATACAAAAAATTAGCCGGGCGCGGTGGCGGGCGCCTGTAGTCCCAGCTACTCGGGAGGCTGAGGCAGGAGAATGGCGTGAACCCGGGAAGCGGAGCTTGCAGTGAGCCGAGATTGCGCCACTGCAGTCCGCAGTCCGGCCTGGGCGACAGAGCAAGACTCCGTCTCAAAAAAAAAAAAAAAAGTAATGTCTAGCTGGGCACGGTGGCTCACGCCTGTAATCCCAGAACTTTGGGACGCTGAGGTGGGTGGATCACCTGAGGTCAGGAGTTCGAGACCGGCCTGGCTAACATGGTGAAACCCCATCTCTACTAAAAATACAAAAAGTACCCAGGCATAGTGGCACGTGCCTGTAATCTCAGTGACTCAGGAGGCTGAAGCAGGAGAATCGCTTGAACCCGGGAGGTGGAGGTTGCAGTGAGCCGAGATTTTGCCACTGCACTCCTGCCTGGGTGAAGAGTGAAACTCCATCTCTAAATAAATAAATAAGTCTGCATATCATAGCTATTTCTCCTTTTTTTTTTTTTTTTTTTTTTTTTACAGGCATGAGCCACTACGCCCGGCCATCATATCTATTTCAGTGACATTCAGAATTCACACCTTCTTCTTTTTCTCAGTCCTGCACAGATGTGAAGACACAGATGAGGTGTCGGGCCCCAGCTTGGCTTCGGCGTCTATGTGGACAGCTGCTCTCTGAAAGGTTAATGAGACCTAATGGTGTTCAGGCAGTAGTCCGGGGCATTTTGGAAGGAGCAGGTGGTAAGAAATAAAATGTTGCTGTGACTTTGGTATCTGTTTTCCTTTGAGTCAGAGTCTGAGGTGAATTATTGGTCTTTAGTATTTACCTTTAAAACCTGACTGAAACTAAACTCCATCCTTGCAGGGATTGAACAGGTTAAACTTAGAGGCCGTTAATGAGCTTCTTTTCCAAAGAAACTAATTCTCTTGCTCTTTTCCTAAAACACTTGTGATACACTGCCTATTTTATTGAACAATATTGTAAGCCATTTCAAATAATTTATACTATCTGGGGAAAACATTACACAGAAAATTGAAGTAAAAACCCTAAAGTAAATGTTAAATAAAGCTAGGTGTGGGCCGGGCGCGGTGGCTCACGCCTGTAATCCCAGCACTTTGGGAGGCCAAAGCAGGTGGATCACTTAAAGTCAGGAGTTCAAGACCAGCCTGGCCAACATGGTGAATCCCCGTCTCTACTAAAATACAAAAATTAGCCTGGCATGGCGGCGGGCGCCTAACCCCAGCTACTTGGGAGGCTGAGGCAGGAGAATCATTTGAACTTTGGAGGTGGAGGTTGCAGTGAGCCAAGATCGTGCCACTGCACCCCAGCCTAGGTGACAGAATGAGACTTTGTCTCAATAATCATAATAATAATAATAAAGCCAGGTGTGGTGGCTCACACCTGTAATCCCAGCACTTTGGGAGGCTGAGGCAGAAGGACTGTCTGAGGCCAGGAGTTCAAGACCAGCCTGGGCCACATAGCAAGACTCTGTTTCTACAAAAAAAAAAAAAAAAATAGCCAGGTATGGTGGTGCCCGCCTATGGTCCCAGCTACTTGGGAGGCTAAGGCAGGAGGATCACTTGAGCCCAGGAGTTCGAGGCTATAGTGAGCCATGATCATGGCACTGCATTCCAGCCTGGACAAAAAAAGCAAGACCTTGTCTCAAAAAAAAAAAAAAAAAGTTAAATGTAAAATAATTTTCTTGAAGCCAGAAATACCTTTGAGATGCAAACTTTGGGATGAAGTTTTAGAGTCATTTCCCTAATTATATTATCTAAGTTCTCATTAATAGGAAAAAAGTTAATGCTAAGCATGGTAGTAGTTTTTAATTTATGTTTTTTATTTTTTAGAGAAAATTAGACATGTACATCATTTAAAGTCAAATAGTTCTCTGAGACTTATAGTGAAAAATAGCAGTCCTCGGCATCATTCCAATCCATTTCCCATTTCTAGAAGCAACTGCTTTGAACTCTTTCAGTGAGTTTTTTCTGGTATTTACCTCTATATTTCTATTTTTTTTTTTTTTTTTTTTTTTGAGACAGAGTCTCGCTCTTTCACCCAGGCTAGAGCGCAGTGGCGTGATCTTGGCTCATTGCAACCTCCACCTCCCGGGTTCACTCCATTCTTCTGCCTCAGCCTCCTGAGTAGCTGGGACTAAAGGCGCCTGCCACCACGCCCAGCTAATTTTTTGTATTTTTAGTACAGATGGGGTTTCACTGTGTTAGTCAGGATGGTCTTGATCTTCTGACCTCGTGATCCACCCACCTCGGCCTCCCAAAGTGCTGGGATTACAGGCATGATCCTGGCCATTTACTTCTATATTTCTAACTAATATATGGGAATTCATAATTTTTTCAGTTTCAGGCATCATGTATCTACCTCTCACCATGTGTGGAAGAGGATCTTGTTCTCTTTCATAACACTGCCATCATTCCCCCAAGTACATTTTTATTTTCACATCTCCGTAATATATTTATATCTCAGTTTTGGTTAGATCAATATTCAGTGTTTATATTAGTGTAACTCTGTGATTATTATTTACAGCTGATCTATATTGTATATTATGATTACTTTCTTTTTTTACATAATCTTTTGTACTTCCTGGAGTTAATCTTTTTTTTGTACATCTGATTAGTTTTCTATGTGCTTATCACTAATCTTTTCTCAAGCTGTCCCTCTTTTGTTTAAATCTCCTTTTAATACACTGAAAAACATCAAATAGGCTGGGCATGGTGGCTCATGCCTATAATCCCAACACTTTGGGAGGCCAAGGCAGGTGGATAGTTTGAGCTCAGGAGACCAGCCTGGGCAACATGGGGAAACCCCATCTCTACCAAAAATACAAAAATTAGCTGGGTGTGGTGGTGCGCACCTATGGTTCCAGCTACTGAGGTGGCTGAGGCAGGAGGATTGCTGGAGCCCTGGAATTTGTGGCTTTAGTGAGCCATGATCACACCACTGCACTCCAGCCTGGGTGGGAGAGCGATATCCTGTGTCAAACAAACAAACAAACAAAAACCCACCAGATATTCTATCAGTTTTATCTTCTTGGAAACATCTTTCTCTGGGTCTTCTGACTTGCTTTACTCAATCCTGGTTACCTTCTACTCAGCTGCCATCCAAGGATCCCCTTCACTTTTATCCTGGTGAACACTTTGCCTTTTTTGTGTGTTCAGTCTCTTATCTCCCTTATCCCCTGCCTGTTAGTTTCCTATTGTTACTGCAACAACTTACCACAAACTTAGTGGCTTTTTTTATGGAAATGGCATTTAAACTGAGCCCTGAAGGCTGAGTTGGAATTAACTAGCTGAAGAGAGAGGGAAGATAGTTATAGGCAGAGAGAGTAGCATGTATGAGGAACTGAAGTAGAAATGAGCATAGTGCTTCTGAGGAAATCTCCACGTGGGTAGAGTAGTGAGGGCAGAGTGCAGGTAGAGTGGTGCGCAGTGAGTGGGGATGGTGGCTGGGGGCCACCTCAGGGAGGCCTGATAGGCTGAGTTCAGGATGTTGAACTTTATTCTGAGGGAGATGCGAAACGATTAACAGTTTTAAGAAAGAGAGAACATGATCAAATCTGCAGTTTAGAAATATCTATCTGGAGGTATTGTGAAGAATGGATTGGGTAAGAGCAGAAGCAGGGAGATCAGTTAAAAGGCAGACATCTGAGGAATCACGGAGGCTTGGATTAATGCAGTGGTCATGGAAATGGAGAGAAATGAATGGGTTTGAGAGATATTTAAGGAGGAGAGTTGCCAAAACTTAACGAAGGGCTGGATATGTGGGGAAGAAGGAAGAGAGCTAGAAGAATAAATCTTGACTTCATTTCTGGCATAATGTACCTTGGTCCCATCAGACAAAAGTGAGGTCAGTGTGGTTGGCAGACGTTGGTAGATTTGGTCTAGAGTGGCTATAATATTGCCTCCCCTCAGTTCTCCCCACAGTGGCTTCTAGGGCCAATGAAATAACAAATGATCAGTTACCCATAAGAAGTTGTCCCTTACAAACAGGTCTTTGCATCTTCCTTTTCCAAGAAGGGTTAGACCTCACTTAAGGGCATGCAGATTTGAGAGCTACTATAAGAAAATCAGAACCCTCTTTTTCCTATGAGTTCCCCCAACTTGTGCATGTATATATTTGTTGTTATCTATTCATACCTTGTTTCTTTCCCAAAATGGTTTGAGGCAGGTTTATATTGACCTGCATATTTGCCATTTCTGGTGGTCTTTATTTCTTTATGTAGATCAAAATTTCAGTGCAAACTTCCTTCTGCCTGAACTTTAGTTGCCATTTCTTTTAGTGTAGGTCTACTGGCAATGAATTTCTTTTTTTTTTTTTGAGACGGAATTTCGCTCTTGTTGCCCACGATCTCGGCTCACTGCAACCTCTGCCTCCTGGGTTCAAGCGATTATCCTGCTGCAGCCTCCCAAGTAGCTGGGATTACAGGTGCCAGCCACCACGCCCGGCTAATTTTTTTTTTTTTTTGTATTTTTAGTAGAGACAGGGTTTCACTGCGTTGGCCAGGCTGGTCTTGAACTCCTGACCTCAGGTGATCCACCTGCCTCGGCCTCCCAAAGTGCTGGGATTACAGGTGTGAGCCACCGCACCCGGCCTGGCAATTAATTTTCTAGCTTTTGTTTGTCTGAAAAAGTCTAGTTCATCTTCCTTTTTGAAAGATATTTTTTATTGGGCATAGAATTCTAGGTTGACATTTATTTTTTCTTTTAGTACTTTAAAGATATTCTGTTGTCTTCTGGCTTGTGTCATTTCTGATGAAAAGTCTGCTATCATTCTTATCTTTGTTCCTCTATAAATGATATACCATTTTTCCCTCTGACTGCTTTTAAGATTTTTCTCTTATGGCTGGTTTTTAGAAATTTGATTATGATGTACCTTGGTGTGGTGTTGGTTTCTTTATGGTTTTTTTTCTGCTTTTTGGAGCTGTGGGTTTATAGTGTTTGCCATATTTGGAAATTGCTCAGACATTATCTTCAAATATTTTTTTCTGTACTCCCCTCAGATCTCTCTTTCTGAGATTTGAATGACACCAAATATTATGTTTACTGTTGTCCTGCCAATTACTAATGCTCTTTTTGTGTGTGTCTTCTTTTCTCTATGTCTTTTTTATTTTTCTCTGTCTTTAAAATTTTTTTTTCCCCAGAGACAGGGTCTTGCTCTGTCTCCCAGGCTGGAGTGCAGTGGCATGATCTTGGTTCACTGCAACTTCTGCCTCCCAGGTTCAAGCAATTCTGGTGCCTCAGCCTTCTGAGCAGCTGGGATTACAGGCATGCGCCACCACACCCAACTAATTTTTGTATTTTTAGTAGGGACAGGGTTTCGACATATTGCCCAGGCAGGTCTTGGACTCCTGGTCTCAAGTGATCCACCCACCTTGGCCTCCCAAAGTGCTGAGTTTACAGGCGTGAACCACTGTGCCTGGCCAAGGGCAAATTTTTAATAGTTGTCTTAATGGGCCAGGCGCAGTGGCTCAAGCCTGAAATTCCAGCACTTTAGGAGGCCAACGTGGGCGGATCACGAGGTCAGGAGTTTGAGACCAGCCTGGCCAACATGGTGAAAGCCTGCCTCTACTAAAAATACAAAAAATTAGTGGTGCGTGCCTGTAGTCCCAGCTACTCAGGAGGCTGAGGCAGAAGAATCGCTTGAACCTGGGAGGTGGAGGTTTCAGTGAGCCGAGATCTCGCCACTGCACTTCAGCCTGGGCGATAGGGTGAGACTCTTGTCTCAAAAAAAAAAAGAAGTTGTCTTAATGGTCTTGTCTTCTAATTCTGTTATCTCTGTTTTTTTGGGGTCTGTTCTACTGATTTTTTTTTCTTTTTTTTTTGAGGCAGAGTCTTGCTCTGTCACCCAGGCTGGAGTGCAATGGCACGATCTTTGCTCACTGCAACCTCTGCCTCCCAGGTTCAAGAGATTCTCCTGCCTCAGCCTCCCAAGTAGCTGGGACTACAGGTGTGCGTCCTCATGCCCAGCTAATTTTTGTATTTTTAGTAGAGACAGCGTTTCACCATGTTGGCCAGGCTGGTCTTGAACTCCTGACCTCAGGTGATCCGCCCGCCTTGGACTCCCAAAGTGCTGGGATTACAGACATGAGCCACCGCCCACAGCCGGTTCTGTTGATTTTTTTATTCTAATTATAAGCCATATTGTTTTCCTTCTTTGCATGCCTGGTAATTTTTTTTTTTTTTTTAGATGTTATTCACATACCATAGAACGGTGGCGCGATCTCAGCTCACTGCAACTTCCCAGGCTGGAATGCAGTGGCGCGATCTCGGCTCACTACAGCTTGCGCCTCCCATGTTCAAGAGATTCTCTTGCCTCAGCTTCCCGAGTAGCTGGGACTACAGGTTTGTGCCACCACACCCAGCTAATATATTTTTTTAAATTTTTAGTAGAGATGGGGTTTCACCATGTTGGCCCGGCTGGTCTCAAACTCCTGACCTCAGGTGATCCACCTGCCTCGGCCTCCCAAAGTGCTGGGATTACAGGAGTGAGCCACCGCACCCGGCCAGAAGTCACTTTTTTTTTTTAAAGAGTACAGTTTGGGGTGTTTAGTATATTCACAGAGCTGTGCAGTCATCACCAATATCTATTTCCAGAACATTTTCCTCAACCCTCCCCCCATGTCCCCCCAAAGAAGCCCTCATACTCACTAGCAATCACCACTCCTCATTCTCCCCTCCTCTCAGATTCTGGTAAGTACTACTTCACCTCCTGGTCTCTTTGGATTTACCTGTATTGGCATTTCATACAATACATGGTCTTTGTGTCTGGCTTCCTTTACTTGGCATAATGTTTTTGAGATTTATTCATGTTTTTTGTTTGTTTGTTTGTTTTTGAGACAGAGTTTTGCTCTTGTCACCCAGGCTGGAGTGCAATGGCATGATCTCAGCTTACTGCAACCTTCTTCTGCCAGGTTCAAGCGATTGTCCTGCCTCAACCTCCCAAGTAGCTGGGATTACAGGCGCCCACCACCACATCTGGCTAATTTTTGTATTTTTAGTAGAGACGGGGTTTCACCATGTAGGCCAGGCTGGTCTCAAACGCCTGACCTCAGGTGATCCACCTGCCTTGGCTTCCCAAAGTGCTGGGATTACAGGTGTCAGCCACCGTGCCCAGCCGAGGTTTAGTCATATTATAATATGAATGAATCAGTCCTCCATAAAAATTATTCCTTTTTATGACTGAATAATAATTCCTCATGTGGATATGCTTGGTAATTTTTGACTGGATGCTGAACATTTTTATTCTACATTGCTGAGTGCCAGATTTTTATATTCCTTAGTTGGACTTTGTTCTGGAATGCAGTTAAGTTACTTGGAATTAGTTTAGTCCCTTTGATCCTGGCTTTTCAGCTCTGTTAGTGTGGTTCTACAGCAACCTTTAAGGTAATTTAACCCCTTTTTGTATTATACTAAGTGTGTTGTACTAAGTGTAACAATACAGATTGTACTAAGATAATAGACTTCTGAGAATTCTAGTTGTTGCCCTGTGTATTAGGAGATCCTCCCAGGCTGGCTGGTGGGAACACAACTCTTCCCAGCCTTTATGAACCGTGGGGGTTGTTCCCCCCTACTCCTTTCTGGTGGTTATTGCCCCAGGCTTTGGTATTTTCCTCACACATACGTGTATCATACTCTACCAAAGACCTGAGAGAGGACCCTTTTGCAGATCTTTGGAACTCTCTCTACATGTAACTTCCTCCCTTCTGGTATTTTGCCCTGAAAATTCCAGCTGCTTTGGCCTCCCTGAACTCTGAACTATGTTTCTTCCACTGAACAAGATGCCAGGCTTCATTTGGGCTGCTATTGTTATCGCCTGAAAACTCTCTCCAGTCAGTGAACGAGGGCAGTCGTCAAGCTCAGTTTGTTTGCTTCCGTTCTCTCAGGGATCAGTGTCCTGGGCTGCCTGTTGTCCACTGTCTGGAAACCATTGTTTATATATTTTGTCCAATTTTATAATTGCTTAAGACGGTAAAGTAATTCTGGTCCCTGTCACTCTACGGCTGTGGCTTAAGACAGTTTAAATGAAATGATACATACAAGGAGACAGAATAATAATAGTAATAAACATGGTGAAGCTAGTATTCCAGTTATATGAATAATATCATTATAGTGACTAAGTGCTAGTTTTTCTCTGAATTTCCCAGAAACTAGCATCAAAAGGAACGTATAGGCCAGGCGCGGTGGCTCATGCCTGTAATCACAGCACTTTGGAGGCTGAGGCGGGCAGATCACCTGAGGTCAGAAGTTCGAGACCAGCCTGGCCAACATGGCAAAACCCTGTCTCTACTAAAAATAGAAAGGAATTACCTGGGCATGGTGGTGTATTCCTGTAATCCCAGCTACTCGGGAGGTTGAGGCAAGAGAATCGCTTGAACCTGGCAGGAAGAGGTTGCAGTGAGCTGAGATCATGCCACTACATTCCAGCCTGGGTGACAGAACAAGACTCCGTCTCAAAAAATAATAATAATAAATAAATAAGAAATAAAAAACATAAAAAGGAAAGTATAGAAGGGTAGATTATCTTATAGAAAAAAATAAACTATTTTCAATAGAAAAGATAAATGCATTTTACCTTAAATTTTAAGACAAATTTGTTACATGGGACCTTCTGTGGGGAATTGCTGTGAGCTGCTAACATCTCTCTCCATTGTGCCAGCGGGAGCAGCTGGTGGAAGTGATGCTGAGGTGACGGCTGCTGACTGGAAGAAGTGTGACCTGATCGCAAAGATTTTGGCCTCTTGTCCCCAGCAGTCTCTTTCACCAGAGAATTACTACAGGGACATCTGCCCCCAGGTAAATCTTTTTGTTTCTATTGATCATTTGAGGATTATCTGCTTATTTACAGAAAGAGGACTTTTAATGTTCCTCTAGTATTGAGATAAAAGCAGTATAATATTTAAGTTTATTGTTTAGTGAGGAGCCTTCTTAATAAATGAATAAAAACCGGTGGAAGAGACTGACCTAATTGTTCAGTTTAAGAATGACGAGGCCAGGCGCAGTGGCTCACGCTTGTAATCTCAGCACTTTGGGAGGCCGAGGCAGGCGGATCACCTGAGGTCGGGAGTTCGAGATTAGCCTGACCAACATGGAGAAACCCCGTCTCTACTAAAAAAAATACAAAATTAGCTGGGTGTGGTGGCGCATGCCTGTAATCCCAGCTACTTGGGAGGCTGAGGCAGGAGAACGGATTGAACCCGGGAGGCGGAGGTTGCCGTGAGCCGAGATTGAGCCATTACACTCCAGCCTGGGCAACAAGAGTGAAACTCCGTCTCAAAAAAAAAAAAAAAGAATGCCTCACCACTACTAAATGATTTGCCCAGCTTGCTCTCAGAGCTAGAATACGAAACTCAAGTTTCATCTTGTTCGTTATCTTTTCTCTCCATGTGTTTTTAGTTAGTTTTTAAAGGCAGATATTAAATAAACAAGGTAAATTAACATGGCAAACAATTTAAAAAGCATAAAAGAGTAAACCGAAAACTAAGTCTCCCTACCATTCCTGTTCTCCAGTCCCTCAGAGGTAGTCACTGCTATGAATTTCTTTCCAGAGATATTCTGTGTATTATGCATATACCATCATATGTGCATATGTTAATGTATGTATATATTAACATGTATGTGCATACACACATACATTAACATATACACATGATGGTACAATTAATGCTAATTTTTTTTTTTTTTGAGACAGAGTTTTGCTCTTGTTGCCCAGGCTGGAGTACAATGGTGCGATCTTGGCTCACCACAACCTCCACCTCCCGGGTTCAAGCGATTCTCCTGCCTCAGCCTCCCGAGTAGCTGGGATTACAGGCATGCGCCACCACACCCGGCTAATTTTGTATTTTTGGTAGAGATGGGGTTTCTCCACGTTGGTCAGGCTGGTCTCGAACTCCTGACCTCAGGTGATCCGCCTGCCTCGGCCTCCCGAAGTGCTGGGATTATAGGCGTGAGCCACCATGCCAGGCCAGTGCTAATTTTTATCTAAATGATAGCATGCAGCATGCCCTCTTTTCATTTTGCTTTTTTTCATTGATAGTGTACTTTGGCCAGGCACAGTGGCTCACTCCTGTAATCCCAGCAGTTTGGGAGGCTGAGGTGGGCAGATTACTTGAGGTCAGGAGTTCGAGACCAGCCTGGCCAACATGGAGAAACCCCAACTCTACTGAAAATACAAAAATTGGCCAAGCGTGGTGGTGCACACCTGTAGTCCTAGCTACTCAGGAAGCTGAGGATAGAGAATCTCTTGAACCTGGGAGGCAGACGTTGCAGTGAGCTGAGTTTGCACCAATGCACTCCAGCCCGGGTGACAGAGCGAGACTCCATCTGAAAAGAAAAACAACAAAAAACACAGTGTACCTTGGAGATCATTTCATTCATTTTCATGGGTACATGGTATTTCATCATATTAATGTACTGTAATTTATTTAACCAGCCTGTTATTGATGCACATTTGAGTTGTTTCCATTCTTTTTCTATTACAAATTATGCTACAGTTAATATCCATAAGTCTTTGTACATAACTACCAGTATTACCATAGGAAAAATTCCTAGAATTGAAATTATTGGTTCAAAGGTTTTATGCATTTAAATTTTTGATCGATATGCTTTATGTACCTATTTTCCCACATTTTTACCCACACAATGTGTTACAAACTTTTTTGATCTTTGCAAATCTGATACATGAAAAATGTGGGGCTGGGCACGGTGGCTCACGCCTGTAATCCCAGCACTTTGGGAGGCTGAGGCGGGCGGATCACGAGGTCAAGAGTTTGAGACCAGCCTGATCAACATAGTGAAACCCCGTCTCTACTAAAAATACAAAAATTAGCTGGGGGTAGTGGCATGTGCCTGTAATCCCAGCTACTTGGGAGGCTGGGGCAGGAGAATTGCTTGAACCTGGGAGGCGGAGGTTGCAGTGAGCCGAGATTGCACCACCGTATTCCAGCCTGGGCGGCAGGGTGAGACTCCATCTCAAAAAAAAAAAAAAAAGGAAAAAGAAAAATGTGGAGGGAGTTTTCTTAATATTCCCTATGCGTATGCCTAAAATGAGCCTGTATTTTATAAATTTGATAAAATTATTTAATAAAAACACTGCAAGTATGAGAGGTGGGCAAAAAAAATTTTTTTTTTTGAGATGGAGTCTCGCTCTGTCGCCCAGGCTGGAGTGCAGTGGCGCGATCTCCGCTCACTGCAAGCTCTGCTTCCCAGGTTCACACCATTCTCCTGCCTCAGCCTCCTGAGTAGCTGGGACTACAGGCGCCCGCCACCACACTCGGCTAAGATTTTTGTATTTTTAGTAGAGACAGGGTTTCACTGTGTTAGCCAGGATGGTCTCGATCTCCTGACCTTGTGATCCTCCCGCCTCGGCCTCCCAAAGTGTTGGGATTACAGGCGTGAGCCACCACACCCGGCCAAAAAATTTTTTTAATTAAAAATAAAAACACTGCCTGTTCAGCTCTCTTACCCTTTGATACTGGGTATGTTAAATTAAAAGAATTCTGTTGAATCAGTGTTATTGAGGTGAATTTATTTTTTGTCTTAAAGAAATTCATGCTTTTTGTTTTTAGTTACTGTCATATTCCTTGCAAAAAACTGGTATTTACTTCTTGTAGTTTTTTTGTAGGTTCTGGATTTATTTCACTTTCAAGATAAATTGACAGCACGACAATTTCAGAGAGTTGCCACCACTACCTTTATAACTTTGTCAAGAGAACGCCCACATTTGGCAGCAAAGTATTTGCTCCAGCCAGTGTTAGCTCCTCTTCATCGATGTTTGAATACAGCAGGTAAAGGAGGAAGTGTGGTGGCTGTGTGTGCCTCTAAAGGACCTTCTTCAGTATTTCACGTTGAAATGATTTAAATCTGTGTTATATCAGTCTCTTTAGTTTTCCTTCCCCTCCCCCCAACTTTTTATTTTGACAAATTCACTTACAAGTTTCAAGAAGAGTATATTGAACTACCCATATACAGATCACCTAGACCGAATAACTTTACATTTTGGCCACATTTATTTTATCTTTCTCTCTTTCTATACATATAAACATGTCTTTTCTGAAGCATTTGAGACTTAGTTGCAGACATCACAACACTTCACCCCTAAATACTACAGTATGCATCCCCAAAGAAAAATGTCAGTCTCCTACATAACCACAAGGCGATTACCACACTCAGGAAATTTAACATTTATACAATATGCTTTGATATAATATACAAATTCCATTCAAACTTCTCTAATTGTTTCAATAATTTGTTTTAGAGCTATTTTTTTTTTAATCCAGAATTCAATCAAGAATCATGGCTGGGCGTGGTGGCTCATGCTTGTAATCTCAGCACTTTGGGAGGCTTAGGCGGGCAGATTGCTTGAGCCCAGGAGTTCGAGACCACTGGGGCAACATGGCAAAACCCCGTCTTAACCAAAAAACAGTATAAAAATTAGCCAGGCATGGTGGCAAGCACCTGTAGCCCCAGCTAGTTGGGAGGCTGATGTGGGAGGATCGCTTGAGCCTGGGAGGTTGAGGCTGCAGTGAGCCATAATCACACCTCTGCACTTTAGCCTGGGCAACAGAGTGCAACCCTTGCTCAAAATAATAATAATAATATATGATAAAACTATGTCTAAATAAATAGAAAGACTTATTATAAAACTTTAAAAACTTTTTTTTAAATTTTTATTTCTGTATTGTCCAGGCTGGTCTGGAACTCCTGGGCTCAAGCGATCTTCCTGCTTCAGCCTCCCAAAGTGCTGGGATTGGTGAGGTGGGAGGATCACTTGAGCCCAGGAGTTTGCAACCAGGCTGGGTAACATAATGAGACCCTGTCTTTAGAAAAAATTTTAAAAATTAGCTGGGCGTGGTGGTGCACGCCTGTATTCCCAGCTGCTCGGGAAGCTGAGGTGGGAGGATCACTTGACCCAGGAGGTTGAGGTTGCAGTGAGCCATGATCACACAGTTCCACTCCAGAGCCTGGGTTACAGAGCAAGACCCTGTCTCAAATAAATAAAAATAAAATATAACTATTTTAAAACTTTTTGAAGGGAAATTTTTAAACACATATTATAGAGATTATATAATGAACTCCTATGTACCTGTCACCTAGATACAACTATTAACTCTGCCATTTTCTTTCTTTTTTTTTTTTTTTTAGACAGAGTCTCACTCTGTCACCCAGGCTGGAGTGCAGTGGCATGATCTCGGCTCACTGCAAGCTCTGCCTCCCAGGTTCATGCCATTCTCCTGCCTCAGCCTCCTGAGTAGCTGGGATTACAGGTGCCCGTCACCACGCCCAGCTAATTTTTTGTATTTTTAGTAGAGATGGGGTTTCACTGTGTTAGCCAGGATGGTCTCAGTCTCCTGACCTTGTGATCCGCCTGCCTCGGCCTCCTAAAGTGCTGGGATTACAGGCGTGAGCCACCACACCTGGCCAACTCTGCCATTTTCATTTCATCCAATCCCCAATTTTTATTCAATTAAGTTTAAAATGAAAAAAAATTTTTTTTTGAGACAGAGTCTCACTCTGTTGCCCATGCTTGAGTGCAGTGGCACAATCTCGGCTCACTGCAACCTCCGCCTCCCGGGTTCAAGCGATTCTCCTGCCTCAGCCTCGTGAGTAGCTGGGACTACAGGCCTGCCCCACCACACCCGGCTAACTTCTTATATTTTTAGTAGAGATGGGGTTTCACCATATTGGCCAGGTTGATTTCAAACTCGTGACTTTGTGATCCGCCTGCCTTGGCCTCCCAAAATACTGGGATTACAGTTGTGAGCCACCACACCTGGCCTAAAATGAAAATTCTAAGTGATAATGTGCTATAGGTAATTGGCAACGTTGGTGTTTTTTCTTAGTGATACATAAAATAACAATGCATGTTTATAATCAGTGGCATCATATATTCCATGAAATGTGTATGAATTGTGTATTGTTCAATGATAACCATTTTCTGATCTTAGGTGTTACTTACTGAGCCATCTTTCTAGTAAAGCTTCCTTCCTTAGCTTTAGTATGTCCTATTCAGTGAGGCACTAAATATGGGTAATTTTGTGTGTTTATTTTCTAGAGCTTTCAGAGAGTGACATGGTACCAGGAACTATTTTGGTGACAGAAGAAGAACTTAGTAGATGCATTGAGGATGTGTTTAAGGTTGGTAATCTGAGTCACTAATGTTTTTATTTACTTCTTATTTAAAATTTTTTTTAAATTTTTTCTTTTTTTGTAGAGATGGTGGGGTCTCACCACGTTGCCCAGTCTGGTCTTGAACTCCTGGCCTCAAGCGATCCTCCTTCCTTAGCCTCCCAAAGTGCTGGGATTACAGGTGTGAGCCGCTGCTCCCAGCCTTTTAAAATAATTTTACCTTTTAATTAGCACTTGAACCGTTGGAATGACTAATCTAAAGCTCCAAGCTGTCTGGTTTTCACTTTGAAAACCAGAAACTGTAAGCTGACGTTTTTTGTCTTTTGTTGTTGTTGCTTTTCCTTTTTGTGGAGAATGAGGTCTCACTATATTGCCCAGGTAGGTCTCGAACTCCTGGGCTCAAGCTATCCTCTTGCCTCTGCCTCCCTAAGAGCTGGGATTACAGGCGCGAGCCACTGCGCCTGGCAAGCTGACCTTTTTAAGTGAAAAAACTGATATATTTTTGAAACCCTGTTAATTACATCATTTATTCTAAATGTTGAAATAGTTTAGTTTCTCTAACTGGCAAATGCCGCTGATGAAAGCATGTCTATTGAAGAAGTTGACATGGAGCCGGGCATGGTGGCTCACGCCTGTCATCCCAGCACTTTGAGAGGCCGAGGAGAGTGGATCACCTGAGGCCCGGAGTTCAAGACCAGCCTGGCCAATATGGCGAAACCCTATCTCTACTAAAAATACAAAAATTAGCCGGGCCTGGTGGCACACACCTGTAATCCCAGCTACTTAGGAGGCTGAGACAGGAGAATTGCTTGAACCCAGGAGGTGGAGGTTGCAGTGTGCCGATATCATGCCACTGCACTCCAGCCTGGGGGATAGAGCGAGACTCTGTCTCCAAACAAACAAACAAAAAAAGAAATTGACAGGGGCTTTTTCAATACTATAGTCTTCCTAAAAGTGTATGATAATTGAATCTACTTTATAACTTTTGATAGTAATTACTGTCATAACAAATTAAGTCTGAATAAATGATTCCTGCAAATGACTACATAAATATATAACAAGAATGAAAATTTGCTTTTCTATTCATAGAAAAAAAGTGAATGAAAACTAAGAATCTAAATGTTATGTTCTTTATTATCACAGCCTTATAAATATATGTGGTATATGCTTTTGGAAAGCAAATGAAATTCATTGTGTTATGGCTAGATGGAAGTAGGATAAATATTCTTTAAAGTTTATTTTAGGCCCAGTGTGGTGGCTTATGCCTATAATTCTAGCACTTTGGGAGGCCAAGGCAGGAGGATTACTTGAGGCCAGGAGTTCAAGACCAACCTGGTGAATATAGTGAGACCCGAGCTCTATAAAAAATAAAAATAATAAATACAATTTATTTTAATAAATTTATAATAATTTACTGCTGAACACTTTTACATTAGAAAACAGCTTTCAAAACTGTATTTCATATAAAAAGGTACAGCTGCTTTGGAAAATAGTTTGACATTTCCTCAAAAAGTTAAACCTGGAGTTATCATATGGGCCCAGCAATTCCACTACTAGGTATATACCCAAGAGAAATGAAAACTTGTTCATATAGGCCGGGCACGGTGGCTCACACCTGTAATCCCAGCACTATGGGAGGCCGAGGCGGGCAGATCACGAGGTCAGGAGATTGAGACCATCCTGGCTAACATGGTGAAACCCCGTCTCTACTAAAAATATAAAAAAATTAGCCGGGCGTGGTGGCAGGCACCTGTAGTCCCAGCTACTCGGGAGGCTGAAACAGGAGAATGGCGTGAACCTGGAAGGCAGAGCTTGCAGTGAGCCGAGATCGCACCACTGCACTCCAGCCTGGGTGACAGAGCGAGACTCCGTCTCAAAAAAAAAAAAAGAAAACGTGTTCATAGAAAAACCTGTATGTGAATTTAGTAGGTAGGACAGGGAGCAATTACAAATGACACAAGGGATCTTTTGATGACGGAAAGGTTCTAAAATTGTATTGTGATGGTTTTGCAAATCTGTAAATTTACTAAAATTCACTGAAGTGTATATTTAAAATAAATGATTTTATGGTTTTTAAGGTATACTTCAATAAACCAGTTTTATTAAAAAAAAAAATACTTGGCACGATGGCTCATGCCTGTAATCCCAACACTTTGGGAGGCCAAGGCGGGCGGATCATGAGGTCAGTAGATCAAGACCATCCTGACTAACATGGTGAAACCCTGTCTCTACTAAAAATACAAAAAATTAGCCGGACGTTGTGGTACGCGCCTGTAGTCCGAGCTACTCAGGAGGCTGAGGCAGGAGAATCACTTGAACCCGGGAGGCGGAGGTTGCAGTGAGCCGAGATTGTGCCACTGTACTCCAGCTTGGAAAACAGAGCGAGACTCTGTCTCAAAATAAATAAATAAATAAAAATACAAAGATTAGCTGGATGTGGTGGCACGTGCCTGTAATCCCAGTTACTCTGGAGGCTGGGGCAGAAGTATCACTTGAACCTAGGAGATGGAGGCTGCAGTGAGCTGAGATCACATCACTGCATTCCAGCCTGGGCAACAGAGCAAGACTCTGCCTCAAAAAAAGAAAAGATAAAAAATAAAAATAAAGTGTACAGGCATGCCTGTCATCCCAGGACTTTGGGAGGCCAAGATGAGTGGATTACCTGAGGTAAGGAGTTCAAGACCAGCCTGGCCAACATGGCAAAACCCTGTCTCTACTAAGAATACAAAAATTTCTCTCTCTCAAGATTTGCCTATTGTGTACCTTTCATATAAATGGAATTGTACAATATGTGTTTTTTTTGTGATTGGCTTTTTTCACTTTGCATGATATTATAA
The DNA here is from genome assembly GCF_000001405.40 of Homo sapiens. Classification (NCBI taxonomy): domain Eukaryota; kingdom Metazoa; phylum Chordata; class Mammalia; order Primates; family Hominidae; genus Homo; species Homo sapiens. Next base: position 68,883,459 of record NC_000016.10, read on the forward strand.
CATGGAGCCATACTTCATTTCTTTTCATTGCCAAATGGTATTCTCTTGTATTAACATGCCTCATTTTGTTTATCTATTCATCAGTAAATGGACATTTAGGTTGTTTCCATAATAGCCATAATAACATTTTGGCTGTTATTAATAATGCTGCTATGGACATTCATGTAAACATTATTGTGTATATTTGTGTTTTCATTTCTCTTTGGTATATACCTAGGAATAGAATTGCTGGATCATGTAGTAACTCTATGTTTTACTGTTTGAGGCACTTCTGGACTGTTGTCCAAAGTGACCGCACCATTTTACATTCCCATCGGCAGTATATGAGGGTATAAAGTGAATCACATTCTTTCAGATAAGAAGGCAGATGCTTTTGTTTTGCTTTAAGCGTTCTGCATGGTACTAGTAGATTCATAGATAGAAAATGCAAACTCATTCTCCATAGCATTCACTTTCTTTCTTTTTTTTTGAGACAGAGTCTCCCTCTGTTACCCAGGGTGGAGTGCAGTGAGATGACCTTGGCTGACTACAACTTACACCTCCCAGGTTCAAGCGATTCTCCTGCTTCAGCCTCCCCAGTAGCTGAAATTACAGGCACCCACCACCACGCCGAGCTAATTTTTGTATTTTTTGTAGAGACAGGGTTTCACCATGTTTGCCAAGCTGGTCTCAAACTCCTGACCTCAAGCAATCCCCCTGCCTTGTCCTTCCAGAGTGCTGGGATTACAGGCATAAGCCACCGTGCCCGGCCTCACTCACTTTATTTGTAAAGTGAAATGTTTACTACCCTTGTATTTAATTTCACTATTTTTGAAAATGGAGTCTACCCTTTGAGGGTTGACCTGGCACACAAATATGGAATCAGATTGCTCAGAGATTGAAAGATGACATGGTGACTATGTGAATATAATGCTGTTTTTATTTTTTAATGTCTCATGGATAGACTTCTGAAAAGAGGGGTCTTCTATCCTGTTCTGAATATTAGTAGACTTTTCAGATTATGGAGAGATAAGAAATTATTAGAGCAGTCTAGAAAGCAGATGTTCTAAATTAGCGAACAGTGGCCTACTAACTTTCAGAAAGACCATGTCCCATCTAAGAAATAGCATGATGAAAAACTGCCAAGTGGTTGGGTTTGGAATGTTGGAAAGACTTGAAAGTACTGTCAGGATAGGGGTAAGACTAATTGTGACTAAATTTTGGTGCAAACCCTTTATGGTATGCCTTGGAAGTCAGTAAACTTAGAGGGAGAAAAAAAAAAGCAAACAGATAATTTCTTTCTAGCAAGGGAGTTATCCTCTAAAAAACAGAGAGAGATCTGGAAATAATGAATCCTGCCATTTCTCCTATTCTTGGTCCCCAAAAAAGAGGGAGGAAACCTTTATAGTTTGGTCAACAGTTTGGCGAATTTAAAGCCCCCTGGAGAGGCAAGCAAACCATTAGTTTTCTGTAGACACTTGATTATGCACCAAGGATTGGCACTGTTGTGAAACTAAGAGGGGTGGAAGGGTAATTATTCTCTCTGCAAGGTTTTGGCAGCCAGCTGCAGTGGGAAAACAGGAAATGTGTATGTTGGAGGAAAATGGTAAACACTGGGTAAAATTTAACAACAAAGGATGTGTTGTGTCTATTAACTTTCTGCTAATACTAAATTATAGAGTACAGCTCAAAGGCAGGAAATAAGGAAAATATCGGGGATGGGTAAATTGATCCAGCTGCTCACTAGGTAACGTGGAGGATAACAAAAGAGTGTTTAATTTTAGAGAAGCATTTGGGAACATTTCCAGCTCTTTTTTTCTCTCTCTCTTTTTATTCTTGTTAACAGATTTATTAAGACAAAAATTCACGTAACATACAGTCCACTCATTTCAAGTGTACAGCTCAGTGTTTTTTAGTATGTTCATAGGGTTTTGCAACCATTGTCAGTCTAATTTTAGAATATTTTTGTTCCCCTTAAAAGAAACTCGTATCCATTAGCTGTCATTCTCCATTCTCCCAACTCTGCTCATAGCCTTAGGCAACCACTCATCTATTTTCTGTCTCTATAGATTTGCCTATTCTGGACATTTCATATCAATGGAATCATAGAATTTATGGTCTTTTGTGATTGGCTTCTTTCAAGTCTAGTCAAGTGAAGCAGTCGGAGCGGAAAGGGGTCAAAGAAATCTGTAACTGGTTGTGATTAATTAGTTGTAAATACCACTGCACTGGAGCATGATGTTTTTAAGGTTCATTTGTATTGCAGCATGAAGCAGTACTTCAGTCCTTCTTATTGCCAAAAAGTATGCCATTATATGGATATACCACATTTTACTTATCTGTTCATCTGTTGATGGATATTTGGGTCATTTTCACCATTTGGCTCTTATGAATAATGCTGCTATAAACATTGGTGTATGCTATTAGTTTTTGTGTGAACCTATGTTATCGTTTCTTTTGCCTGTATACCTTGGAGTGGAATGCTGGATTATATTGTAACTGTATGTTTAACTTTTTGAGGACCTGCCAAACTTTTCCGAAGCAGCTACACCATTTTACGTTCCCACCAGCAATGAGGGCTCTAATTTCTCTACATCTGGCCAAAATTTTTTACCTGTCTTGTCTTTTTTATTATAGTCCTCCTAGTGGGAGTAAAGTAGTATCTCATTGTCATTTTGATTTATGTTTCCTAATGGCTAATGATATTGAACAGCTTTTCATGTGCTTATTGGCCATTTTCATGTCTTCTTTGGAGAAATGTCTATTAAGGCCCTTTGTCCATTTTTTTTTTTTCTGAGACAGAGTCTTGCTCTGTCTCCCAGGCTGGAGTGCAGTGGCACAATCTCAGCTCGCTGCAACAACCTCTGCCTCCCAGGTTCAAGCAATCCTACTACCTCAGCCTCCCATGTAGCTCGGATTACAGGCATGCACCACCACACCTGGCTAATTTTTTGTCCATTTTTAAATTGGGTTTATTGTCTTTTCATTATTGATGAGTTGAGGGATGGGCTCCTGGCTTAACAAACAGCTCACTCCAGAGAAATCCTCCTCACCGATCTCATCTCAGTCTCTCCATACTTTTTTTTTTGAGACAGAGTTTTGCTCTTGTTGCCCAGGCTGGAGTGCAATGGCATGATCTCAGCTCACTGCAACCCCCGCCTCTTGGGTTCAAGCAATTCTCCTGCCTCAGCCTCCCCGGTAGCTGGGATTACAGGTGCCTGGCACCACGCCCAGTTAATTTTTTGTATATTTTAGTAGAGACGGGGTTTCACCATGTTGACCAGGCTGGTCTTGAACTCCTGACCTCAGGTGATCCACCTGCCTCAGCCTCCCAAAGTGCTGGGATTATAGGCATGAGCCATTGCACCTGGCCCATACTTTTTTTTTTGAGATTGAGTCTCACTCTGTCACGCAGGCTGGAGTGCAGTTGTGCGATCTCAGCTTACTGCAACCTCTGCCTCCAAGGTTCAAGCGATTCTCTTGCCTCAGCCTCCCAAGAAGCTGGGATTACAGGCGCCAGCCACCACACCCAGCTAATTTTTGTATTTTTAGTAGAGATGGGGTTTTACTATGTTGTCTAGGCTGGTCTCAAACTCCTGACCTCAGGTGATCCACCTGCCTCAGCCTCCCATAGTGCTGGGATTACAGGCATGAGCCACCATGCTCGGCCCTTCCATACTTTTGATCCTTCTCTCCCCTCTTTCTGGAAGAGCAGTTTTTATAATCCCCAACCTGTTCCCATCTTAGTCTGCTGTCTTTCTTTGGAGTGTGGGTCTATTTTATCTTGGTGCCTCACTTGGCATTTCCACCTTGACATCCCCTGTCATGTGCACCATTGCCACCACCCACCCAGTGGCCACCCCAGAGGCTGTGCACTAGCTGCAGAGCAGCCCGTGTCACCTTTATACACTATCCTGATCAGACTGCAGGTTATCTGGTTTTTCAGACCATAGGAGAATTCAAAGTTAAAAAATAGAAGTTAGACTAAATAAGGCACAATGACAAGAGAATGCCAGCAGAGAGGAACAAGAAAGAACACCAAAAAACTACTCAAAAAGGGCATAAGAATTTGAAAAGCAAAGTTTGTTGGGGCTGGTATGTCCAATATACTTTGTTTAAAAAGGGAAGGATTGCATATTAGAAATATTTCCTTCTAGGGCCAGGCACAGTGGCTCATGCCTATAATCCCAGCGCTTTGGGAGGCCAAGGCGGGCAAATCACTTGAGGTCAGGAGGTCGAGACCAGCCTGGCCAGCATGGTGAAACCCTGTTTCTACTAAAAATACAAAAAAATTAGCCGGGCGTGGTGGCTCGTGCCTGTAATCCTACCTACTTGGGAGGCTGAGGCAGGAGAATCGCTTGAACCCGGGAGGCAGAGGTTGCAGTGAGCCGAGATCATGCCACTGCACTCCAGCCTGGGCAACAGAGAGAGACTCTGTCTAAAAAACAGAAACAACAACAACAACAAAAAAGAGTAAACCCTCAATGCTCTGAATGAAAATTTTATGATGGGAAAAAGTATAGGGGAAGGGCTTTTTACTCTTGCGTCCTTCACTCCAGCAGGGAGTAGAGCAGGTGGTTCTGATGGCTCTGGGGGGCCAGGAGGAAAGTTCTCCACATGTAGGTGCATTCATAGGTGCTAGGTGAATTGAATTGAAAACCTAGCATAGCCACGTGTACTTCATCTGCATAAATGATTCTCACTTCTATATATGTACCTTCTATCTGGTAAAATTATCTGAGACATAAAGGGGATACACGGCTCAAAACACTTTTAGTCCAGTGGTTCTCCATTCTCTCCTTCTGCTCTGAATGCCTGGGGCCCAATCCCTAGAATGCTTAAATTCTTTGCCCTCCCTGGTATGAGAAGGATTAATAGTGTATTCTTTGCCTAGAGAGGTGAAGGGAGGCCTAGGTTGCACAGAGACTGGTTCTGGGTAGGACAATGTAAGAGAGTTATAATGCCTTTTTATTTGGACATTTTTTGCTCGTAAGAGGATTGGCTAGATTCTGAAATGGGGAAAACGTTTCCTTTTAGTATACTTCACATTACTTGCCTGACACTCTTCCTAAAAGCAGAAGAAATGTTAGGGTAGGAAAAACTGGGAGGCACTTAAGTAGTTTATTTCCTCCATTCTCATTTCCATTTTATCTCTCTGTTTCCAGATTCAGGGAATTTTGCCTTTAATTATCCAAGTCTTTTCTCCATCTAATCTTAATGAATTTCTAATTACAGCTATTCTGTCAGATTGGATATTTGACTCCTCTTTCTGAATTTTTAATTAGATTTGCAGAGTAAATTAGAATAATAGAATCTTAGAACTGGAAGGAACTTCAGAAATAAGTGTAACCTCTCACTTTTTAAATAGACTTTATTTATTATTATTATTTTTTGAGCCGGAGTTTCGCTCTGTCGCCCAGGCTGGAGTGCAGTGGCGCAATCTCAGCTTATTGCAGCCTCTGCCTCCTAGGTTCAAGTGGTTCTCCTGCCTCAGCCTCTGAGTAGCTGGGATTACACCTGGGATTACAGGCATGTGCCACCATGCCCGGCTAATTTTTGTATTTTTAGCAGAAGTAGGTCTTCGCTATGTTGGCTGGGTTGTTCTCGAACTCCTGACCTCAAGTGATCCACCCGCCTCAGCCTCCCAAAGTGCTGGGATTACAGGCGTGAGCCACCACGCCCACCAATAGACTTTATTTTTTAAGAGCAGTTTTAGGTTCACAGAAAAATTAAGTGGAAAGTACAGGGAGTTCCCATATATCTATCTCCAGACAGCCTGGTATATTTGTTACAATTGATGAGCCCACCTTAATGCCTCAGTATCATCCAAAGTCCGTAGTTTACATTGGGATTCACTGTTGGAGTTGTATAGTCTATGAGTTTTGACAGATTAACCACTCATTTTGTAGTAAAGAAAATAAAATCCAAAAGATTTTGTGAAGTGACTTGTTCCAAATCATACAGCTGGGGAGTGGCAGAGCAAGTCCAGGAACCAATCTTTCCTTCCCTTTCACTCTCCCTTTCTGTGTTTAAAAAAGATCATATTTGCACATGGTACAAATTTAAGGACAAAAAACTTTATAGTGAAAAGTTAGTCTCTTTCTAACCTTGGTTCCCTGCACTGGCAATAATTCTTTCTGGAAACATCCATGTGTAATTGAACTGTGACCTTGAATTACAAGCAAAAGACCGAAAGAAGTATCTTCAAGGCTGTGGGAATTGCAAATGTTAGCTTTTCTAAATGCTTTGGTTCAGACTCTCTGGTATGGTGTAGCACCTTTGAGCCAGACAGACCTAGGTTGGAATCTGGCTCCAAAGTTGACTGTCCATGCAACTTTAGGTAACTTATTTAACACTTGATTTGTGAGGATGAAATAAGGTAACTTGGTGGGTTCGTGGCATATTGTAGCACATAAGTGCTCAAAAAACTGTCAGTTCTCTTTTGGTTCAGGGAAACTTGTTTTTTAAAAAGACGATCTTATGCAATATGTTCTGAAAGCATGCACAGTGCAAAATACTTGCTATATTAGGTAACTTGCCTTGTTCTTTTTTCCTCTCACAAGTCTTAATTACACTCAGCAAGTGCATTAGAAGTTCTGGAACACTACTATCAGAAAGATCACTGTAATGTTTTAGAAGGCTGTATTTGACTAGTTTAATCTTTAGGAGGTGTAAAATCAAGTTCCAGCCTGTACTGAATTTCAGTGTTAGGATTCAGTCAGCTTGATTCCGAATAGGCCCCTCATGTTTGTATTCCCACACATGTACATCCCTGTAAAAGAGAAGCCCATAAATTAAGAAAATATTTCCATTCACAATAGCATCAAACATATAAAACATTTAGGAAGAAATCTAACATTTGTATGGGGTATATATTTCACAAAATCTTTTAACATGAATTATCTTAATTGGTCCTTATGCCAAAAGCTTGATGCCTACATTATAAATGAGAAAATGGAGACTGAGAGCGACTGAAATGTCTTATCCATGTTCACTCATTTAACGTGTAATTTGGGGCAGTCACAAAGGTGACAGAAACAAAATTCATATCCAAGTTTCCTGACTACTGACTTCCCTGTGCTCTTTCAGCTACTCTGCAGTAGTCTCTAAGGGACATGCTTAGCAATGTCATGGAAGTCTATGAAATGAGAAATGGGGCATGTGGCCGGGTGTGGTGGCTCACGCCTATAATCCCAGCACACTTTGGGAGGCCAAGGTGGGCGGATCGCTTGAGGTCAGGAGTTCAAGACCAGCCTGGCCAATATGGTGAAACCCTGTCTTTACTAAAAATGCAAAAATTAGGCCAGGCGTGGTGGCTCATGTCTATAATCCCAGCACTTTGGGAGGCCAAGGCAGTTCGATCACCTGAGGTCAGGAGTTCAAAAACAGCCTGGCCAACATGGCGAAACCCCATCTCTACTACCAAAAAAATAAAAAATTAGCTGGATGTGGTGGTGGGTGCCTCTAATCCCAGCTATTCAGGAGGCTGAGGCAGGAGAATTACTTGAACTTGGGAGGCGGAGGTTGCAGGGAGCCGAGATTGCACCAGTGCACTCCAACCGGGGCAACAGAGTGAGACTCCATCTCAAAAAAAAAAGAAAAAAAAGACTTTGGGAGGCCGAGGTGGGGGGATCGCTTGAGGTCAGGAGTTCAAGATCAGCCTGGCCAACGTGGTGAAACCCCATCTCTACTAAAAATACAAAAATTAGCCGGGTGTGGTGGCTCATACCTATAATCCCACCTACTCAGGAAGCTGAGGCAGGAGAATTGCTTGTACCTGGGAGGCGGAGGTTGCAGTAGGCCGAGATCGCACCATTGCACTCCAGCCTAGGTGACAAGAGCAAAACTCCATCTCAAAAAAAAAAAAAAAAAGAAATTAGCTGGGCATAATGGGCATCTGTAATCCCAGCTACTCGGGTGGATGAGGCAGGAGAATCACCTGAACCGGGGAGGCGGAGGTTGCAGTGAGCCAAGATTGCACCACTTCTTTCCAACCTGGGTGACAGAGCAAGGCTCCCTCTCAAGAATTCAAAAAAAAGAAAGAAAGAAATGGAGCATGTGAGAACTGCTTTCTGTTTTGTTTTATTTTGTTTGCTTTGAAACAGAAACACGTTTATTCTTAATGTTTTTGACCATTTTGATTCCACCCACTTTTTTCTTTCTCTTTTAAATTTCTAGCCATTCCTTCCAGAAAAATTCCATCCTCCAGATATTGAAGTTAGATGCTGTACAAGCCAATGTACAGTCCAGCTTTGCTCAGTCTGCTCTCCCTTCCATGGCTGAAGTTCTATGATTCTGCTCTGTTAGTTAGCACTGATGGAATCACCTGTAGCTACAGCTTAAGGAAGGAAGGAAGAAAGGAAAGAAGGAAGGGAAGGACGGAGGGGAGGAGGGAGGGAAAGGGAAAGAAAAGGAAAGGGGGAGGGAGGGAGGGAAAGGAAAGAGGGAGGGAAGGAGGGAGGGAGAGAGGAAGGAAGGAAGGCAGGGAGGAGGGAGGGAGAGAGGAAGGAAGGAAGGCAGGGAGGAGGGAGGGAGGGAAAGAGAAAGGAAATGCATAGGGCATTGTAACTTCCCCACAAAAATAGAGCTTTTGAGAAAATAGCAGCCTACTTTGTTCATTTATTCTTTGATTCAATCAGTCACAGAAACATTTATCAGGTATTTACTGAAAGCCAGACACTTTGCCAGGTTCACAAATACAGAAATGATTAAAAACCAACTGCTGCCTTCAAGGCGTTCCTAGTCAAGTAGACAAAGAGTTACAGTAGTGTGTGGGCCATAGCTAAGATCATCCTATCGCTTATTGCAGAGCAGCCCTCTAAGCTTAGATGAAGAATTGTAAGGCTTAACCACAGACGCCTCATATCATAGCTGGCTGGATCTGCGAAAGAAAGCCGAGGTGCAATTAGGAAGAAATGTGGAAATCCCCAGACTGCCACTGGGGTTGTTGGTACCAGTCTGTATCCTTGCCTAATCTGTTTTCATTGATCCACATTGGCCTCTGACTTTGCCCCTCAGCTCTTGCTACATGTTTGTATTTGAAAAGCCACGGGTAAGTGGAGGTTCAGTCTTTCTTTTTTTTTTTTTTTTGAGACGGAGTCTCTGTCTGTTGCCCAGGCTGGAGTGCAGTGGTGTAGCATGATCTCGGCTCACTGCAACCTCCGCCTCCTGGGTTCAAGGGATTCTCCTGCCTGAGCCTCCCGAGTAACTGGGATTATAGGCACCCACCACCACATCCAGCTAATTTTTTGTATTTTTAGTAGAGACAGGGTTTCACCATGTTGCCAGGCTGGTCTTGAACTCCTTACCTCAGGCAATCTGCCCGCCTTGGCCTCCCAAAGTGCTGGGATTACAGATGTGAGCCACTGCACCCGGGCCAGGTTCAGCCTTTCTTCCAGGCATCCTTTCACTTAACCCCAGAGAGGCTTTTATCACACCACGCAATTGAAAAGCTACCTTAAGTTCTCTCCCTTCACTTCTTCAGCTTTCCCATATCTTGGTATTTTGTTTGGGGATCCCTAGTTGTGGAAATACCTAGAGTAACCAGAAAACCTTTCAACTGAACATGATTTCATCTTTAAAGGACTAACTTCAGGACTGATAGCATAACAGAAAGCATATGAGGAAGAGTTAGAAACTTGTTACATCTGGTCACATTGAAACTTCAGTTGTTTTGCATTTTTTGTTGGAGTGGTGGTTAATTTTTTTCAACTAGTCTCACGTCTTAATGATTGAGGTACCAAAAGGGAATGAAGGAAATGAGCAAACTTGCAGTCAAGTCAGAGAATCATAGATGAGATACGAAAGAGGCCTTACAGCACCATTCATCCAACCTTGTTTCACAGATAAGGAAACAGAGAAGTCCACTGATTTGTGTTAAGTCACACAACTGGTCAGCGGAAATATTCATAAATAACTCTGTGTAAGACATACCCAACCATTATACCATTAAAAAAGGGAACTTTCAGTGATATGCTTCTTAGGAACATCTTTATCGTAGGTAGAAATCATACATGAAGTGGCCAGGCACAGTGGCTCATGCCTGTAATCCCAGCACTTTAGGAGGTGGGGCTGGCGGACCACTTGAGATCAGGAGTTGAGACCAGCCTGGCCAACATGGTGAAACCGTGTCTACTAAAAATACAAAAATTAGCCGGGCGTGGTGGCACGCACCTGTAATCCCACCTACTTGGGAGGCTGAGTCACGAGAATTGGTTGAACCCAAGAGGCGGAGGTTGCAGTGAGCCAAGATCACGCCACTGCATTCCTGCCTGGGCGACAGAGTGAAACTGTGTCTCAAAAAAAAAAAAGAAAACAACCAAAAAAAAAAAAAAAAAGGAAAAGAAAAATAACACGTGAAGTATTGTATTGTGTTTCAGAACTTGAATTCCCATCCCACTTTGCCTCCACGTGATCAGGGAAGACCTGCCCCCCGCCCCGCCCCAACTAGAAAGAGACTAAACATAAGCACAGTCCAAGGAAATCACACAACACCCAGGTGTTGGGGCACAGAGGTGGAGCGGTCAGGCCCTGCCCTCCATGGGGCAGGAACAGCTTGTCTGTTGTGCCTTCGCTGCTTCCTCAGTCCATACTGTCACCAGTCCAATGTGGAGGAGGCTGGAAGGAACTACCCCAACCATTTCTTCCATGTGTAGTATGATTTCATGGGAAGGATTATTCCTTTTTAGTGCATTGTTTGGCTATTGTAAGTGCTGGCTGAGTTCGAAATGCAGCATTGGCTGAATCAGTCCAGCCTCTCATTTCCCTGAATAGGTTACCAAACTCCAAATATAAGCCAATGATCAGGGGACGATAAGAGGGAAGTGACCAGATTCTACTTTGGGAGTGTAAATAGGGTAAATAGGGAGTGTAAATGTTGGATATCAGGTGCAGACTGAACTTTAACCTGCATAGGAGTTCAGAACTAGACAAGAGATTGGAAGAAGGGGGCTGTCCTTGGAAGCAGCTGGCCAGAGTATACCCCTGGAGATCTACTGGAAAACTTGGTATTAATAGAAGGGAGCTGTATAAGTAGGAGGAAGGGGAGGTGTTACAGAAGCCGCTGTCCATGGTGCCACACGGACACTTCAGCTCCAGCTTGCAGAGCTTGCAGGACTAGGGTTATTAAAAGCCTGACATGCTGGCATACTGACTCTGAGGGTGGGGACAGCTGGGATAAAATTGGTATAGGCTAGGAACTGAAGCAATGAAAATCTCATTATGCACAGGGGAAGGAGGTAAGTATTGAGAGGCCAGGGGTATGTGTTTGGGGATTTTTAATATTGTAGTAAATACATACGAGATTTACCATTTTAACCATTTGAAATGGTATAATTTAGTGGCATTAAGTTTATTCACGATGTTGCTCAACCATCACCACTATCTAGTTCCAGAACTTTTTCATCACTGTACGTGGAACTCCCATATCCATGAAGCAATCAGTCCCCATTCTAACCTCCGAGTCCCTGGCAACCACTAATCTGCTTTCCCTCTATGTGGATTGTGAATGGATTTTGTCTCAGACAGATCTGGGTTTATCCTGGTTCTGCCCTTTGCTAACAATGTGTCTTTGCTCAACTGACTGACTGCTTCTTTGAGCCTCAGTTTTCCGCATTTTTAGAATAGGAACAAAAATGCTTCACCTGCAGGACTCCTCTTATGAAGACTTTCTGTATGTTAAATGTTTGGCTGAATACCTGGCTCACTCTTGAGTGGAATGCAGTACATGGTAGTTATTGTTTGCTTCATAAAAGCAGTAACAATTAGCCAGGCATGGTGGGATGTGCCAGTAGTCTCAGCTACTCGGGAGGCTGAGGCACGAGAATTGCTTGAACCCGGAAGGTGTAGGTTGCACTGAGGCGAGATCATGCCACTGCACTCCAGCCTGGACCACAGAGCAAGACTTTGTCTCAAAAAATAAAAATATAAAATAAAAAAATAAAAGCAGTAACAGTGGGCTTCCTTTAAATTGTGTACTACTGTATTCACTGCCTATTCACCAAAAATTCAGGTAACACTACTTCATAATCTACTCTGATAGGTGCTGAAGAAGGGAGCTTGACTTTTGCCTTCCAGGCTAGTTCAGGGGTTGGGAGATAACTATGTACTATATTCCTGGACCAATTATATGTCACAGGCTCTAAAGTGCAATTGGAATTTAAAGAAGAAAAATCATTTCATAGTGGTTAGGTGCTCAATATTTGAATGAATGAGTGAGTGAATGAATGAACAGTTGAAGAGTAAATATATGGCAGGCTTATGGAGGAGGCAGAACTTGTGCTGGATCAATTTAATAAGTACCATTGCATATCTTTCATCTCCAAAATCAATCTGGTCATTAGGATGCATAGCTGTGCTTAAGGCAGATAAAAGAAACTGTATTTTTAAAAATTATGTATTTTTATTATTTTAAAATTTTAATTGACACATAATTGTACATAGTTATGTGAAACTGATTTTGATTATTGTTTTTAGATGACTAGTCCAAAACTTTTTAATTTTAATTTTATTTTATTTTATTTTATTTTTTGAGACAGTGTCTCACTCTGTCACCCAGGCTGGAGTGTCTCACTCTGTCACCCAGGCTGGAGTGTCTCACTCTGTCACCCAGGCTGGAGTGCAGTAGCCATGATCTTGGCTCACTGCAACTTCTACCTCCTGGGTTCAAGCAATGATTCTCATGCCTCAGCCTCTTGAGTAGCTGGAATTACAGGCCCACCCCACCACACCTGGCTAGTTTTTGCATTTTTAGTAGAGACAGGGTTTCGTCATGTTGGCCAGGCTGGTCTCAAACTCCTGGACTCAAGTGATCTTCCCTCCTGAGCCTCCCAAAGTGCTGGGGTTACAGATATGAGCCACCACACCCAGCCCAAAGCTTTTATTTTTTATTTTAATTAATTTTTTAGAGACGGAATCTTGTTCTGTTGCTTGGGCTGGAGTGCAATGGCTCACTGCAGCCTCAAGCCCCTGGGCTCAAGAGATCCTCTTGCCTTAGCCTCCTGTGTAGCTGGAAGTACAGACATGCACCACCATGCCCAGCTAATTTTTATTTTTTGTAGAGATGGGTTCATGCTATGTTGCCCAGGCTGGTCTTGAACTCCTGGGCACAAGTGATCTTCCCACCTCAGCCTCAAAGTGCTGGGATTATAGGCATGAGCCACTGCACCCAGCCCAAAACTTGTAAAGGTTACATGTACTTCCATCAAGGAAGTTTAAAGGGAGGTAGATTTGAGCTCAGTACCGAAGAAATTTACTATTAGTGTTGGAAGGGAGGTGGCAATTGTGTATAGATCAAGGAGAGGCCATTGACATTCTTTAAGATACTGTAGAAAGCATTTATTTATCAGATTGAAACAGAAGAAAACCTTAATTCTAAATCTTTTCACTTAAAAAAAAGTCCTATGTCTCTGTTTCTATCCGTGAACTTGGTAGATACTAGTTGGTAAATTGGTAAGGGTTATTCTTTTTTATTTTTTTATTTTTTTGAGATAGAGTCTTGCTCTATTGCCCAGGCTGGAGTGCAATGGCATGATCTCGGCTCACTGCAACCTCCACCTCCTGGGTTCAAGCGATTCTCCTGCCTCAGCCTCCCGAGCAGCCAGGATTACAGGTGCACACCACTACGTCCAGCTAACTTTTGTATTTTTAGTAGAGACGGGTTTCACCATGTTGGCCAGGCTGGTCTCGAACTCCTGACCTCGTGATCCACCCGCCTCTGCCTCCCAAAGTGCTGGGATTACAGGTGCCGTGAACCGCTGTGCCCAGCTGATAAGTGCTACTCTTAATTTTTCTTTCTCTTTCTGCATGCTCTTCCCCTCATCACTATCCATTTAACCTGCTTTATTTTTCTTCCTAGCACTCGTCACTACCTGGTATTATATAGTTGTTGTTTCTTGCCTGCCTCCTCTACTAGAATATTAGCTCCTTGAAGCAGATACTTTGTTCAGCACCGTATCTGCAGGGCTGCAAGTGTGCTAGCACAAAAGTGGCACTCAATAAACATTTGTTGAATCTTTATATAAAAATAATATATACGTATAAATAGCTGTACATTATTTCCTAAATTTTAGGCACAAGTAGTACTTGTTCATTATAAGAAGATATAGAAAAGTATAAGGAAGAAACAAACAAAAAATTAGCGGATTTTTTTTTTTTTTTTGAGACGGTGTTTTACTCTTGTTGCCCAGGTTGGAGTACAGTGGCATGATCTCGGCTCACTGCAACTTCCGCCTCCTGGGTTCAAGCGATTCTCCTGCCTCAGCTTCCCAAGTAGCTGGGATTACAGGCATGTGCCACCATGCACTGCTAACTTTGTATTTTTAGTAGAAATGGGGTTTCACCATGTTGGTCAGGCTGGTGTCGAACTCCTAACCTCAGGTGATCCACCCGCCTCAGCCTCCCAAAGTGCTGGGATTATAGGTGTGAGCCACCGCCCCTGGCCAAATTAGAGGAATTTATCAGCAACAACATATAACCCTGAGGAATGTGCTCAGTTGAGTTCTTGTTAAAGTTTGGGGTGCTTTGGCCCTATCAAGCCAGTAAATAATGAAGACTTAACTCCATTTGTTTTTTGTTTTCTTTGTTGTTCTTGTTTGGGGGCTTATTATTTTTTGTACAAAAAATCCTGGTAAGGAAGGATGGCTCCACAGGGATTACCTCCGAGAACACAGGATCCAAAGCCGAACAATAGGTCTTTACGTTATCTGGAAGAATCTCTTCTTTTGCCTCCTGTAATTGGTGATATCATCATTAGGCCTATACATGACTTCTGAACGCTGCTGTACACAGCACTTCATTTAGCTGGGCTTATGGAGATTAGATCATGCACAGGAAGCTGGCTCCTTGGCTAACAGGCTCCAGAGAGGAGTCAGGAGGCTTAAGGGATGTGAAAAATTAGGGCTGATTTTTAAGAGACAGGATTCACTGGAAAAGCACAGAGATTTTTCCAGCTCATGAAAGTGCCTCCATGATCTTTAGTTTCATGAACAACGTTGATTCCTACTTCAAAACTCTTTCTATAAATAAGGGCCTCTTTGAGCTTCCCTTCCCTTCCTTTTATTGTGTTGTATTGTATTTTATTTTTTATAGTGATGGGGTCTCACCATGTTGCCAAGGCTGTTCTCAAACTCCTGGGCTCAAGTGATCCTCCCTCCTTGGCCTCCCTAAGTGCTGGGATTACAGGTGTGAGCCATCACACTGGGCCGCTTTCACCCGCAAAATAGGGCTCCTAGTAGTGACTTTGTGAGATTGTTATAATTTTAACAAGCTAGCTCTTTAAAGAATCTAGCATAGTACTTGGAAGATAAAAACCTATTATGATTCCCAGAACATACACCATGAGCATAATCATTGTCAGCTCATTTTCTTTCTCTTTTTACCATTATCACTGTCCATACTATCAGGTTTTAATTAACTTCTTATAACAGAATTACATTTTGAAATCCTATTGTGTTTAATTGGAGTTTTGAATAACATTTTTGTACTTCTTAAGATACTTGCAATTATCTGCCTTATTATTATTATTATTATTATTATTATTATTATTGGTTTACTTGGCTGGGTGCAGTGGCTCATACCTGTAATTCCAGCACTTAGGGAGGACGAGACAGGAGGACTGCTTGGGCCCAGGAGTTCGAGACCAGCCTGAACAACATGGCAAAACCCCATCTCTACTGAAAATACAAAACATTAGCCATGCATGCTGGTGTGTGCCTGTGGTCCTGGCTACCTGTGAGGCTGAGATGGGAATATCACTCGAGCTTGGAGATTGAGGCTGCAGTGAGCTGTGATTGCACCACTGCATTCCAG
The DNA here is from genome assembly GCF_000001405.40 of Homo sapiens. Classification (NCBI taxonomy): domain Eukaryota; kingdom Metazoa; phylum Chordata; class Mammalia; order Primates; family Hominidae; genus Homo; species Homo sapiens. The sequence goes on from NC_000016.10 coordinate 68,899,245, forward strand.
CCTGGGTGAGAGAGACCATATCTCAAATATAATAATAATAGGTTTACTTTTTTTATTCTTCCCATATATCACAAGCAATATGAAGGATTATGACCCTTACTGATTTCTATATTCACTACAGTACCTAAAACAGTGCTTTGAGCCCAGTGAGTGTTCAGTAAAAGTTTGTTGAATTGAATGCGTTTGTGCTAGCCTTATTGAAAGGTACAACTAAAACATGCAGCATTACGATTATTAATAAAATTCACCATCCTCACACACTTTTTTTTTTTTTTAATTTTTTTCATAGGCAGTAGTCAACATCCTCACACACTTAACCATGTAGAGCCAGTACAGATCTAGGTGAACAGTGCAATTACTTTTCTTTTTTTTTGAGACAGGGTCTTACTCTGTCACCCAGGCTGGAGGGCAGTAGCATGATCATAGCTTATTGCAGCTTTGAATTCCTGGGCTCAAGCGATCCTCCTGCCTCAGCCTACCACGTAGTTAGGACTGTAGGTGTGCACTACCAAGCCTGGCTAATTTTTAAATTTTTTTGTAGAGATGGGGTCTTACTATGTTGCCCAGCTAGGCTTGAATCCTGGCCTTAAACAATCCTCCCTCCATGACCTCCAAAAATTCTGGGATTACAGACATGAGCCACTGTGCCCAGCCCTACAGTATAATTTCTTTGAACATTTATAGAATTAGGGAGAATAGGACATGTCCATGTGGTGGTCACATCTTAAGAGTGATGAAACTGGAGTAAGCAGTGTTTTGGGTTTGGTTTGATTTTCCAAATCCAGTTTTAAGTTTTTCCCTTTGGTAGTAATTACTTGTTCCTAATAGCAGGGCCTTCAGCAGTAGGACAGTTATCATATGGTTACACAATAGGTAAATTAGGAAACTCAGACATAGCCAAAAGTAGGAAAGGAAGAGGTCAGAAAGCGGGGTAGTTGACCTATTCTGGGCAGTTCTAGGGACTGCACACATGAAATGGTGCTGCTCCAGTTCACTGTCTTGTTTCAGCCTGTCTGCCAAACTCAAATTGTTTCATTGCCATATCTGAGCACATCTTTGGAGCTAAAATGGTGTGATTCGGATGAGATATTGCTTAAGACGCTGAGCCCTGCTAGGTGTTTGGTGTGTGATTCCCGTTGCTCTGGCCAGGCAGTCATGGGATTATTCTTCACCATTTCCTTTTTTCTAGGTGTACGTGGTTGGGAATGAACCTTTAACAGTTTTGATGGATTCCCTGCTTCCAGTCCTGGGAGTGCTTTTTCTTCTCTACTGTTTTACTAAGCAGAGTGTGTCTCACATAAGGTAAACAATCAAGGGACCCTTATTTGTTTATAAATTGTGACGTCTTTTTTGCATGTTGTTTTTGTTCTTATTTTGAATTTATATTTGCCACTTTGAAATTATCATTTCCTTTCAAAGTCAGGAAAACACTGGGATCTTCCTATTTTGCTCATCTAGAAGAGAACAAGAATTTTGCAGATCACAGGGCATTGGATACAGTTTTTAGAATGACTTTCCTCAGCCTCTGTCCTAAATCTCAAAGACAAAATCTCTGTTTACATGTGTAAACATGCCACTTTTCGATCAGTGAGAAATACTGCAATTACATGTCTAGGAAGAAGGAAATAGGGGATGGATCATAATGACCTTGTGGGGAGTTAGAAAACACATTTGGGAAATCTAGATCTGAATGTGGCACTTTGTAATTTAGCCTAGGATTTGGTGTTGGTGATGCAGTGTGTTGTTTAGATAGAAGGGATTTCTTAGTCATCCAGAAAATACTCCTTTGTCGTAGAATTTAAGTAGGATTCATTTTGTATCAGCTCTATTTTCACAGTAATTTATGTTGTTTCTTCCTCCAGGTAAGAGTTATCTTATCTCAAGTCCTATAGAATTACGATTTTTGGTGTTTGGAGATCCTCACATGTAATCCAATATGCAATAATAGTACCTTCTTCACAGAGTTATTGTGAAGACTAAATATGCATTAATGTGTTTAGTACAGTCCCCGGCAAATAGTAAGCTCAATAAATGGTAGCTATCATTATCACCATTGCTAAGTGGTGAAGGAAAACACCATCTTTTGTACTATTCAAAGCTTACATAGTTCCCCTGGCTCTTCAGCTTGAGTCAGCACATCCTTGTATCCCACAGCTGCAATGGCAACGACAAGAGAGAATGCATTGGAAGAGGGAGGCTGTACATCTGTGAACTTGGTTTCAAGGGACAGTCCACAAAATAACTCTTGTTTTTGTTTTTTTTGAGACGGAGTCTCGCTCTGTTGCCCAGACTGGGGTGCAGTGGTGCGATCTCGGCTCACTGCAACCTCTGCCTCCTGAGTTCAGGCGATTCTCCTGCCTCAGCCTCCTGGGTAGCTGGGCTTATAGGCACCTTCCACCATGCCCGGCTAATTTTTGTAGTTTTAGTAGAGACAGTGTTTCACCATGTGGCCAGCCTGGTCTCGAACTCCTGACCTCAGGTGATCCACCCACCTCAGCCTCACAAAATGCTGGGATTACAGGCGTGAGCCACCGCACCTGGCCTCTTGTTTTTGTTTTAAAACTCAAGTCCTCACAGCACTGTCATGTTCTCATCAGAGACTGACAAGGAACATGTGAACGATGATTTAGTTCCTCTTCTAGTTGATTGGCACAGATGAAAGGGGTTGAGGAATCAGCAATATTTTGTTGGTATGCTGTTTCTTGGTCTCCAGCTGTTGGTCTTGCTGAGAGTAGATGATTTTTATCCGTGTATACTTTCTTTGACAGTGCCTGATGCAAAGGCAGTAGTACACTTGGAATTACCAAAAAAAAAAAAAAAAAAAATCACGTGGGGCTCATGTGGCAAATCAGGGTTGCTGCCAGAGCCAAGGATTAGTCAGTCACTCATTGAATTTCAGGATATTTGCATTCTGAAATTCACAAGAAGCATACTTTCCATTCCTGCATTTCAGTAGTACTAGGAGATTGTGCCAGCATTTAAAATGCAGTGGAACCTGACAGCCTTTCTTTCTTTTTTTATGTTAGCTTGTTAGATGCATGGAGTAAGATGACAAGCTCATTCATAACTGCTTTTTCTGCCAGGTCACTTTGCCAAGAAATCTTATTATGGATTCTGGGGAAGCTGGAAAGGAAGAAGGCAATTGCCAGCCTGAAAGGATTTGCAGGGTTGGACAAAGCTGTGCCCTCTCTCCATTCTCTGTGTCAGTTTAGAGTTGCCACTCAAGGTGGCATTATGATTACCATCAAAGAGGCCATTAGGTGAGTCCACCCATCCGTTACTGTTCTCTTCAGATTTAGTTCCGCCCAAAAGGCCATTCAGTGATTCAACCACTAAGGGGCGCTGATAGAAAAGAAACCAGAAACTCAAGTGGCTCAGGTGCCTGCTATTTATATTCTCTAAATGAAACGTGAGCCTTAAATAATCCTCCAGGTTTTTTCCTAAGATGCCTGCTAATAGTTGGTGCAATTTACTGGAGCCTCACAGCTCTGCATCACAACAAGCCCACTTACTCCACCATCTTTGCCAGTTAATCAGAGTAAAGGGCAGACACATGTTCACCCTTAACACCATAATAATCCAATTATCTTTCTGACTCTCAAAATGGTATATGTGTGTGTTTATAGTCAGACTTATTCCTGAGGGAAATTGTCTAATAGCTATCTTTTATGGTAATTTTATGATGGAAATTTGTTTCTCATAGGGATTGATTAGAAAGTGCTTAATAAATATTAGTGGAATGGATCATTTATTTCTCCAGCATCTCACAATTGCATATTTTAAATTATTTCCACTTTCTGGATGATCTAATGTTATTACCTCAGAACGTAAATTCCTGTTGGTCATAGTCCATGTAACATTCATGGGTGACTGCTATCCTGTTTGGATTTCACATCACATTCAAAGTGCTGCTGTTTGTTGAAGTGTTGAAATATAATTATATATTCATGGTTAACTTGGTAAAGTTGTAAAACACCCCTTCAGTTTGATGGACTTGAGGAAAATAGAAAAACACATAGATTGCAAACAGAATTATCAGTACAAACGCAAGCTGCTATTCTGCCCAGCAACAGTTATCAAGAAGATGTTTTTGGCCAGGCACGGTGGCTCACACCTGTAATCCCAGCACTTTAGGAGGCTGAGGCGGGTGGATCACCTGAGGTTAGGAGTTTGAGACCAGCCTGGCCAACATGGTGAAACCCCATCTCTATTAAAAATACAAAAATTAGCCAGGCATGGTAGTGCATGCCTGTAGGCCTAGCTACTTGTGAGGCTGAGGCAAAAGAATTGCTTGAATCAGGAGGTGGAAGTTACAGTGAGCTGGGATCGTACCACTGCACTCCAGCCTGGGCAACAGGGCGAGACCATCTCAAAAAAAAAAAAAAAAAAAAGAAGGACCAGGCGTGGTGGCTCACACCTGTAATCCCAGCACTTTGGGAGGCCGAGGTGGGTAGATCACTTGAGGTCAGGAGTTCAAGACCAGCCTGGCCAACATGGTGAAACCCCATCTCTACTAAAAATATAAAAATTAGCCGGTTGTGGTGGCTGGCGCCTGTAGTCACAGCTACTCAGGAGGCTGAGGCAGGACTGTCACTCGAACCCAGGAGATGAAGGTTGCAGTAAGCCAAGATTGCGCCACTGCACTTCAGCCTAGGTGACAGAGTGAGACTCTGTCTCAAAAAAAAAAAAAGAAGTTTATTTAAAGAAACTCTATAAGAGCAGCTTGGATTTTATATCTTTAGATCCAGAGTTTTTACTTTTCTGGAATTAAATATAATTGTTTGGAATTTACTCTTTATTGTTGAATTTTAAAGCGTGACTAAAGTAGTGCTTCTTAAGATAATTGTCATGTGTTTTTGTTTTGTTTTGTTTTGTTTTTTGGTGCTGAGTGTTGCTCTGTCGCTCAGACTGGAGTGCAATGGCATGATCTTGGCTCACTGCAACCTCTGCCTCCTGGGTTCAAGCAATTCTCTTGTCTCAGCCTGCCAAGTAGCTGGGACTACAGGTGCGCGCCACCATGCCAGGCTAACGTCGTGTTGTTTTAGGAGTATTTGAATACAGTACTTCATTTTCACAATTAAAATGGCTCACAGAAGCTTAGAAGGGACGTTTATCCATTTTGGCTTTTCCTTTAACATAGAATGTTGTGGAGAAAACATGACTGATCTGAAGGACTCTGGAAGATTCTGGGATAATACAGGAAATATCCTAAGCTAAATATGTAGGTTATTCATTCTATTAGAGGAATATGAAGTCCATGTTCTTAGTGAACTGGCACATTGAGACATACTGCCTGATGAGATGGGCTGCCAAATTAGTAATTGTACTTTTCAATGAGATGAAGAAACATCTATCTTTTTTTTCTCAACTTAGTCTGAAAAAATTTTATGTCATTGGTCACTGAAATAACACATATTCTTTGTACAATACAAAAAACACATAAAGAGGAAAACAAAAGTCAACTAGTATCTTATTTTCTGTTCACATTATTTTAGTGTTTTGCTTTTTAGTGCATCTTCAATGCCTTTGTATTTGTTTATATGATAATATGGTATAATAATATAGTATCTTGAGCTGGGTATGGTGGTTCATACTGGTAATCCCAGCACTTTGGAAGGCCAAGGTGTGAGGATTGCTTGAGGCCAGGAGTTCAAGACCAGCCTGGGCAACATAGCGAGACTCCATTTCTTAAAAAAGGCCAGGCGCAGTGGCTCATGCCTGTAATCCCAGCATTTTGGGAGGCCGAGACGGGCGGATCACCTGAGGTCAAGAGTTTGAGACCAGCCTGACCAACATGGAGAAACCCCGTCTCTACTAAAAATACAAAATTAGCCGGGCGTGGTGGCATGGTGGCGCATGCCTGTATTCCCAGCTACTTGGGAGGCTGAGGCAGGAGAATTGCTTGAACCTGGGAGGCAGAGGTTGCGGTGGGCCGAGATTGTGCCATTGCACTCCAGTCTGGGCAACAAGAGTGGAACTGTGTCTCAAAAAAAAATAAAATAAAATTGGGGCTGGGCGCAGTGGCTCACGCCTGTAATCACAGCACTTTGGAAGAGGCTGAGGTGGGTGGATCACGAGGTCAGGAGTTTGAGACCAGCCTGGCCAACATGGTGAAACCCTGTCTCTACTAAAAATACAAAAATTAGCCAGGCGTGGTGGCGGGCACCTGTAATCCCAGCTACTCAGGAGGCTGAGGCAGGAGAATCACTTGAACCCAGGAGGTGGAGGTTGCAGTGAGCCGAGATTGCGCCATTGCACTCCAGCCTAGGTGACGAGCGAAACTCTGTCTCAAAAAAAAAAAAAAGTTAAAAAAATAGTAAGTACACACACAGGTGTATATATATGTATACATAGTATCTTTGTCTCTTGTCAGAATAATTAAAAACTAAAAGCCATAGTACCTCATGGGAAAGTACAAAAATTTCTTGCCCAGCCTGGGCAATGTGGCAAAACCCGGTTTCTACAAAAAAATACAAAAATTAGTTGGTTGTGATGGTGCCCCTCTGTAGTCCCAGCTACTTAGGAGGCTGAAGTGGGAGGATTGCCTCAGACTGGGAGGTTGAGGCTGCAGTGAGCCACGATCGCACCACTGCACTCCAGCCTAGGCAATGAGTGAGACCCTGTCTCAAAAATTAAAAAAGAACAAAACAAAAAATGGCCGAGCACAGTGGCTCACCTGTAATGCCAGCACTTTGGGAGGCCGAGGTGGGCAGATCACGAGGTCAGAAGTTCGAGACCAGCCTGGCCAACATAGTGAAACCCTGTCTCTACTAAAAATACAAAAAATTAGCTGGGCATGGTGGTGGGCGCCTGTAATCCCAGCTACTCAGGAGGCTGAGGCAGGAGAATCGCTTGAACCCAGGAGGCGGAGGTTGCAGTGAGCCAAGATCGCGCCATTGCATTCCAGCCTGGGCAACAGGAGCGAGATTCTATCTCAAATAAATAAATAAATAAATAATTATAGAAATTTTCGCAGTAACCATAGCACTGATTTAGCCAGATTTTATAACTTGGTAATCATGTTCAACCTACTCATTTTTCTGAACCTTTATGCATTTTCTTATCTCGGCTAATTGGTTCCTTTCAGTTGAGACTGCATGTCCTCCCATGATGATCACATCTTTTTCTGCTGCCCATAACCCTTCAGTGGCTCATCAGAAAAAAGTCAAAGTTCCTTTGAATGACATCCAAGGCCTTCTGTGATCTAGCCTTACTTTGCAGCCTTCTCTTTCTTTGTTTTTCCTCAGGACCCAGAATATCTGCATATGACTTATACTTTAATTCCTCCTTGCTTTTGCAGAAGTAATAGTAATTCTCCAACATCCATCTTTTTTTTTTTTGTAGAAATGAGATCTTGCCATGTTGTCTATGTTACTTGAGTTCAGTGGCTATTCATAGTTGTGACCATAATGTACTACAACCTCAAACTCCTGGGCTCAAGCAGTCTCCCTGCCTCAGCCTCCTAGTGCACTACAGGTGTGCACCACTGTGCCCAGCTAATATCCATCTTCATGACCATGCAGGACATAACCGCCTAGTTTCTTCTTCTTTTTTTTTTTTTTTTTTGAGACAGAATTTCACTCTTGTTACCCAGGCTGGAGTGCAATGGCACAATCTCGGCTCACTGCACCCTCCGCCTCCTGGGTTCAAGCGATTCTCCTGCCTTAGCCTCCCAAGTAGCTGGGATTATAGGCATGAGCCACTACGCCCAGCTAATTTTTGTATTTTTTAGTAGAGACGGGGTTTCACCATGTTGGCCAGGCTAGTCTCAAACTCCTGACCTCAGGTGATCCACCCGCCTCGGCTTCCCAAAGTGCTGGGATTACAGGTGTGAGCCACCTCACCCAGACCTTGATTTTTTTTTTTTTTTTTTTTTGTATTTTTAGTAGAGATAGGGCTTCATTGTGTTAGCCAGGATGGTTTTTGTCTCCTGACCTCATTATCCTCCCGCCTTGGCCTCCCGAAGTGCTGCGATTACAGGCGTGAGCCACCGCGCCTGGCCCATAACAGCCTAGTTTCTGATAATCAATACTTTTTTCAGAATGGAGAAACAATAAAATAAGTTAAATAAATTTGGGGGATCTTTTTAATGGTTAACTGTTTGGACATAACATGTTACTTTAGAAGATTGTTATGGGGTTTAAAATTATGTGTATCTCTGGTGACACTACCAAGATAAATTTTACCCTGCATTGCAGTGATGAAGATGAAGATGAAGCCCTGTACCAGAAGGTATCCTCTGAGCAGGGCCGGGTGGAGCATCTCGGGGACTTGCTGTCCCACTGCCAGGAATGCGGTTTGGCAGGAGACTTCTTCATCTTCTGTTTGAAAGTAAGAACTACCTGTAGTTCCTGGTCAGTGTTGTTCCAGGGGAGTTCCAGGAAACCCTTAGAATTTTCAAAGCATTTATAATTTTAGGTCCTAAAATGTAGGCCCTAATTTAAGGAAAATGGTCAGAGGACATAAAGGAATTTATTTTTTAGTAGCCTTTGGATTGGTAAAAGGAAGAAACTTCTCTTCACTAGTACTCATGTTATCTACTACTTCTCCAAGTAATCGGCACTGACAGTTTAGAGATGAACAAAGCAAAACCCTCGATCCATGAAAGGGTTAATCTTTGCTCTGTGTTGACAGTAAGAACTCTTTTGAAGTTAATAGCAGGTTTTACAGCTATAGAGTAATCCCTTATCCTTTCTGACTGTTGTTTTGTCAGGTATTTGCAAAGGAGATTTAGCAATTCTGCCTCCTTCATTTCATTTTGCAGGCACTTGAAGCCTTTTCCGGGTTTGTTTCTTAGTGCCAGTGGTTGTGCTTTGCTTGCTTTTCTTCTGTTCTCTGAGAGTAACTTGTACCCCATAATGTTACTCCTTGTTGCACTGTATGACATCATAAGCCAGTGACCTCCAGCTCTGCTTTCTCAACTTCTTCCCCTAAGTAAAGTGTCTACTCTAAAAGAACTCTAAGAGAGTTTAAGGTTTCTGTGGGTATGGGAGAATTCAAGGAGGGAATCAGGGCTAACATTTCGAGAACTTGAAATAGGGGACACCACTTTTTGATGCTTTCTTACCTCCCATGTTCACACCCGTCCCCGTGCCCAGCAATACTCTTTCTAAATCACGTTCCAAGGGGATGTGCTCTTAATTGTATACTTAAAAAAAGGTGGCTCACGCCTGTAATCCCAGCACTTTGGGAGGCCGAGCCAGGTGGATCACCTGAGCTCAGGCATTTGAGACCAGCCTGGGCAACATGGCGAAACCCCATCTCTACCAAAAATACAAAAAAAAAATCAGCCTGGCATGGTGGCTTGTGCCTGTAGTCCCAGCTACTTGGGAGGCTAAGGTGAGAGGATCACTTGAGCCCAGGAGGCAGAGGTTTCAGTGAGCCAAAAAGGGTAGGTGAATAGCCTACAAAACCCACAGTAATACATGATTTCTTAGAAGTTAGTTCTAAGTATCTTAGAGGAAAAGAGCTGTAGTGCTGGAGGCATCTCATGGTCTCCAAAAGGGGTTTGAGAATGTGAGGTGATCTGAGGTCTCAGTTCAAGGAAGGCTACTAGTAGAAATCATAAAAATACCCACAAAGCAGAAAGCTTGTCAAACCATTTCTTTGTGTGTGTGTGTTTTATTATGAGATTTTAGATTTTTATATACATGGTATCATACTGTACATATTATTCTGCAACTTAGATTTTTCACTCAGTAGTGTTTTTGAGATCTATCTATATTGATACCCATATAAATCTAATTCATTTATTTTAACTGCTGTGATACAATAAATACATCATAATTTTTTCTTATTGCTGGACATTTAGCTTGTCTCCAAGTTTTGGCTATTATAAATAATGTTGCAACAAACACAGACTATTTATTTAAACATGCAGTTCAAACAGAGTTTTCTGCTTATGTTTGAGAAGGCCTTAGTTGTACTGGCTTTATCTTCACTTTTTCTTTCCTGCCATGCTTGTAGGAGTTGACTCATGTGGCCTCGGAAAATGAAACAGAGTTAAAAACTGAGCCCTTCTCCAGCAAGAGCCTCTTGGAATTAGAGCAACATCAGACTCTTCTTGTGGAAGGCCAAGAGCGGAAGCTGCTTGTCCTGCAGCTGATGGCTGTTCTGTGCGAGAGAATGTCTGAGCAGATATTCACAAACGTCACTCAGGTCAGTAGTTGCCACATTCTGGACCGCAGCCTTTTTTTCTTTCCAAAAAATAAAGTTTAAAAATGTTGCTGAGAGTGTGATTTGATGACACCTGGATCATGAGGTGTTTCCTGGAATGCTGGTTAAATATGGAAACTACACAGCCCACACCAGGCCACTGAATCCAAAACGTTCCAGTGTCCTGAGACTCCACACGTTTAACAAGCTCCCGAGGTGATTCTCATGCAAGTAAAATTTTGTCTTAAATGTTTATATATTATGTTATAGTAGTTTTCAACTTTGGGTGCAAAACAAGTTATCTGGGATCTTTTTCAATATATTGATAGCCAGCCCACGTTTAGAGATTCTGATTCAGCATGTCTGCATTAGAGCCCGGGCATCTTCGTCCTACTCAAGCTCCATGGATGATCTAAGGTGTATCAAAACTTGAAAATGATTATACACTCAACTTGAAGAAATCACTAATAATAATGAGATCACCTTGAATTTCATTATGGGTCCTGTAACTCACAGCTTATCTCCACAACATTCTCTTAAGTTTTAAGATGTTTTAAAAAATGCTTTTAGAGGAGTATCACTATGCGAGTCAGTGTCTGAATTGTATTGGCTCAGACATTATTTTTCCCACCTTTAAAAAAGATAGGAAATAAAAGTAATAAAGCAAAGGCAGTACAGTTGCCAGATTTTACCACTTAACCAGAATTAGTTGTAGCTTGGTTGGTCAATAGGCAGTTGTAAGATGGCATGATTGTCACGCTTAAATCTGATTCTCCAGCTCTTTGTATGGTCGTCATTGTCATCTGCCTTCGGGTGTTGCTAAGCAGCATTTCACTATAGCTCCTGCTGAGAAAATTTGCAGCTGCCTGTCAGCTCTGACTTACCGTGCCTGTTTAATGAGAATTATGCTCATGATTTCTTTCCTGGCCTCTTATTCTTTCAGTTCACTGACCCCGTGTTACTCAGTAGGGTGATTTGTTTCTCCTGTGTTTATATCCATTCTCTGGACACTTCTTCATCCAGACCTTATGTTTTTGTCTCAGGATGCTAGTTGGAAGGGGAAATGGTCTAAAAATTGATATGACTTGAGCTTTTGCACTTAGCTCCCTTTACTCCTAATTAAGGAACAATGGTGTCAGGCTGGTAGAAAAATGATTTGTCCCATTAAATTATCCTTCAGCTAAGGTTAAAATGTATCAGGGCAAAAAGAACCACAAGGAAATATTAAATTGCATTTGGTAATGTCACTGCTCGTGATAATATTGGTATATTGTTTTGTTTTATTATTATTTTTTGAGATGGAGTCTGTCTCTGTCGCCCAGGCTGGAGTGCAGTGGCGCAGTCTCGGCTCACTGCAACCTCCACCTCCTGGGTTCAAGCAATTCTCCTGCCTCGGCCTCCCAAGGAGCTGGGATTACAGGTGTGCACCATTGTGCCCAGCTAGTTTTTGTATTTTTAGTAGAGATGGGGTTTCACCATGTTGGCCAGGCTGATCTTGAACTCCTGACCTCAGGTGATCCACCCACCTTGGCCTCCCATAGTGCTGGGATTACAGGCGTGAGCTACCGTGCCCAGCCATTATTGGTATATTGTTTTGAAACACACACATATAGATAAAGAAAATAAGTTAATGTAATTTTGTGAATATTATTAGGGATCAAGATTTTTAGCATAAAAAAGAGGTATAAAGTAAAGAACCAGAGTAAAGACCCTATAATTTATTTTATTTTATTTTAAGAGACAGAGTCTCACTATCAGCCCAGGCTGGACTTGAATTCCTGGGCTCAAGTGATTCTCCCACCTCAGCCTCCCAAGTAGCTGAGACAACAGGTGCACACCACCGTGCCCAGCTTAAAACCCTGTAATATTGAATTTCAGTTGGAAATATTAGTATGAACTCACAATTTATTTTTCTCTTTTTAAAAAATAGATATTTCCAGCTCAGTCCATTGTCAATCCCAAGAAGCAATGACAACCCAGTAGCAATAAGCATTCTTAGTGACAATTTATAGTTTCTTTTTTTTTTTTTTTTTTGAGACTGAATGTGACTCTGTCGGCCCAGGCTGGAGTGCAGTGGTGCGATCTCGGCTCACTGCAACCTCCACCTCCCGGGTTCAAGTGATTCTCCTGCCTCAGCCTCCCAAGTAGCTGGGATTACAGGCACATGCCACCACGCCTGGCTAATTTTTCTATTTTTAGTAGAGACGGGGTTTCGCCATGTTGGCCAGGTTGGTCTTGAACTCCTGACCTCAAGCAATCCACCTGTCTCGGCCCAAAGTGCTGGGATTACAGGCATGAGCCACTGTGCCCAGCCCAATTTATAGTTTCTAAATACCATTTTCTACTAAAAGAATTCTAAGCTTTATATGGAATAAGGTTGATTCGAAGTCTGAGGCAGGCAGGAATCATACATTTATAAGCCTCAAGGCATCTTGTTGTGCTTAAATACAAGGAAGCGACCTGAGATGAATGGGATCATATCTGTAGCACACTGGAGCCAACTTGAAGGGACTCCCATTGCCATAGATAGGACAATTAGATCATTAAAAGGAATAATGCCTGCAATGGTTGAAGTACATCAAAGATATAAAAATCTGAGTCAAAGAAAAAAACCCTCATAGGACATCTTTGGGATTGCCAGGGCATCAACTCATTATTTGGTACCTTGTTAAGTAAAGGGAAAGAATAAAGCATTTGTCTTGTGTTTCCTGTAAGAATTGTATGTCAGGGTAACCAAATGGTATACGAAGGAAAATCTTTCTTTATAGGAGAATCATAGCTAAAAATTCAAAAAGAAAACTAGAAAATTACGTCTTGGCAGGGTGCTATGGCTCACGCCTGTAATCTTAGCACTTTGGGAGTCTGAAGCAGGAGGATTGCCTGAGCCCACGAGTTCGAGACCAGCCTGGGCAACATGGCAAAACCTCACCTCTACTGAAAATACAAAAACTAGACCGGGTGCAGTGGCTCACGCCTGGAATCCCAGCACTTTGGGAGGCTGAGGTGGGCAGATCACTTGAGGCCAGGAGTTTGAGACCAGCCTGGCCAACATGGTGAAATCCCATCTCTACTAAAAATACAAAAAATTAGCCAGGCATTGTGGCACGTGCCTATAATCCCAACTACTGGGAGGCTGAAGCAGGAGAATTGCGTGAACTTGGGAGGTGGAGGTTGCAGTGAGCCGAGATCGCACCACTGCACTGCGCTTCAGGCTGGGTAACAAGAGCAAAACTCCGTCTCAAAAAACAAAAAACATTTAAACAACAGGGAAGTTCATAATGTAAAAAATAGGGACTTCTGGTGAAAGACAGTGTACTGAACACGTTTATCTGCTCCCTCTGGAAGCCACAGGGACCAACAGAGCAGGAGAGAAGAGACCTAAAAGGTAATAGCCGACCAGGTGTGGTGGCTCACGCCTGTAATCCCAGCACTTTGGGAGGCCGAGGTGAGCGGAGCATTTGAGCCCAGGTGTTCGAGACCAGCCTGATCAACATAGCAAGACCCCATCTCTCAAAAAAAAAAAAAAAAAAATTAGCAGGGTGTGGTGGCAAGCGCCTGTAATCCCAGCTATTCGGAAGGCTGAGGCATGAAAAACACTTGAACCCGGGAGGCGGAGGTTGCAGTGAGCCGAGATTGCGCCACTGCACTCCAGCCTGAGTGACAGAGTGAGACTCAAAAAAAAAAAAAAAAAACAGGGTAATAACAAATGTTGCAAAGTTCAGTGGCGAGATCATAGCTCACTGCAGCCTTCCACCCAATGGGTTCAAGCAATCCTCCCACCTTAGCCTCTCAAATAGCTGGGACTACAGGCATGCACCACCATGCCCAGCTAATTGTTTTTTTTGTTTTTGTTTTTGTTTTTTTTGTAGAGATGGGGTCTCACTGTATTGCCCAGGCCAGTCTGGGCCCTAGTAGCTGATCTAGCAACTTGAGAAACTGGAAATCTAGATGTCTGCATGTGGAGAAGCCAAGAAGCACACTACTATACCTCAATAAAATTATTAATTTTTTTTTTTTTTTTTTTTTTGAGACAGAGTCTCACTCTGTCGCCCAGGCTGGAGTGCAGCAGCGCAATCTCGGCTTACTGCAACCTCTGCCTCCCGGGTTGAAGCGATTCTTGTGCCTCAGCCTCCCGAGTAGCTAGGATTATAGGCACCTGACACCATGCCTGGCTAATTTTTGTATTTTTAGTAGAGATGGGGTTTCACCATGTTGGCCAGGCTGGTCTCAAACTCCTGACCTCAGGTGATCCACCCACCTTGGCCTCCCAAAGTGCTGGGATTAGAGACGTAAGCCACTGTGCCCAGCCTAAATTTTTTTTTTGAAAAGAAAAATAAGAAAAAAAGGAGCAGGCTCCTTTTTACTGCAGAACCCTGGATGGACAGGAAGCACCAGATAAGCTCTAAAAATGGAGTTGAATTTAGAGCTTAAAACAGTTTGAAAGGCTGTATAGGATTCAGTAAATCCCTTCATTCGTTTCTTCCCTTTGTACAACCACCTCCACTTCCCAGCGAAAGACTGGAGGTTTACTCTTAAGAGATGTTGAGCCCAAGGGACTCTGAACTGGGTGGGAGAGGAGAACTGAAAAATAGGAGGTATAAATTGAAGTCTGCATCCTCAACAATGAGGCCTCCACCCCTTCCACTCAGGTGTCAGAGTCTTGGCAGCAGGTTTAGACGCCCCCATAGGACTACTGTGAGGATTAAATGTGTTAATACCTGTAACATGTTCAGAATTGTGCTTGGTAAATAGTGAATGTTTAATATTATTATTATTTTTGAGACAGAGTTTTGCTCTTGTTGCCCAGGCTGCAGTGCAATGGCGTGATCTCGGCTTACCGCAACCTCTGCCTCCCTGGTTCAAGCGATTTTCCTGCCTCAGCCTCCAGAGTAGCTGGGATTACAGGTGCCTGCAACCATGCCCGGCTAATTTTTGTATTTTTAGTAGAGATGGTGTTTCTCCATGCTGGTCAGGCTGGTCTCAAACTCCCGACCTCAGGTGATCTGCCTGCCTTGGCCTCCCAAAGTGCTGGGATTACAGGCATGACCCACCGCGCCTGGACTTAATGTTATTAACAAACTAAACAGTTTATTATTAAACCAAACTAAAAGTGGTTGCTTCTGTAGAGCCTGAATCAGATGGGAAGAAATGATGTCGGGCACTGCTATTTTTCACTATAAGCTTTCAGGAATATTTGGCTTTTAAAATTATGTACATTTATAAGAAGTTTTAAGTAAAAAGTAAAGGTCTGTCCCCACTGTCCACAACATATATAAATTTTAGAACAGGCTTCAGTCACACACCTATTCTTGTGGCTGGAAGCCCCACCAAAATCACAGGAAATGTATAGTAGGGGGAGGAGCTGCTGTCCAAATGGGTAGGGGGTTTTGGGGTTAACACAAAGAATGTTTGGCAGAAAGGCTACTTCATAGATGGCAATGATTGTTGGCTATCTCTTTACAGTTAACAGTTCCCTGGGTTTTTTTTTTTTTAAACATACATACAAACATAGAAAGTGTCTATTTTAGTAATAGGATCATACTACTTGTTTTGATATCTACACACACACACACACACACACACACACACACACACACACACATATAGATAGTGGAGGATGGGCGCAGTGGCTTATGCTTGTTATCCCAGCACTTTGGGAGGCTACTCGGGAGGCTGAGGCAGGAGTATTGCTTGAACCCGGGAGGTGGAGGTCACAGTGAGCCAAGATCACACCACTGCACTCCAGCCTGGGCGACAGAGCTAAACTCTGTCTCAAAAAAAAAAAAAAAAAAAGTGGAGAGGAATTTAGAAAAAGTTGGAAGGCTAAATAGTCCTAGTTGAGTAATTTAGGAATGCTTTATATATTTTTTGTTACTGTTGTTAGAGACAGGGTCTCACTCTTTGTTGCCCAGGCTGGAGTGCAATGGCTAAATCACAGCTCACTGCAAACTTGAACTCCTTGGCTCATGCAATCCTCCCACCTCAGCTTCCTGGGTAGCCAGGACTACAGATGTGTGCCACTGTGCCTGGCTAATTTTTTAATTTTTTCTAGAGACAGGGTCTCACTTTGTTGCCAGGCTAGTCTTGAACTCCTGGCCTAAAGTGATCTCCTGCCTTGGCCTCCCAAAGTATTAGGTTACAGGCGTTAGCCACTGTGCCCAGCTAAGGAGTGCTTTAGAAGACTCCCTGGAGGCAACATAGTTGGCCCAAGATAGTAGAAACAGTTTCTACCTAGTTTCTCTAGAAAGCGCTAGTGTCCTTATCTTCTAGTATGAATAAAATCTTAGGGATGGAGGAGGTGGTGAAAACTGCCTTAAACAGCATTGTTCATTTCAGTAAGTGGAACTTTTAATAACCTTTCTAGTTTCCTGCGTTGCTTCAGAAGACAAGTGTTAACAAGCCATTCTCCTGACTTTAAGCTTGCAATAAAGATTCTAGCACAGCATGTGATTTGTCCAGAGAATTAAACATGCAAGCTTGCATGTTATTTGGAGGCTTATTATGACCTTCTCAGCCTTTCCATTTCTAAAATGATTTCTCTCTTTTGAGTCATTAATCCTAAGTATGCATGTGTGTGTGCATGCATGTGTATTTGTGTGCTGTCATTTATTCAAAGGTGTTTTTACTTAAGTTGATTAATCCAAATGCATTGAAAATGATGCTGACCAAATTAATTCTATTTAAAGCTTAGTTGTTAGCCAAATGCTATATAAAATCTTGTCTAGGAACAGTCTTAATCCTTTCAAATATTTAATACTTAAAAAAAGACTCTAGATCAGGGGTCTCCAACCCCCAGGCCACGGACTGGTACTGTTCTGTGGCCTGTTAGGAACCAGGCCGCATAACTGGAGGTGAGCAGCGCCCAAGTGAGCTTTACCACCTGAGCGCCGCCTCCTGTCAGATCAGCAGCAGCATTAGATTCTCATAGGAGCACAAACCCTGTTGTGAACCGTGCATGCGAGGGATCTAGGTTGCGCAGTCCTTATGAGAATCTAACTAACACCTGATGATCTGAGGTGGAACAGTTTCATCCTGAAACCATTCCCCGCCCCTCTCCCCCTCCCGCCCCTGCCAACCCCAGTGTGTGGAAAAATTGTCTTCCATGAAACCGGTCCCTGGTGCCAAAAGGGTTGGGGATCACTACTGTCAATCATTTGCACAGATGGCTCGAAGACACTGGCTTCTAGATGAAACTGAACACTACCCCTCCATTCTTTACTTACTAGAATTAGACTGTCAAAATGTCGGGAGTGAGTCAGGGCAGGAATCCCTGAGGAGGAAACCTCCTTTTGAGAAGCAGATCCAGGACCCTCTGACATAGTCAGAAAGTAACAGGTCATTTTTTATAAAGAGTTTTTTTTTAGAGCAGTTTTAGATTCACAACAAAATTGAACAGAAGAGACAGAGATTTCCCTTACACTCCCTGCACTCACACAACATAGCCTCCTCCATTGTCACCATCTCCCACCAGAGTGATGCATTTTTTGCAGCTGATCAGTCTACATTGACACATCACCACCCAACGTCCATAGTTTACACTAGGGCTCACTCTTGGTGTTGTACAGCCTATGGATTTGGACAAATTTGCAATGCCCTGTATCTACCATGATGGTATCATACAGAATAGTTTCACCACCCTAAAAATCCTCTATGCTCCACCTGTTCTGTTCTCCCTCTCTCCTCACCCCGGCAACCCTTGATCTTTTTACTGTCTCCATAGTTTTGCCTTTTCCAAAATGTAATATGGGTGAAATCATACAGCATGTGGCCTTTTCAGCTTGGCTTCTTTCCCTTAGTAATATGCATTCGAGTTTCCTCCATGTCTTTTCATAGCTTGATTGCCCATTTTTTGGTGCTGTTTTTCCATTGTTTGGATGTATCACAGTTTATTGATGCATTCACCTACTGAAGGACATCTTGGTTACTTCCAAGTTTTAACAATTATGACTAGAGCTGCTATAAACAACCATGTGCAGGTTTTTGTGTGGACATAAGTTTTCAACTCATTTGGATAAATATCAAGGCAAGCAATGGCTAGACTGTATGGTGAAAGTATGTTTAGTTTTGTAAGAAACTGCCAAACTGTCTGCCTAAGTGGCTGTACCATTTTGCATTCCCAGCAGCAATGAATGAATGAGAGAGCTCCTGTTGATCTCCATCCTCACCAGCATTCCTGGTGAAATCAGTTCTCTGGATTTTGGCCATTCTATTAGGTGTGTAACAGTATATCACCAGTGCTTTCATTTCCAGTTCTCCAGTGACATAGGATGTGGAGCATCTTTTCATATGCTTTTTTGCCGTCTGTATATTTTCTTTGGTGAGATGTCGGTTCAGGACTTTTGCTCATTTTTAATTGGGCTCTTTTCTTTTCAAGATAGGATCTCTCTCTGTCACACAGGCTGGAGTGCAGTGACACCATCATGGCTTACTGCAGCCTTGACCTCCTGGGCTCAAGCAGTCCTCCCACCTCAGTCTCCTGAGTAGCTGGGACTATAGGCACTTGCCACTATGCCTGGCTAATTTTTTTTTTTTTTTTTTGAGATAGGATCTCACTCCGTTGCCCAGGCTGGAGTGTAGTGGTGCTATCTCAGCTCACTGCAACCTCCACTTCCTGGTTCAAGCGATTCTTCCACCTCAGCCTCCCGAGTAGCTGAGACCACAGGTGTGCCACCATGCCCAGATAATTTTTTGGTAGAGACAGGGTTCACCATGTTGGCCAGGCTGGTCTCGACTCCTAACCTCAAGTGATCTACCCACCTCAGCCTCCCAAAGTGCTGGGATTACAGGCGTGAGCCACCGTGCTCAACCCAGGTTTTCTTATTATTGAGCTTTAAGAGTTCTCTGTAAATTTTGGAAAACAGTCTCTTGTCAGACTGTTGTGGATGAATATTTTCTCCCAGTCTGTGGCTTCTCTTTGTATTCTCTTGACAGTGTCTTTCGCAGAGCAGGAATTTTTAACTTCAGTGAAGTCCAGCTTATCATTACTTTCTTTCACGGATTGTGCCTTTGGTGTTGTATCTGAAAAGTCATCACCATACCCAAGATCATCTAGATTTTTCATGTTATCTTCGAGGAGTTTATAATTTTGTATTTTGCATTGCAGTCCGTGATCCATTTTAAGTTAATTTACAAGTCATTTTGCTTTTTAATTTTCAGGCAAAATTCATGAAAAGTTAAGGAAGTTGGAGTAGCATATTAAAACATTTGGAAAAGTATGAATAGGCTTTCTCATTTATTAAGTGTATGGCCTTAAACAAACAACCTTTTAAAGTCTCAGATTCTTCATTTCACAATGAGGATAATAGTACTGACCTCATAGAGTTGATATGAGAACTAAATGAGATTGTACATGTGAAACACTTGGGAGCTTCCCGCTTGCTGAACATGTGGAGATGCTGGGAGTGGGGCTAGCCCAGAGAGGGCATGGAAGCTACACCCCCACCCGCTTGTCCTATCCATCTGTCTGTTCATCTGTGTCCTTTGTAATAACCTTTATAATAAACCGGTAAATGTTTAAAAAAAAAACACTGAACATCACATCTGCATGGTAAGTAGCAGTTGTTCTGGATGGTTCTTGCTATCATGATGTAGATGAAGAAGATGAGGATGTAGACATAAGATGTAAGGAGAATTATGATTTTTTTTTTTCATTCCTCATTGATTCTCAATTCCCTTTTTTGGGTAGGTGGTGGACTTTGTAGCAGCAACATTGCAGAGAGCCTGTGCAAGCCTGGCCCATCAGGCAGAGAGCACCGTGGAATCACAGACGCTGAGCATGTCCATGGGGCTGGTGGCTGTCATGCTAGGAGGAGCTGTTCAGGTGAGTTGTAGACATGAGGCAAGCTTGAATGGAGGGAAGGGAGAAGCGAAATACCAGTTGTTTTCCTTCCATATCCTTGTGAGAAATAAGAATGGATATTGTACATAGGAGAACCTAGATAAAGAAGTTAGTTTGTTAATGAGAATTCTCTCCAAAGTAGAGAACAAGAAAGTTGCACCATTTCTACTCTGTCACCTGCATAGACTTCACTATCAGAAGGGCAGGGTCCTTTCTACCTGTTACAATCTTAATTTGGGAACATCTAGCCTGGTGTTTTGCATCTGAGGTGAATACTAGATTTTCTGGCTCTCACTCTCCAAAGCTCAGCCCTTGTTTCTGCTACTGTTGTTGGGGAAAGTCCTCAACTGGTTGCATAGGATCCATCTATTTTGAATGCTCCATTTTAGCACAGGATTCATTCTTCATCCCTTATCAGGTAGCATGTTAAAGCTTTGCTTCCAGCCACTTTTAAGTATGTATGTCTTTTACATACCTAATTTATAATTTTTAAATTTATTTTTTTAAACACTACATATTGGCCGGGTGCGGTGGCTCACTGAGCCTGTAATCCCAGCACTTTGGGAGGCTGAGTTTGGTGGATCACCTGAGGTGAGGAGTTTGAGACCAGCCTGGTCAACATGGTGAAACCCCGTCTCTACTAAAAATATTTAAAAAAAATTAGCTGGGCGTGGTGGCGGGTGCCTGTAATCCCAGCTACTCGGGAGGCTGAGGCAGGAAAATTGCTTGAACCCAGGAGCCGGAGGTTGCAGTGAGCCGAAATCGTGCCATTGCACTCCAGCCTGGGTGACAAGAGCTAAACTCCATCTCAAAAAAAATTAAACAAACAAAACCTACATATTGCATACTTGTGTGCCACACATACTAAGCTAGGGTGCTGGGAATACAGCAGGGGACAGGGCAGACCGTCATGAAACTTGCAGTCCAGTAAGGAAGTCAGACACTAAATGACTGTTCAGAAATGTACTTAGAATTGAATGAAGGGTCTCAAAAGAGAAGTGGCGGGTACCAAGAGCACATAACATCTAACCTAGGCTGGGAAGATTTCCACTGAGGAAGTGTAAGCGTAAGCTAAGATTTGAAGGAAACTCTTCCAAGTAAGGAAAACATCACGTACAAAGGCTTAGAAGCAGCAAAGAGCTTGGTATACTTGAGACACTGATGGAAGGCTGGTGTTAGTGAATTGTAGAGACCAAGGGGAAGAGCATGCCTGCAAGGACAAAAGATAGTCAAGGGCTAGACCATGCATGTGTGTGTGACTGGCTGATTACATACCGAGTTAGGTGAGGAGTCTGCAGGAAAGCAGAATAGGCTTAGTGTGAGTCTTATGAAATCTACCCTGCAGCCAGCCTGCTCATAACCCTTAGCAATGAGTAGGATACCCTCTGGGAATGGATTTTTGAGCTTGAGGATTCAAATCTGATTCTGATTCTCGATGTATTAGAATATACCTTTCACTAGCCTGTCTAAAAGGAAAGGGAATTTTATCTGGGCCTGTTATTAGTGTGAAGCCCATTTCTTTAGATTTACTTAGCACTTCTAATTATATATTTTCCATATTGTTTTAAAAAAAAAGCTTTTGGTTCAGTTTCTAGAGCCATAGTATACCCTTGCTGTTAGAACTGTCAAGGTTTGGGAGGCCGAGGTGGGCGGATCAGGAGGTCAGGAGATCGAGACCATCCTGGCTAACACAGTGAAACTCCGTCTCTACTAAAAATACAAAAAAAAGGTGGCGGGTGCCTGTAGTCCCAGCTACTCGGGAGGCTGAGGCAGGAGAATGGCGTGAACCTGGGAGGCGGAGGTTGCAGTGGGCGGAGGTTGCAGTGAGCCGAGATCGCGCCACTGCACTCCAGCCTGGGCAACAGAGCGAGACTCTGTCTCAAAAAAAAAAAAAAAAAAAAGAACTATCAAGGAAAGTTTCACTGATGGAATCATTTTTCTTTTTTCTTTTCTTTTTTTTTTTCAGACAGAGTCTTACTCTGTCACCCAGACTGGAATGCAGTGGCACAATCTCAGCTCACTGCAGCCTCCACCTCCTGGGTTCAAGCAATTCTCCTGCCTCAGCCTCCCAAGTAGCTGGGATTACAGGCATGCACCACCACGCCCAGCTAATTTTTTGTATTTATAGTAGAGACAGGGTTTTGCCATGTTGGCCAGGCTGGTCTCGAACCCCTGACCTCAAGTGATTCACCCGCCTCGGCCTCCCAAAGTGTTACAGGCATGAGCCACCACGCTCGGCCGGAATCATTTTTCTTAAGTTGTATTCTTATTGGATTTAGTTGGCCAAATAGATTTTTGTTTTGTTTTGTTTTGTTTTTTTTTGGTTGAATATTGATTTGAATAGTCTTTTTCCACAAGGTGAGAGTGTGCTTTTTTTTTTTTTTTTTTTTTTGGCTTCTCTTTACTTCACACTTATCATTTCAAACCACATCCCAATGTAAGATAGATCACAAAAATCTCCATTTCCCTTTCTAGAAGCCCATTGTTGGAGGGCTGGCTGTGCACATTAGTTGTGTTCTAAGACAGACTCACCTGACTGATATCAAGGTTATACCTTGCAGGCCCCTGCCTTTCTGTGAGCCATCCTGACTCACTGATTACATCCGGCATTCCTCTGACTTTGCAGTTAGTTAAGTGAACATAAGCACGTCACCCCCTATACCTTTGCCCTAGATCTACTACTTTTTTTCTGTTTGAATCATGGATTTGTAAATGGCTTCTATAGTAATGCTGGATTTTCTTTCTTTGTATTAGAAAAAAATGTCATGGTTCTGAATTGTGTTTTCAGTTAATCATTGTCAGGCTAACAATATACTGTTTTTTCCTATTTCTTACTAGGATTCGTTGTTTTGGCTTATTAAAAAAGAATCTAACATCATCTGAACCTTTTTTGTTTCTAATTTATGTAATCAAAGTGATTATTAGAACATTGTGTCTGGGAAGAGGAGTTAATTTGGAAAAAGCATGTATTTAAGACTGCTGACAACAACAACAAAAACAAAATTAAAAAAAAAAAAAGGCCGGGCGCGGTGGCTTATGCCTGTAATCCTAGGACTTCGGGAGGCCAAGTCGGGTGGATCACGAGGTCAGGAGTTCAAGACCAGCCTGGCAAACATGGTGAAACCCCATCTCTACTAAAAATACAAAAATCAGCCGGGCTTGGTGGCGCGTGCCTATAATCCCAGCTACTTGGGAGGCTGAGGCAGGAGAATCGCTTGAACCCAGGAGGGGGAGGTTGCGGTGAGCGGAGACCATGCCACTGCACTCCAGCCTGGCAACAGAGCAAGACTCCATCTCAAAACAAACAAACAAAAATTTATAATTAAAAAAAAAAAGACTGCTGACAAGATAACTGTAGTTCCAGGCTCATTTTCTAAATTTCAGAGTTAGTCACCACTAAAAGTATTATACATTGGTTACTCCTCCCTGTCCCCTCAAGAAGCAGTTTCTGCATGATGTTGTATTGTCCATTGGTCTCTAAAGCACGAGGCTGAGCAGACCATTCCAGACCTTCTTTAGGAAAAACCAAAACCATGTTGTTCCAGGGAGGCAGCAGAGCTTCTGGTTAAAAGCTGGGCTCCAAATCTTGAAATCTAGATTCTACTGGGGTGGGGGCCCATTATTGGGAGAGAAAAGGTGCATCTCTTCTCTAAAGGGGAAGGGGGCTTTAGCTTGGTCTTACTCTACACTGCTTAGGTCATGTTTTTTTTTTTTTTTTTTTTTTTTTTTGAGATGGAGTTTCGCTCGTTGCCCAGGCTGGGGTGCAATGGCACGATCTCGGCTCACCGCAACCTCCGCCCGCTGGGTTCAAGCGATTCTCCTGCCTCAGCCTCCCAAGTAGCTGGGATTACGGTCATGCACCACCACGCCCGGCTCATTTTGTATTTTTTTTTTTTTTGTAGTAGAGATGGGGTTTCTCCATGTCGGTCAGGCTAGTCCCGAACTCCTGACCTCAGGTGATCTGCCCGCTTCCGCCTCCCAAAGCGCCGGGATTACAGGCATGAGCCACCGCGCCTGGCCTGCTTAGGTCATGTTTTTGATCAAAGACCATTGCTCAGACTCTTTGGCAGAAAGGTTACCAGGAGCATGGACTGTGTTTTAGGTGCTGCTGACTTACATATTAGAATCATTGCAAACGATTAGAGGCTGGGGTAGAAGTAGTGGTAAGCAAGCTAGAGGTCTATTGCAGAATGGAGGAAGGGGAGAGAGGGACGAGCCGCTGAAATCTGTTGCATGCTGGTGAGGCGAATTGGTTGAGTCAGTTCCTGTGCTACAATGCTGTCCTTTCTCTTCTTCACCGAGCCCAATTTGGGTGCTCTATAGAACTGCTTGGGAAAATTCCCATTATTTCAAGCTGTTATATAGAACTCCAAAGAGCAGACAATCCTTCTTAATTGCTGTTGCTTTCAAGCAGCCTCATTTAGAGATGTCTTACTTTCTGCCATATTTAATAAACCTGCCACAGTAGGTACTTAATTAACAGTTTTTGAATGGATGGATAAATGGAAGGAAGAAAGAATAAAAGGAAGAAAGGAAAGGTGATGTCTAATGAAGGAGGCATGATTTGTTTTGTTTTGTTTTGTTTTGTTTTGTTTTGTTTTGTTTTTTCAAAAGGGCATGAGCTCAAAAAGTTGAAAAACACTGCCCTCACCCATAGTGAGCAACCTCCAGATCTGGGCACACCCATGGGAGTGTTGTGAATGTTAGTCATGTGTTATCAGGGGCAAAGGAGAGCCATGCTTCTTGTTTTCACAGGCTTTCACTTGATTATCCTCTAGGTAATCCAGTCTTTTATCAGAATTTCCCTAGAGTGGAGAGGCATCCTTCAACTGCTTGTATGCAGGTGATCAAACTGGCTAAAAAAGCCCTTACTTGCAAACCACAGTGCCTCCAATTTTACAACTTAAAAAGAAAATGACTTTCCAGTTAACTAAGCTGACTAGTTCTCTCTAATTCTTTTGCTTTTGAGATTAAACCATCTATTTCTGGAATTGTCTTCATTGTGCTCATTTATACACATCGTTAAAGATTTTCAGAGCTTTGGCCAGGTGCCAGTGGCTCACGCCTATAATCCCAGTGCTTTGGGAGGCCGAGGCAGGAGGATCACCTGAGGTCAGGAGTTCCAGACCAGATCAGCTACTCGGGAGGCTGAGGCAGGAGAATTGCTTGAACCCAAGAGGCAGAAGTTGCAGTGAGCTGAGATCACACCATTGCACTCCAGCCTGGGCAACAAGAGTGAAACTCCCTCTCAAAAAAAAAAGGCTCCTCAGCTGGGCACGGTGGCTCATGCCTGTAATCCCAGCACTTTGGGAGGCTGAGGTGGGAAGATCACCTGAGGTCAGGAGTTCGAGACCAGCCTGGCCAAAATGGCAAAACCCCATCTCTACTAAAAATATAAAAAAATTAGCCGGGTATGGTGGCGGGCACCTGTCATCCCAGCTACTTGAAAGGCTGAGGCAGGAGGATCGCTTGAACGTGGGAGGCGGAGGATGCAGTGAGCTGAGATCATGCCATTGCACTCCAGCCTGGGTGACAAGAGCAAAATTCCGTCTCAAAAAAAAGAAAACAGAAACAAACTCCTCACATAGCTGCTGCCACCCAGTGCATTTCCCTGGACAACCCCAGGGGCTAGATGTTCAATGAGTAAATACCCCCATACAGGTTGTGGGCACCTGGTTGTCCAGCCCGAGGCCAGGGATCCCAGGTCACACCCTTGATCAGGGAGGGATCAAGGTGCTTCTGCCATGCCCAGGATTGAGAACTCTGTGGATGCAAAGAGGGGTGGGTGGGAAGCCTGGTGTGGTGGCTCACGCCTGTAATCCCAGCATTTTGGGAGGCTGAGGTGGGCGGATCACATGAGGTCAGGAGTTTGAGGCCAGCCCCGGCAACATGGCAAAACCCTGACTCTACTAAAAATACAAAAATTAGCCAGGCATGGTGGCCGCACCTGGAGTCCCAGCTACTCAAGAGGCTGAGGTGGGGGAATCGCTTGAACCTGGGAGGTGGAGGTTGCAGTGAGCCAAGATTGTGCCATTGCACTCCAGCCTGAGCAATAGAGCAAGACTCTGTCTCAAAAAAAAGAAAAAATTGCAATTCCCTAATGACTTATGACATTGAGTATGTCTTCCTATGCTTATTTGCCATCTGTATATCTTCTTTGGTAGGGTATTCTTCTTTGGTAGACCTATCTGTTAAGGTCTTTTGCCCATTTTTAAGTCAGGTTGTTCATTTTCTTATTGAGTTTAAAGAGTTCTTTGTATATTTTGGATATTAGTCCTTTTTCAGATATGTCTTTTACAAATATTTTCTCTCATTCTGTAGTTTGTCTTCTCATTCTCTTGACAGTTTCTTTTGCAGAGCAGACATTCTTAATTTTAATAAGGTCCAGGTTTTTAACTATTTCTTTCATAGATCATGCCTTTGCTGTTGTATTTAAAAGGTCATTGCTTTTAAGAGGTCATCTCAATTTTCTACTATGTTAACTTGTAGGAGTTTTATAGTTTTGTATTTGACAGTTAGGTTTATGATCCATTTCAAGTTAATTTTTGTGCAAGGTGCAAGGTCTGTGTCTAGATTCATTTTTTCACATGTGCATGCCAGTTGTTCCAGCACCATTTGTTGAAAAAACTGTCTTTTCTACTGACACTTGTTCCAATTAAAAAAAAAAAAAAGAAAAAAGAAACTGTATTTTTTTTTCCATTTAAAGCCTTTGCTCCTTTGTCAAAGTTCAGTTGACTCTATTTATCTGGGTCTATTTCTGGCCTTTCTGTTCTGTCCCATTGATCTATTTGTCTTGGCTGGTTTTTTTTTTTAGAAGAAATTGTTATATAGAAGAGAAATTAAAAAAGAGGCCAAATAGACTGTAGGTAAATTATTCTCATTTTAGATGCTTTAAAAAAGTCCATGATACAACCGAGGCACTGAATGAAGTTTAGCATAATGATAATACTAGTATAATTATTTGAAAATGTCTCGGCCGGGCACCGTGGCTCATGCCTGTAATTCCAGCACTTTGGAAGGCCAAGGTGGGCGGATCACCTGAGGTCCGGAGTTCAAGACCAGCCTGGCCAACATGGTGAAACCCCGTTTCTACTAAACTATAAAAAATTAGCCAGGCATGGTGGCGTGTGCCTGTAGTCCCAGCTACTCGGGAGGCTGAGGCAGGAGAATGGCGTGAACCCGGGAGGTGGAGGTTGCAGTGAGCCGAGATTACGCCATTGCACTCCAGCCTAGGCAGCAGAGCGAGACTCCGTTTCCAAAAAGAAAAGAAAAAAATAAAAATAAAAAGGATTTTTTTTTCTTTTTTTTGAGACAGAGTCTCGCTCTGTTGCCCAAGCTGGAGGGCAGTGGCGTGATCTCAGCTCACTGCAACCTCTGCCTCCCGGGTTTAAGCGATTCTCCTGCCTCAGCCTTCCGAGTAGCTGGGACTACAGGCACATGCCACCATGCCCAGCTGATTTTTGTATTTTTAGTAGAGGTGGGGTTTCGCCATGTTGGCCAGTAAAAAGGACTTAAGATCCTTAAGGTATTCAAATTTTCAGGGTCTCCTGAAGCCTCATCTGATAATTTCTCCAGTGTTTTCAAACAGAAAAGTATTACCATTGATTCTTACTTTTCATTGATCACACATACACCTTTTGGGTGGCAGTGGGTGAGGGGGGTGCTTTCCAGTGAAGACCAGAAAACCTGCTAGACAAATTCTAATAGAGCTGTAACACTCATGCACCTTTCTTAGTAGTAAGGCATATGACATTATTCAGACAAAGCTTCCATGGAGAATAAAATGTTATATAATTTTCACTTCCACTTTCCAGAAGAAATCCCTTTCTTCCCGTTTTCTCTGTGATCCCTTCCAGATCTATGGTGCACTTGCATACTGACTGGCCACTTTAGATCATGTAGTTAAGAACAGCCTTATCTTTTCAAGGGAGACTGCGTAGGGTATTGGGTGAGAGTGTGGGCTCTGATCCCAGTTTCTTGAGTTCACATCTTACTATCTTCCAGTCTGTGACCTTGGGCATGTTACTTAACCGTTCTGTTTCCACCTGTTTAAAATGTAGATAATAATAGTCATTATATCACAAGGATATGAATGTGTGTGTGTGTGTTTTATCTTAGAAAAGAACCTGTATATGATAAGTGTTCAATAAATGTTAGGTATGATTATTCAACAAATGGTATTCAGTGCTGGACCCAGGCAATACACTGATTACACCATGAGCAAGATTTGATCCCTGCCCTTTTTTCTCAGAATATGTTTCCTGGTGCTCAGGTCATATTGAAATTTGCTATGTTAATTTGGGTTTGACATTTTTTATTTCATTTTGTAGTTGAAGTCAAGTGATTTTGCTGTTCTGAAGCAGTTGTTGCCTCTGTTGGAGAAGGTATCCAACACATACCCTGATCCGGTCATCCAAGAACTCGCTGTTGATCTCCGCATCACCATCTCTACCCATGGAGCCTTTGCCACTGAGGCCGTCAGCATGGCTGCCCAAAGTACACTGAACAGAAAAGATCTGGAAGGGAAAATAGAAGAGCAGCAACAAACCAGTCATGAAAGACCCACTGATGTAGCTCATAGCCACCTTGAACAACAGCAGAGCCATGAGACAGCCCCCCAGACAGGCCTGCAGTCAAATGCTCCAATCATTCCTCAAGGAGTCAATGAGCCCAGCACTACTACAAGTCAGAAATCTGGAAGCGTAACCACAGAACAGCTCCAAGAGGTTCTTTTGTCAGCTTATGACCCTCAAATTCCAACACGGGCTGCTGCCCTGCGTACTCTTTCCCACTGGATAGAGCAGAGAGAAGCAAAAGCCCTTGAGATGCAAGAGAAGCTTCTCAAGGTGAGTAGAACACACTGTAAAGACACATGGGCACAGGGTGGGGCATTCATTCAACTCAAGTATTTTTGGAGCCTGGACTATGTGTCAAGTGCTGTTCTGGACCACCCTCCAGAAATTTGTGAATTTTGTGAGGAGGCAACACTTAGACACAGGAAAGATTTATTTAGACACAGGAAAGACTTAAACTCCTCAAATGAATATGAACTGAGTGCCAATTTTTTTTTTTTTTTTTTTTTTTTGAGATGGAATCTCGCTCTGTCCCCCAGGCTGGAGTGCAGTGGTGCAATCTCGGCTCACTGCAAGCTCCGCCTTCTGGGTTCACACCATTCTCCTGCCTCAGCCTCCCGAGTAGCTGGGACTACAGGTGTCTGCCACCACCCCCGGCTAATTTTTTGTATTTTTAGTAGAGACGGGCACCATGTTAGCCAGGATGGTCTCGATCTCCTGACCTCGTGATCCACCTGCCTCGGCCTCCCAAAGTGCTGGGATTACAGGCGTGAGCCACCACACCCATCCTTCAAAATTTTTGCATGCAAGAAATGCTGTGGGCAGTCAGGAAAAAGAGAAAGTTGAAATCTTCTGGAGGATGTAGGCCTTAATATGGCCATAACAAACTAGTAAAGTTTGAGCAGATGAAAGAGGGGTGGGATAGCTTGAACAAATTCCCAGAGATGGGAAAGTACCTTTTGTGATAAATAGGTCTGCTTCAACACTGTGACCCAGCCCAGATAAGCCACCTGTTTTCTCTGGGCATCTTTAGTGGGGCGTTGGGCAAAACTGGGTCTCCTCCCCTCTTCTCTCCCTTCATCGTGGTGAAATAGCTGTTTTTTGTTTTGTTTTGTTTTGTTTTTTTGAGACAGGGTCTCGCTCCGTCGCCCAGGCTGGAGTGCAGTGGTGCGATCTCAGCTCACTGCAATTTCCACCTCCTGGGTTCAAGTGATTCTTCTGCCTCAGCCTCCCAAGTAGCTGGGATTACAGGTGCCCACCAACACACCCAGCTAATTTTTGTACGTTTAGTTGAGATGAGGTTTCACCATGTTAGCCAAGCTGGTGTTGAACTCCTCACATCAAGTGATTCACCTGCCTCGGCCTCCCAAAGTGCTGGGATTACAGGCATGAGCCACCGCGCCTGGCCTTAAATATCCTTTTATACACCTATTTGAAGGTGAATTCAATGAACATCTTGGAATTTTTTTTAGCTTAATTAAACCTTCTTCTGCTGTACATAATTGGTCACCAAGTCCTGTCAATTCTTTTTTCAAAGAAGTCTTTCAAATGTATCTTATCCTCTTTATTTCCATGGCCATTACCCTAAATTAAGCTTCCCTTGCTTACTCCATAAAAGATTCCCTACCTTCAAAACTGGCCGTCTTCCTAACTGGGGTAATTTTAGGCTCTCCGTACATACTTCACATGTAGAGACCAGCAGCATCAAGTTGATGTCAAGAATTACTGTGCCAACGAAGAACACAGCATTATATATGGAGCAGACACTTCCGTCTTCCTTTCTCTGGCTCTCATGTTGGGGCCTAAACCTAACATATCATGTAATATCTTCCAGATAAGCTGTACTCACTGTAGTTGATACCCCTGATAGGTTCCTAAATTGTAAGATATTTTGAGAGTAATTTGTTACTAATATCAATTAAAGTGCTGAAATTTACAAGATTTTCAAAAATAAATTAGAACAGATTCAAAGTTATCTCAATAATAACATCTCTATCTCACTTGCACTTCCATATGCTTTGTGAGTACAAGAGAAAAGGATCAAATTGCAGCAAATGTGCCATCCATTGCACATAACCCCAAACCTTGTCTCTTGTGTGTCACACCCCGTAGTCTGTCATGCCATATGTGAGAATGTTATTCACCATGGCTGTCATGGAAAAATGTTGAGGATTGTTCTTCCATCGGTTTCCAGGACTACTGCTGGAAGAATACAAGTATCTCCCCCAGTCTCTATACTTTTTTAATGGTTATAAAAATGAGACTTAAGCATATATGCCATTTCCCCCACAAAACTCTGTCAGACCAGTTTCTACCCAAGAAAAACAAGAAGCGAAGCATTTACTCCTTTGAGCTGCTGATAAGGGAGCCTCTTAAATCTTCCTTGTTCTTTGTAAATCTTATCACTGCTGTATTTTGTGGTTCCAGATATTCTTGGAAAACTTGGAACATGAAGACACTTTTGTATATCTATCTGCAATTCAGGGTAAGTCAGTCCTGGTTAAAGGACTTTAAGTATGTGGACCAGAGACTGTATCATGTTTATTTGCACAAAATCTCTAAAGTCCTAGGGCCAGGAGACTACTGGTCATTTTGTCCGTCTTCCTGCCTCCTAGCTAGGACACTTTAAGTCATAATAATAATATTCCTGAAGGGTTTCCAAAGAGTCCCTATAGAGTTTCAGTGTCTCATAATGATGAGGAAGTTTTTATTAATGTTTACATATTCTGTAGATTAAATCGTATTTCCTCTAATTCAAGGAGGTAAAGAATGACTCACACATGAACTCTTATCACATTAACCTTTTATGTTAGTCGGCTACTGTCTTTTTTTTTTTTTTTTTTGAGACAGAGTCTCGCTCTGTCACCCAGGCTGGAGTGCGGTGGTGTGATCTCAGCTCACTGCAACCTCTGCCTCCCGGGTTCAAGTGATTCTCCTGCCTCAGCCTCCCAAGTAGCTGGGATTACAGGTGCCCGCCACCACGCCCAGCTAATTTTTTATATTTTTAGTAGAGACAAGGTTTCACCATGTTAGTCAGGCTGGACTCGAACTCCTGACCTCCAGTGATCCACCCACCTTGGCCTTCCAAAGTGCTGGGATTACAGGCGTGAGCCACCACGCCCAGCCTCAACTACTGTCTATATGCACCTTTGCTCTCTCGTTAAGCTAAAAGAACTCAGGGTATTAAATATTTTCTTATCAAAAAATTTTTTGCAGTAACTTTATTTCTCTTTTTATGGTTCTTTGTTGTTCTCCACATCCCCTTTAACTTGTGGGCTCCAAATCTAGAGAGGATGTAGAGAATAAGGCACCCTTCCCAAAAGGTCCAGAAGCAGACATGGTGAGGTCAGAGTTAACTCAGTTTCCCTTGGCTCCATCAGCGAGGTACAGTCAACAGACCACCTGGGTTGGCCATCCCATTACCATGCGTTGGCAAATTACTTAATCCCTGTGGGCTTCAATTTTTTGTTATCTGTGAAAAGGGGACTAAATAGGAATGTGAAATGGTACTGCCACTTTGGAAACCAGTCTGGCAGTTCCTCGAAAAGATAAACATAGAGTTACTACTTGGCCCAGCAATTCCACTCCCAGGAATATACCCGATAAATGAAAACATATGTCTGCACAAAACCTTGTGTGTGAATGTTCACAGCAGTATTATTCACAATAACCAAGAGGTGGAAATAGCTCAAACAACCATCAGTTGATGAATGGATAAACTAAATGTGGTATATATATGCAATGGAATATTATTGGCTATAAAAATGAAGGACTGATACATGCCACAATATGGACGAACCTTGAAAACATGGTAAGTGAAAGAAACTGGCCACAAAATACTATATTTTATATGATTCCAGTTACATGAAATATCCAGAATAGGCAGTTTTTTAGAGACAGAAAATAGATTAGTGCTTTCCTAGGGCTGGGGTAAAGGAGAGATAGTTGAGGGTGATAGGTAAAGGATACAAGACTTCTTTTTGGGGTGATGAAAATGTTCCCAGATTCTTGCACAGCTCTGTGAGTATGCTAGGAAACCATTGAGTTATGCACTTTTTTTTTAAGATGGAGTCTCACTCTGTCGCCCAGGCTGGAGTGCAGTGGCACAATCTTGGCTCACTGCAACTTCCGCCTCCCGGGTTCAAGCGATTCTTGTGTCTCAGCCTCCTGAGTACAGGCATCAGCCACCACGCCCAGCCGAGTTACGAACTTTAAATGGGTGAGTTGTATGGTATGTGAGTTATAGCTCAATAAAACTATTATCAAAAAAATACAATAAAAAAAATTTTTTTTTTTTGAGACGGAGTTTCACTCTTGTTGCCCAGACTGGAGTGCAATGGCACAATCTCAGCTCACTGCAACCTCCGCCTCCCGGGTTCAAGCGATTCTCCTGCCTCAGCCTCCCGAGTAGCTGGGATTACAGGCATGTGCCACCACACCTGGCTAATTTTGTATTTTTAGTAGAGACGGGGGTTTCTCCATGTTGGTCAGGCTGGTCTCGAACTCCTGACCTTGGGTGATCCACCCGCCTCGGCCTCCCAAAGTCCTAAGATGATAGGCGTGAGCCACCGCACCTGGCCAAAATAAAATTTAATTAAAGGGGAGAGGGCTAAAATTGTCAGAGCATAAGGAAATATGATGACTAAATGTAATGTGATAGATGGGATTCTGAAATAGAAAAACAACATTAGGACCGGGAGCAGTGGCTCATGCCTGTAATCCCAAGCACTTTGGGAGGCCGAAGCAAGCAGATCACTTGAGATCAGGAGTTTGTGACCAGCCTGGCCAACATGGTGAAACCTGATCTCTACAAAAAAACACCAAAAAAAGTTAGCCAGGTGTGGTGGCGGGCACCTGTAATCCCGGCTACTTGGGATGCTGAGACACGAGAATTGCCTGAACCCAGGAGGCCAAGGTTGCAGTGAGCCGAGATTGCACCACTGCACTCCAGCTTGGGCAACAGAGTGAGACTCCGTCTCAGAAAAAAAGAAAAAAAAAGGACATTAGGGGAAAACTAAGGAAATTTGAATAAATTATAAACTTCAGTTGATAATAAAGTGTCAATATTAGTTTACTATTCTATCATAAAATGTTTATTAATAAAAAGGGGGCTTAATATTAGGATTAAATGAGTTAATTCCTTGCAACTGCTTAGCACAGTGTTCAATATGTGTTAGCTATTAATATTTTAGTGTTGTTATCATCATCAGAATCTTCACTATTACGTCTACTGTTGGATGACTAGGTAATAATGTGGTGATCTCTGTAACTTCTCAGATCTGAAGCCTGAGTAGGCCGATTCTGTCAGTTATTGATATTTAACAAACTACTCTGTGGCTCACGCCTATCATCCCAGCACTTTGGGAGGCCGAGGTGGTTGGATCACCTGAAGTCAGGAGTTCAAGACCAGCCTGATCAACATGGTGAAACCCTGTCCCTGCTAAAAATACAAAAATTAGCCAGGCATGGTGGTGTGTGCCTGTAGTCCCGGTTACTTGGGAGGCTGAAGCAGGAGAATTGCTTGAACCCAGGAGATGAGGGTTGCAGTGAGCCGAGATGGCACCACTGCACTCCATCCTGGGCAGCAGAGCAAGACTCCTTCTCAGAAAACAGCAACAACAACAAACTACCCTGACACTCAGTAACCTGAAACACCAATCATTTATTATCACTCACGCATCTGTAGACCCACTGAAGGTTCAGCGGGGCTTGGCTGGGCAGCTGGCCCCTCCCAGCAGGTCTCAGGCCAGCTGTGGTAGCTGTGCTTCATGTGTTCCTGATCATCCCTGAACCAGTGGCCTACCAGGGCTTGTTCTGCTCATGGTGAGAACCATGAAGTGTCAAAGAGAAACCATAAATTCCTCCTCAGGCCTGACTCGGAGCAGACATCCTATCATTCTGCCTTATTCTGTTGGCTAAAGCAAGTCATGAGGCCCAACCCAAAAGTCAAGGGATAGAGAAATATATGCTGTCCCTTTAGTGGGACACACTACCAAGTCACATAGCAAAGGGCATTGATGCAGTAATGCCCTTCTTCACGTTGATGTGTTCTGTTTACCTCCCAGAGGCAAGGTTGTCAGTGAGCACAAAGGTAAGTGCAGGTTCTTACTGGCTAATTCTTTCAGGGTTTAATGTGGATATGCTCTATACAGACTTAGTACTTGAAGCTTAAGAGAGCATGCAGAGGGGAAATCGTATAGCAAAGAAGGCCTGAGCCTTGGAATTCTGGAATTTTTTTTTTTTTTTTTTAGAGACAGAGTCTTGCTCTGTCACTCAGGGTAGAGTATAGTGGCATGATCGTGGTTCATTGTTACCTCTAACTCCTGGGCTCAAGCAGTCCTACCACGTCTGCCTCCTGAGTAGCTGGGACTACAGATGCATGCCAACACACATCAGGCTAATTTTTTAAAAAACATTTTGTAGAGATGGGGGTCTCACTATGTTGCCCAGGCTCAAACTCCTAGACTTAAGCAATCCTCTTACTTCAGCCTCCCAAAGTGCTGGGATTGCAGGCATGAGCCACTGTGCCCAGCCAAATTCTTTCTTTATTCAACAAAAATTTTGTATATCTCCTATATACAAAACACTTTAGATTAACTGAAAGTTGTAATTAGGTTCAAAAGCAAAAAGAGAATTATTCAAAGAGACAAAATGACCACCCAAAGTGGTAAAGGACAACTAGGTGAGAACGAAAGCTCTACGAGTAACGGGTTTCAAGAGAGAAAGTAATTACCTGCAGCTGAGAGGCCAAAGAGTGCAGGAATTGAGATAGGCCTGGGGGTCCAGGAGGCCACATGACCATAAGTTGTGCTTATGGAAGTCAGATAAATCAAAGAAGCAAGAACCTAAAGTGCTTATAATTCAGAAGTTTCAGAACACAAGTCATCCTGTACTTTCCCCAAGAAACTGTACTACTGTCAAGGAGATGTTTTTCATTGATTTATTTTTTTTAAGACTGGATTTTTGGGAATGGGTGGCATGTCATTCTAATGTGACCACTTTGCTGTTTGGAATAAGCGTCTTAGTTGATTAACCCACTGAGCTCATTAGCCTCTAGGGCCTGCTATCAAAATCGCAGCTGTTGGTGTTGTGTTTGTTTTTAGTAATTTTCGTTGGTGTGCAAATCAGTTACTAGCTAATTTGGTGATGAAGAACATGAGGGGTAGAGGCGTAATTTCTGTTCTCAGCTCCCCAAGATGATGGACAAGTTTGGACTAATTGATGTTTTTGGTGTTTGTAATATGCACTTAAAAGCCAAGGCTTCAGGTGAGTTTCCCATTAAAGAAAATAGCTGAATTTTCCCACCTGCATTGCCAGTGTAGTTTGCCTGGGCCTAAAGCACTACAGGAACAAAGCCATTCTGGGCTCCCAGTCAGACAAGACCAGCCCACTTGTCCTGTAGTACAGGATGGGGAGTGCCTGGTTGTGGTTTGAGTAGCATTCAGTTGTGGGGACTGTGTATTTTTAAAGTTTTCCTTTTTTGAGCTGCCCAAATGGCTCCATGTGGAAGTTATAGTGTACTTTTTGCTTAATTTATTGATGTTTTATATTTCTTTTATAAAGTCTTACCAACTTTGCAGTCTAGGTGGAGAGCAGAAGAGAATAAAATACAGCAGTTCATTCAACGGCTATATATTGATGCCTGACTTAGAAATTTCTGATGTCTATATTATCTATCACAGCAATCTGAGAACTCAATACCCTAGGAGTTAAATTTAATTTTAGGAAAAACTGTGTGTATCTCTGTTTATTCTTACTGAGAAGCAGTGGTTGACTTAGTCATTCTAGCAGCTTCTCCCAGGTACTCAATAACAGCTTCTTCAGGCAGAGAATTATGTATAAAGTCTCTGAGTTCCGGTTACCCTATAGAGTTTACAGATAGAGAACTTAATCTTACACAGACAAAGATAAATGTCTCCCCTTTTGTATTCCTTGTATATTCTTTCTTCACTGTTTTTATCATCATTATTATTATACAAGTAATATATTCTCAATGTTTTTAAAAAATTTCAACAAGAATGAAGTATATAAGGTAAAAGGCAGAAGCCCTTCTCTTTTCCAAAATGGGAGTTAGAATATGTCCTTGAAGGCTAGGCTCAGTGACTCATGCCTGTAATCCCAACATTTTGGGAGGCTGAGGTGGGAGGATTGCTTGAGCCCAAGAATTCAAGACCAGCCTAGGCAACATAGTGAGACCTTGTCTCCACACACACAAAAATAAAAATTAGCTAGGTGTGCTGGTGTGCACCTGTAGTCCCAACTATTTAGGAGGCTTAGGTGGGAGGATCACTTGAGCCCAGGAGGTTAAGGCTGCAGAGAGTCATGATTGCACCACTGCACTCCATCCTAGGTGACAGAGTGACACCTTATCTCAAAAAGAAAATTTAAAAAAAGGATACATCTTTGAGATTCCCATAGTGTACATTAGATATTTGGGCATTTTTTCACATTTTAGTTTTGAAATAGATGTTCAATAATGAGTATGATAAATAAGTGATATTCTTCAATAAGACATAGTCAGATTATTTCTTTTTTTCTTTTTTTGAGACAGAGTTTCTTTCTTGTTACCCAGGCTGGAGTGCAATGGGCTTGGCTCACTGCAACTTCCACCTCCCGGGTTCAAGCAATTCTCCTGCCCCAGCCTCCCAAGTAGCTGGGACTACAGGTGCCCACCACCATGCCCGGCTAATTTTTTTGAATTTTTAGTAGACACAGGGTTTCACCGTGTTGGCCAGGTTGGTCTCAAACTTCTGACCTCAG
This sequence comes from Homo sapiens, assembly GCF_000001405.40. Classification (NCBI taxonomy): domain Eukaryota; kingdom Metazoa; phylum Chordata; class Mammalia; order Primates; family Hominidae; genus Homo; species Homo sapiens. The sequence goes on from NC_000016.10 coordinate 68,936,571, forward strand.
GTGATCCACCCGCCTCAGACTCCTGAAGTGCTGGGATTACAGGCGTGAGCCACCGCACCCTGCCTATAGCCAGATTATTTCTATACTGTAGATCTGTTCATATGTCCTCTCAGTCACTTTCAATTATTTAAAGGGTATTTTGAAAACAACAGATGCATTTTGGGGATCCAAGTGGTCCCTCTCAGTGTCAAAAGGATCTTTGGATAAAACTACCAGCCTTCTTTTAAAAGAGAAAAAAATAAAAAAAAAAAACCACCTGGGCTCTGGGCCAACCATGGGAGGTGAAAGCATGCCAGTGTGTAGAGTGAAGAGATCTAGCCATCTTGACATGCCCAAACAAATCACACAAGCTCTTCCACCCTCTTCCTTTCAGAGAAGAGCTTTCATTTCTGGCAAAAGAGCTGAGTGGAGGGAAGGCAAAAGCCCGGAAGGGGGAAGGTAGATACAAGATGAAATTGTTTTCACAGAGTTTCAAATTGAGCAGGATTACAAGTCTTAACTTGTCAGGGCCTGAATCTCTATCTCATTCTCAGATTTCTACCTCAAATAAAATAAGTTGAGAAACCACTAACTGAAAATAATTCTGTCCCTTGAAGGATCATCTAATTGGACCTGGCATGGAAATTTGGAATGCAGTCCTGCGAAGTTTATCATCTCCATTTATGTCCTGGAAAAGGGAAGATTTCTTTTACATCCTGACCTGGTTTCTGTACCACTTACTTAACAAATAAGCATTTAGAGAATGTCTCTCATATATGGTCTCTCAGTAAATTCTCTAAGTAGTTCTGGGAAGTAGACATTATCTCCATTTTTAAAACTTCTTATTTGAGATGTAATTTACATACCTAAAATTCACCCAATTAAAACATGCAAGTCAGTGGTTTCTAGTGTCTTTAAAGAGTTGTGCAACCATCACCACTATCTAATTTTAAAACATTTTTATCATTTCATACCCATCAAAAGTCACTTCCCCTTGCTCACTCCCCCAACCCCTGGCAACCACTGATCTATTTTTTAATCTCTATGGATTTGCCTATGCTGGACATTTCATATAAATGGAATTATACAATATGCGGTCTTTTTTGTCTGGCTCCTTTCACTTTAGCATAATGTTTTTGAGGTTTGAGGTTTCCTTTTTATGACTTCATTCCTTTTTATGACTGAATAATATTCCATGGTATTGCTTAGCCATGTTTTATTTATCCAGCTCATTAATTGGTGGACAACTGGTTTGTTTCCACTTTTTGGCTATTATGACGAGATCAGGCGCATTCGGGGTGGTATCCCCGTAGACTTGGCTATTATGAATAGTGTTGTTAGGAACATTTGTGTACAAGTTTTGTGTGAACGTATGTTTTCATTTCCCCTGGGTATATACATATACCTAGGAGTGGAATTGCTGGATCGTATAGTAAGTCTATGTTTAGCCTTTTGAGGAACTGCTGGACTATTTTCCAAAGCAGATATACCATTTTACATCCTTACCAGCAATGTATGAGTGTTCCAATTTTTCCACAGCTTTGCCAATACTTGTTATTGTCTGTCTTTTTATCAAAGCTGTCGAGGTAAAATAAAGTATAAAGGTGAATCTCTATATTTAAAACATCTTATTTGAGAAGGAAGAATTGTAATTTGGTGCATACATGCAGACCTAATGGTCTTCCATATGTCTGAAGAACAATGAGAAGGTTGGAGGTTTTGTAAACAGGAGAAATGTTACATTTTGTTCTGGAGAAAGATCATTGGGACTAGTAAAGTTTTGGAGATCTGGCAAGCTCTGATTAATGAGTGACAGCAGTGGGTAAAATGAGTCTTAGAGTCACAGTAGGTTTGTTTCAGTAGCTATTAGATAAAACTGGCTTTAGGCTACAACAGGCAGTTTCAAAAGCCAGGCTTATAGGGAATTATATTTTTGGAGCAACATTATGTGCCTTGTTTTTTTTTTCCCTGGTCTCTCAACTCCATTTTAGTTGGATATGAGAGGCATGACCCAATTAATATGATCCACTTTCACATTTTCCCCTTTTGATTAAGATCTTTTTTTGAAAGCATTGCCAATTAACTACTTATAAGTTAGCTTAATTGTCCCTCAGAGCTAGGATGGACCTGTTCTGGTTGTCTCTGTCCCACATCAGCAGGGAAGTATGGGGGCTTATGTCAGTGACCTGGGCCACATTTGAGTAGCAGAGTCCAGAAGGAAAAGTGTTCCTAGGGTACATTGTTCTAGAGTCAATTATCAAGTTCTATCTTAACAGTTCTATAAGCATTAGCAATCATCTCGAAGGATTGGGTTAACATTACTTTGTTGGGAGAGCTGGCATTATAAAGATTAAACAAGCAGTAAGAACAAAGCCGGCCAGTCATGGTGGCTCACACCTGTAACCCCAACACTTTGGGAGGCTGAGGCAGGAGGGTCTTTTGAGCCCAGGAGGTCAAGGCTGCAGTGAGTTATGATCACACCACTGCACTCCAGCCTGGGTGACAGAGTGAGACCCTGTCCCCAAAAAAAAAAAAAAAAAAAGCAAACAACAATAACAACAACAAAAAAAACCTTAAAAGTTATAATATAAAAAATAACAACAATATAATAAATTTAGTTTGTAAAATGCTTTTGAACTAAGAGCCCAAGACTAAGGGCAACAAACTAAACAAATTAAAAGACCATGGTGGTTAGCCGGGTGTGGTGGCAGGCGCCTGTAATCCCAGCTACTTGGGAGGCTGAGGTAGGAGAATCACTTGAACCCGGGAGGCGGAGGTTGCAGTGAGCCAAGATCGCGCCATTGCACTTCAGCCTGGGGAACAAGAGTGAGACTTTGTCTCAAAAACAAAAACAAAAACCATAGTGGAAACTGGGTGAGACCTGTAGTTGTCATTAAGTAGTATTTTATGACTTGCTTGCATTAAACAGAAAATTGCCAACTTTAGAAAAGGGACCACCAGTACAATTTGAACAGTAAGTTGTGTTAGGGATATTGTCTAAGCTGTCCACTAGGTGTACTAAAAGGAATTTTTTTTTTTTTTTTTTGCCATAAAGCATGGATATTTTATTCTAGGAAACGGAAAAAACAAAACAAAACAGGGAACACATCTTTCCACATACCATTCCAATTTAACTGACATTAATTCAGAAAAGCTAGAGCAGATATGCATGTGCATATGTATAAATATGTATATGTATATACACACGTACATATTTTCAGATTTTAATCTCATTGGTGTTCATATCTTGATTACATGATTTTTAAAATAATTATTTGCAACTTCACACATCTCATAGTTGTCTATGCAGTCTCTTTTTGCAGTCTGCTTCAGTTTCTAGTGTGCTGTACATATCTACATCTTCTGGGTGGGACTGCCTGTGATTCATGAACTTGGGGTCAGGCATAAACTGTGTAGCACCTGAGCTGGATTCTGATTTGGTCTGACTACAAGGATTTTTTTAAAAATATAATTAATTTCCTTCCCTCCCTCCCTTCCTTCCTTCATTTCCTTTCTTTCCCTTCTTTCCTTTCTCTCTCTCTCTCCTTCCTTCCTTCTTTTCCTTCTTTCTTTTCTTTCTTTCCTTTCTTTTTATTTTGTTTTTCCTTCCTTCCTTTCTTCCTTCCTTCCTTCCTTCTTTTCTTTCTTTCTCTCTTCTCTTTTCGTTTCTTTTTTCTTTTCTTTTCTTGACAGGGTCTCACTGTGTCACCAAGGCTGGTCTCAAACTCCTGGGCTGAAACTACCCTCTGCCTCGGCCTCTCAAAGTGTTGGGATTACAGACATGAGCCACCAAGCCTAGTCCTAAAAGGATTTTTTAGGTCAGATTTTTGTCAGGTTATCAATAACAGTTATTGACTGTGAAATTTTAATTACAGCATCTTATCAAATGAAAAGAGGAGCATTAAGGGAAGTAAGGGTCTCATGATATGTGGAGTCTTGTTTTGACATCTTAGGAAAAGCTGTTTGCAGCCTGGACAATGTCCACTTCTCATCCTGGTTTGTAGTTTGAATGTCACTGGTTAGGGCATTGGACAGTTTGGTGAACTTTCTATGTGGCCTATACATCAGGCCGACAGGCACAAAACTTGTTTATAAAAATTTCTCAGGTTTTAGCTTATAGGGCTTTAGGAACAGAGCAATTCCCTTTTTAGTAATTTTATGAAAGAAACTTGGATTGTAGGAACTTGGGAGATTTTAGGACCTAGACTACTCAAAAATAGATAACAATAACTTGAAAACAGTGTACAGAGTTATATTCTAATAACAGGTATATTATAGCTTTCTTTTGGGAACATAATTTATTTTTTACATTGAAAAATAAAATATTTCCTATTGAAATATAGGAATCTCACATTTAAACAGTCTTGCGGCTGGGAAGCCAAACGAAGGCAGACTTTGCATTTATTTATAGTCTTAAAGTTTCTGGGCCTGCCAGAAAGTGACAGTTTTATTTACTTACTATAAGGCTGGGAACCCTTGAAGTCAGGCATTTTATGTGTATTTTTAAATATGACATTTTAGTCAAAGCCTTGGTAATATAACTAACATTTAAGAGCAGAATTTTATTGGGTTTATGTAAATAACCATATTGTCCTAAGAATATTTAGAAATAGTTTTTGAATTTTGGAGGGATTAAGTAAGGAAAAGAAAAAACATGTTTTTATCTTTGTTTACAAAAGTACACTCTGTCAACTTGTTGGAAATGATACATAGCTTAAGAGAAATTTTTTTTAAATTGGGGAAACAAAGTATTTGCATAAAGTAACAATGTTTTAAATAAAAGTCATAAAACAGTTAATCTCATAATTAACTCCTATTTGATCTCTATTAGTAGTTTTATGAATCTATTAGGTTTTTTTTTTATTAGAGTCTTGGAAATTTGTATTGAGTCTGTTGATTTTAAAGTTATCAGAACTGGGCATGGTGGCTCATACCTGTAATCCCAGCACTTTGGGAGGACGAGGTGGGTGGATCACTTGAGGACAGGAGTTTGAGACCAGCCTGGCCAATATGGTGAAAACCCCATCTCTACCAAAAAATACAAAAATTAGCCAGGCACAGTGGTGCATTCCTGTAGTCCCAGCTACTTGGGAGGCTGAGGTGGGAGAATCACTTGAACCTGGGAGGTGGAAGCGTCAGTGAGCCAAGATTGCACCACTGCACTACAGCCTGGGTGACAGAGCAAGACTGTCTCTGAGGGAAAAAAAAAGACAACTTAGGTTTGATTTTGGGGAAGTTTCTCAAAGATATTAAAAGGCTGAAAATATTTGATGAAAACAGAATTACAGTTGGGCATAGTGGCATGTGCCTGTAGTTGCAGCCACTTGGGAGGCTGAAGTGGGAGGATTTCTTGAGCCCAGGAGTTTGGGGCCAACCTGGGCAACATAGGAAGACCCCCCATCTCTTAGGGGGAAAAAAAACAGAATTACAGGTTACTGTAAAATTATAGCCATTTATTTAACCAGCGTGATAATCAAAAGACTTTAAAAGTAATGTAGAGCCAGGCACGGTGGCTCACACCTGTAATCCCAGCACTTTGAGAGGCCGAGGCAGGTGGATCACCTGAGGTAAGGATTTCAAGACCAGCCTGGCCAACATGGCGAAACCCCATCTCTACTAAAAATACAAGTTAGCTGGACGTGGTGGCAGGTAATCCCAGCTACTTGGGAAGCTGAGGCAGGAGAATCTCTTGAACCCGGGAGGCAGAGGTTGCATTGAGCCGAGATCATGCCACTGCACTCCAGCCTGGGCGACAAGAGCAAAACTCCATCTCAAAAAAAAAAAAAGTTACATGGATGTTAAAACCTTAATCCTTTTAAAGCTCAGTTTTTTAAAAGTGATCAAAAACATAAGGCAATGCAGAAAATTATCATGGTAAAATGTAAAGTCTTTTTCTTTACCGAAAAGGTAAAGAAAAACCTCTTACAGTGTGATTGTTTTTTCTAAAGGGAATCTCATTTAGATAACATGGAAATCAAACCTGATGAAAAGATTGTTTGAATTTAATCTGACATAGGAAGAATGGGTCTAGGTTATAAGAGTAACAATTTAGATACATCAAGGAAAGTGAGGAATACAGAATCAAATTATATTGGAGGAAAACATTGCTTTTTTAGGCCATTAAGATAAACACTTTCATGTCAGGCCATAATGGCAGAGTTAGAACTGGAGAAAAAGTTCAGGAGCTGATGACAAAGTTGAAGGAGAGAGTTATCATCTCAGGCCTTTTTAAGGGGAGAAAATGCTAAATGCAGTGATGTATGACCTATAAATCACAAGTAGCAAGATACTGCAAAAGTCAAGCCTCTGAAATATGAATCTGAGAAATTTTATTTCATTTATTTAATTTTTAATTTTTTTTTTTTTTTTTGAGACAGGGTCTGACTGTCACCCAGGCTGAAGTGCAGTGGCACAATGTCAGCTCACTGGAACCTCCACCTCCTGGAGTTCAAGCAGTCCTCCCACCTTAGACTCCCGAGTAGCTGGGACTACGGGCATATGCCACCACACCCAGCTAATTTTTGTGTTTTTTGTAGAGACAGGATTGTGCCATGTTGCCCAGACTGGTTTCAAACTCCTGGGCTCAAGCAATCAGCCTGCCTCAGTCTCCCAAAGGGCTGGGATTACAGGTGTGAGCCACTATGCCTGGCCTTATTTATATTTATATTCTTATTTTTATTTTTTATTTCTCTTTTTTTCTTTTTTTTCTTTATTTTATTTTATTATTTTTATTTTTTGAGACAGGGTCTTACCTTGTCACCCAGGCTGGAATGCAGTGGCATGATTAAAGCTCACTGCAACCTGAATCTGAGAATTTTTTTTTTTTTTTTTTGAGACAGAGTCTCGCTCTGTCACCCAGGCTGGAGTGCAGTGGCGCAGTCTTGGCTCCCTGCAAGCTCCGCCTCCTGGGTTCACACCATTCTCCTGCCTCAGCCTCCCGAGTAGCTGGGACTACAGGTGCCTGCCACCACGCACTGGCTAATTTTTTGTGTTTTTTAGTAGAGATGGGGTTTCACCATGTCAGCCAGGATGGTCTCAATCTCCTTACCTCGTGATCTGCCCTCCTTGGCCTCCCAAAGTGCTGGGATTACAGGCGTGAGCCACCGCACCCGGCCAAGATATTTTTTTTTTAACAGTGTCTGTAAAGTATTGTCTTGGTCTCAATTTTTTGCCCTTTAAGATAAGAATCTCCTCATTCCTTTTAGTATGGAAAGGGGGTCTTTTATATGAGAATTTTATTTTTTGCTTTTAAGAAACAGCACGAAGGTCAAAATAATATTTTTTAAAATATCTGCTAGTTTTTACGTGTTTTTTACTTAAATTGTCAGCATGCCAGCCTAGCTGAGGAGTTTTGGAAAAAGAGAGTTAGCTTAGAGCAAGAGAGTAAGAAGGAATTCTAAGAAGGGGAGGGGCAAGCTCCAAAGAGGAGAGTCTCAACCAACTTTGAGATAGTATTTTATAGCTAGTCAGTCTTTGAGTCCGGGTTGGGTTTGGTTTTTTTAGCCTAAAGATATCCCTTGAGATATGAGTCTTATTTGGAATGTATGATTTTATTGCCATGGTCTTTTAGTTTAGTTTTAAGAACAACAGACTGCATGATCCCTGTAATGTTTGAACATGTTACCAGCTGGAATCTCAAAATATATCTTGGCATGTCTTTGAACTTTGAGAGCCCATTTGTAATTAAACTTATCTAGGTGACTCAGTTTAATGTTGAATATACAAAAGCCAATTAAATGCAAGTGTTGAATATGCAAAAGCCAAATAAACACAAGTGCTGATGGAAAATAAAGTATGTACTTACCAAGAGGACGATCAGCTGCCTTTCCCAACTGAAGGGAAAAGGAAAAATTCTTTCACCCAGGCCTCAACCTGGAGGAAAAATATCTCTTCACTCAGACCTCACAGCTGAGGTCTGCCAGGAGGAAAAGAGTCCTCCCCAACAGATGATCTCCCAACCAGAGAGAGACCCCCCTCCAAATAAGAGGAGGAAAGACCCTTCTCTAAGCAAATCCCAAACAAAACAGAACTTTACCCAAAGCAGGAGTGCCATCCAGGAGACTCACCAGGGAACACCTAGCTGACTCGTGGGAGAGAGGGTGCTCAAAGGCCCTCAATGTGAGTACCTTATGTCATAGTTCCAAGGGCCGATGATTTTTCCCAAGGTGAGTCAGGTTTGGAATCCCACTTCTGACACCACATATGTCAAAATCAAATAAAATATAAGGACAAATCTCTAAATTTAAAACATTTTGCAGAAGCAAGAATTGCAATTCAGGGCATACACAGACAGGGTGGTCTTCCATATGTCTGAAGAACAAAGATAAGTTTAGAGGTTTGGCCGGGCACGGTGGCTCACGCCTGAGGCAGGCAGATCACTTGAGGTCAGGAGTTCGAGACCAGCCTGGCCAACATGGTGAAAACCCATGTCTACTAAAAATACAAAAATTAGCCAGGTGTGGTTGTGCACACCTGTAATCCCAGCTACTCTGGAGGCAGGAGAATCACTTGAACCCAGGAGGTAGAGGTTGCAGTGAGCTGAGATCAGGCCACTGCACTCCAGCCTGGGTGACAGGGCGAGACTCTGTCTCAAAAACAAAAAAGAAGAAGAAGAGGAAGAAGTTTGGAGATTTTATAAAAAGGAGAAATGTTACATACTGTTCCAGAAAGAAAGTTCATTGGCACTGTAAAGTTCTGAGCAGCTGACAAGCTCTGAGGAGTGACAGTGGTGGGTAAAACTAGTCTTAGAGTTGCAGCAAGTTTGTTTCAGTAGCTAAGATAAAACTGGTTTTAGGTTACTTTTTTAAATTTCTTTTTTATTTTATTTTTTTTTAATTTCTTGGTTTTAGGTCACAATAGGGAGTTTCAGCAGCTGGGCTTGTAGGGAATTATACTTTTGGGGCAATATTATGTGCACTGCGTGCTTTGTTTCCCTGGCCTCTCAACTCTTAGGTGGGTATGACAAAAATGACCAAATTTGTTTGATCAGCTTTCACATAGCCACCCTAATGGGTGTGAAGGGGTATCTCATTGTGATTTGATTTGCACTTCACTCATGACTAGTGATGTTGAAGATCTTTTTATGAGTTCATTGCCCATTTGTAAATCTTCATTAGAGAAGTGTCTATTCAGATTCTTTGCCTTTTTTTTTTTTGAGATGGAGTCTCACTCTGCTGCCCAGGCTGGAGTGCAGTGGCATGATCTTGGCTCACTGCAACCTCCACCTCCCAGGTTCAAGTGATTCTCCTGCCCCAGCCTCCTGAGTAGCTGCGATTACAGATGCCTATCACCACACCCAGTTAATTTTTGTATTTTTAGTAGAGACAGGGTTTAGCCATGTTGGCCAGGCTGGTCTCGAACTCCTGACCTCAGATGATCCCCCGCCTTGGCCTCCCAAAATGCTAGGATTATAGGCGTGAGCCACTGCGCCCAGCCTCTTTGCCCATTTTTAATTTTTTTTTTCCTTCCTATCATTGAGTTATAACAGTTCTTTATACATTCTGGAGAAAAGTCCTTTATCAGATGCATGATTTGCAGATATTTTCTGCCATCCTGTGGATTGTCTTTTCTCTTACATAATGGTGTCATTTGAAACACAGAAGTTTTTACTTTCAATGAAGTCTAATTTCTGTTTCTTCTTCTTCTTCTTTTTTTTTTTTTGACACTGAGTCTTGCTTTGTCGCCCAGGCTGGAGTGCAGTGGCACGATCTCGGCTCACTGCAAGCTCCGCCTCCCGGGTTCACGCCATTCTCCTGCCTCAGCCTCCCGAGTAGCTGGGACTACAGGCTCCCACCACAATGCCCGGCTAATTTTTTTGTATTTTTTAAGTAGAGACAGGGTTTCACTGTGTTAGCCAGGATGGTCTTGATCTCTTGACCTCGTGATCCGCCCACCTCGGCCTCCCAAAGTGGGGGGATTACAGGCGTGAGCCACCGCGCCCGGCCTTTTCTTTTCTTTTAAGACAGGGTCTTACTCTCACCCAAGTTGGTGTGTAGTGGTGCGATCTTGGCTCACTGTGGCCTTGATATCCCCAGGCTTACTACAGCCTTGGCCTCCCACCTCAGCCTCCCAAGTAGCAAGTAGCCAGGACTACAGGTGCACACCACCATGCCCAGCTAATTTTTGTATTTCTTGTAGAGACAAGATTTTGCCATGTTGCCCAGGCTGGTCTGAAACTCCTGGGGTCAAGTAATCTGCCTGTATCAGCCTCCCAAAATGCTGAGATTACAGGTGTAAGCCACTGTACCCCACCTAATTTCTCTTTCATTGCTTGCACTTTTGATATCATTTCTAACAAATTGTTGCCTAGCCCAAGATAATGAAGATTTATTTCTGTGTTTACTTCCAATAGTTGTACAGATTTCACTCTTACATTTAGGTCTGTGATCCATTTCGAGCTAATTTTTGGATGTGATGTGAGATATCCCCATTTTATAGGTGAAAATTCTGAGGCCTACATGAGTTAAGTTCGTTTTTCAAGATTACACAGCAAATAATTTGAACCATGTTCTTGGCCTCTTAATCTTAATCTTAATCTTATTTTTCCCCCAGTATGCTAGGTTACTTCTCTAGAGCTTTCAAATGATGATAGAAATTGGCCATGTTGTTCTATCTTTAAAATTTAAAGGCTGGGCGCAGTGGCTCACGCCTGTAATCCCAGCACTTTGGGAGGCCGAGGCAGGCGGATCACGAGGTCAGGAAATCAAGACCATCCTGGCCAACATGGTGAAACCGTCTCTACTAAAATTACAAAAATTGGCCAGGCATGGTGGTGTGTGCCTACAATCCCAGCTACTCAGGAGGCTGAAGCAAGAGAATCGCTTGAACCAGGGAGTCGAAGGTTGCGGTGAGCCAAGATTGTGCCACTGTACTCCAGCCTGGCGACAGAGTAAGACTCCGTCTCAAAAAAAAAATTAAAAAGATGTATTATGATTGTCAATAATATTTATTAAAATTAAATAATGCTTAATTATCTAGAAAGCTTTGATTCTGTCAACAAGCCTGAAATATAATAAGACTAGATATTATAACCCATCTCTTTTTTTTTTTTTTTTTTTTTTGAGACAGAGTCTCCCTCTGTTGCCCAGGCTGGAGTGCAGTGGCGTGATCACAGCTCACTGCACGCTCTGCCTCCTGGGTTCAAGAAATTCTTCTGCCTCAGCCTCCCAAGTAGCTGGGACTACAGGCACACACCAACATGCCCAGCTAATTTTTGTATTTTTAGTAGAGATGGGGTTTCACCGTGTTGGCCAGACTGGTCTGAAACTCCTGACCTCAGGTGATCCGCCTGCCCCGGCCTCCCAAAGTGCTGGGATTACAGGTGTGAGCCATCACGCCCAGACTACAACCCATCTTTTATAACTGAAGAATTGACTTGCCTACAGTCACAGAAGTTGGGAGAGTGATGGAGCTGGGATCAAGCCATTTTACAGGGATTCCCAGTCTCTTGTACCTTATCTTACTACAGTGCAGCTGATATATATATATATATATGATGCCTTCTTTCCCTCTCCCAAGCCAGAGATTGCATTTCAAAGCCCACAACACTTGAGTTTTACACTAGCTTCATTTTTTGAATATCTGTCCAGTGGTTTCCTTTATCAATCAAAGATTGATACATTCAAATTTGCATCAGAATATTTAACAATTTAGTACTTACATGTAAGTAAAAGATGAACCGGCTACTTCACTGTTAGCTATTTTCACTTTCCAAGATTGCCTTGGATGTAAAGAGAAATGACAGTAAGTAACTATTGTCATTTATTATGACAAGTTAGCATTTATTGAGTATCTATGTGCTAGTCACAGCAACCCTGCAGGTTAGGAATTATTCTCCCCATTTTACAGATGAGGGAACTGAGGCTTAAGGATGTTAAGTAACTGGCCCACAGTGACTCAGATACCTCATGACAACATCAGGATTTGGATTTGTGCCTCTGGCTCTGAAGTCTACATTTTTGCCACAGGGAAAAATAATCAATCATAGTGCCCTCATTCTTTTTGTTCCCAAGATGCAAGGGCTGAGTTTCCTAGTGGTCTTAAGTATAGGAGAACCAGGCCTACCTTTGGAAAATTGTTTCACTATATATCAACCCTGTTTATAACTTAATAGTATGCTGACCTCATGCTTGATTTTTGTTTTATTTTTGCTAACATGGCAATGTGTCAAGTGTTAATTTTTAAGCAATCTCTGTGTGTATCTTTGAAACTCATCTTTCACATGGACTGTGAGTACGTATTACCTCACACACTGCCCACCCTTCTTCCTGCAGACAATCATTAGTGTTTCAGCATTGAAAGTATCAGCATTGTTTTAGGAGCATTAGGAAAGAGGCTTCAGAAATCAATCCTGGGTGGCTGGGTGCGGTGGCTCACGCCTGTAATCCCAGCACTTTGGGAGGCCAAGGTGGGCGGATCACCTGAGGTCGGGAGTTCGAGACCAGCCTGACCAACATGGAGAAACCCTGTCTCTACTAAAAATACAAAATTAGCTGAGCGTGGTGGTGCATGCCTCTAATCCCAGCTACCTGGGAGGCTGAGGCTGGAGAAACGCTTGAACCTGGGAGGGGCAGGTTGCGGTAAGCCGAGATCGCGCCATTGCCCTCTAGCCTGGGCAACAATAGTGAAACTCCGTCTCAAAAAGAAAGAAAGAAAGAAAGAAGTCAATCCTGGGATTTATCCAGTTTACTGAGAGCGTGAGTTAAGTAAGCACGTAGCTTTCTGTATAGAACTTTTGAGATCTGTTGTATTTCTGGTGCCAATAAATGACATTTAAAAATAGCTTACCTTGGCCAGGCATGATGGCTCACACCTGTAATCCCAGCACTTTGGGAGGCCGAGGCAGGCAGATCACTAGAGGTCAGGAGTTTCAGACCAGCCTGGCCAACATAGTGAAACTTTGTCTCCACTAAAAAGACAAAAATTAGCCGGGCATGATTGTCAGTGCCTGTAATCCCAGCTACTTGGGAGGCTGAGGCAGGAGAATCGCTTGAACCCGGGAAGCAGAGGTTGCAGTGAGCCGAGATTGCACCATTGCACTTTAGCTTGGGAGATGAGCGAAACTCTGTCTCAAAGAAAAAAAAAAAAAGCTTACTTTAAAATAATACAAATTATGAGGATGTGAAGAAATGTTGCCGGTAGAAATGTAAAATGGTACAGTTGCTTTGAAAAATAGTCTGGCCATTTTCAAAAGGTTAAACATGGTTATCATGTGACCTATCAGTTCCACTCCTAGGTATATACCCATGAGAAATGAAAACATATGTCCACACAAAAGTTTATATTTATATATATATATAGGCATTATTTATAATAGCTGAAAAATTGAAACAACATACATATTAATATCTACCGCCTGATGAATGGATTCATAACATCTGATGTATGTACACAGTGGAATATTATTTGGCAGTAAAAAGGAATGAACTATTGATTCATACTGCAACATGAATGAATTTGAAAATATGGTAAGGAAAAGAAGCCAGACACAAAAGGCCATGTGTTGTATGATTCCTATATGAATGAAATGTCCAAAACAGACAAATGTATAAATTCAGAAAGTAGAGTAATAGTTGTCAGAGGATGTGGGGGATGGAGGAGTAAGGAGTGACTGATAATGGATATGAGGTTTCTTTGTGAGGAGATGAAAATGTTTTGGAATTAGATAGTGGGGATTATTGCACAGCCTGGTAAATATACCAAAACTAACTGAATTGTACACTTAAAAAAATTAAAGGCCACACGTGGTGGCTCATGCCTGTAATCCCAACACTTTGGGAGGCCGAGGCAAGCAGATCACCTGAGGTCAGGAGTTTGAAACCAGCCTGGTCCTACATGGTGAAACCCCATCTCTACGAAAAATACGAAATTAGCTGGGCATAGTATGGGTTCCTATAATCCCAGCTACTCTGGAGGCTGAGGCAGGAGAATCGCTTGAACCTGGGAGGCGGAGGTTGCAGTGAGCCGAGATCGAGCCACTGTATTCCAGCCTGGGCGACAGAGCGAGACTCTGTTTTAAAAAAAAAATTTAGGATGGGCGCGGTGGCTCACACCTGTAGTCCCAGCACTTTGGGAGGCTGAGGTGGGTCGATCACGAGTTCAGGAGTTCGAGACCAGCTTGGCCAACATGGTGAAACCCCATCTCTACTAAAAGTACTAAAATTAGCCAGGTGTGGTGGCGGGCACCTGTGATCCCAGCTGCTCAGGAGGCTGAGGCAGGAGAATCGCTTGAGCCTGGGAGGCGGAGGTTGCAGTGAGCTGATGTGGCACCGTTGCACTCCAGCCTGGGCAATAGAGCAAGACTCTGTCTCAAAAAAAAAGTAAATTTAAAAAATTTAAAAATAACGTTAAAAACTCAGAACAGTACTGTTGTTTTTTGTGGAGCTCTCAGGACTATGAAAGATGGGTGGGCAGGATTTAGACACTCAAATGAGTGTGAGGGGATTGAAGCTGAGGGAAAAGCAAAGGTAGGAAGATGTTCAAGAGTGGGGCCAGACCAGGTGCTGTGGCTGCTGCCTGTAATCCCAGCACTTTGGGAGGTCGATGTGGACGATCACTTGAGCCCAGTAGTTTAAGACCAGCCTGGACAACATGGCAAAATCCTGTCTCTATAAAAATTTTAAAAATTAGCCGGGTGTGGTAGCGCATGCCTATAGTCCCAGCTACTCTGGAGGCTGAAGTGGGAGAATCACTTGAGCCCAAGAGGTCAAGACTGCAGCAAGCTGTGATCATACAACTGCACTCCAGCCTGGGTGACAGAGACCCTGTCTCAAAAAAAAAAGGCAGGGTGGGGGGGTTGGGCAAATATAAAGTATAACAGAAGGGAAGCAGTTCAGGTTGTTAGTGGAGCAAAATGGGCATGAAGGCAAGGTATAGGAGTCAGTATCTTCATCTCCCATTTTTCAGACAAAGAAACCAGGGCTAAGAGGCCAACTGCTTGGCCAACCAGTATGTAATAGAGGCTGGATTCAACTCCAAAGCCAAGGCCCTTATTTATGCCTCTGTACTTCCTTCCTTTTTCCATTGCATTTTCTCACCTTTGTCACAACACCATGGCCTCTGTTCTTTTTTTTTTTTTTTTTTGAGACAGAGTCTCGCTCTATCGCCTAAGCTAGAGTGCAGTGGCGTGATCTCAGCTCACTGCAAGCTCTGCCTTCCCGGTTCACACCATTCTCCTGCCTCAGCCTCCTGAGTAGCTGGGACTACAGGCACCCGCCACCACGCCCAGCTAATTTTTTGTATTTTTAGTAGAGACGAGGTTTCACCGTGTTAGCTAGGATGGTCTCGATCTCCTGACCTTGTGATCCACCCGCCTCGGCCTCCCAAAGTGCTGAGATTACAGGCGTGAGCCACCACACCTGGCCAGCCTCTGCTCTTACGGATGGTAAAATTAAACCATGGAACCATGGATCATGACATTTTCAGTGAAGCAATTAAATACTTCTTAATTTCATGGCTTCTGGGGCTCCTTTAAAGTCCCTCACCTCCTATTCATATAGACTAGCTGTCACAAAGGCAGGATTCATGACCAAGAAGGCAACATGAGATACCTCCAGGTAAAGAGTCAGTTGCTTAAATGTCCACTTTACAAGCTATTAAGGAGGTCTAAGTACCTTCCCTGCAGAACAGCGATTTAAATTTTGCCCTGGAGCCACCCTTTCTCTAGTAAAGTTGGAATTTGAAGGCAAGTTAAGGAGGATGGAGTAGTGAGAGAGCTTGTAAGTAAAACAGCAAGTCCCTCTTCAGACTTCCCCTTAAATACAGCATCCCACACTCTCTAAGTAATCCATGGTTTTTACTGGAGCTTTATTGCAGTATCAGCTAGAGGTGCACCCTGCTTTTGTGTTTCCCTCCCCAACTAAAGAGCAAGCAGCCTATGTCACCCTTCATCTCAAATACAAATTAAAATTCCTAATCTCACCAGATGTGATTAAGATGATACTTGAAGCTGTTCACACACTTAGTAAGCCCAATTATATTTTTTATTAACACTGACATAGTTCCTTTTGTTGGTGAATCATAACTTTACAATTTTTAACTGAATGAAGCATCAATTACCCCCTCTCAGGTCACGTTGAGAACTTGGCAGTGGTGGAAGGTAAACTTAAATGGTGTCTGTACAGTTTGGGCAACACATTTTTAGATTTTTACATTAGGCTTTTGTGCTTCCTGACCTTGTGGTATCTCTCCTGCCCCAGAGGAGGATTGAAGGTTGGGAATGAATTGAGCCTCAGGGAATGAATCACAACCCCTTGAGCTGCCAAAGACCTCATTAGGTCATCTCTCTGTCCACCTGCTGGGACATGATTGCTAAGGTGTTTCTTAGGAGAAAGCTGTTTTAGAATCACTTTTGTACTTTGTGTTCAACTTTTGTTTTCCACTATTGATAACCTTTAAATAGGGACAAAAAGAGAATTGTAAAATATTTTCTTTGGCAATTAGGGTTTTCTTTTTGTTGTTGTTGTTAATGGCTTAAAATGTTCATTCACTCAACAGGTATTTTTTATTATTATTATTATTATTATTATTATTATTATTATTATTTTGTGTGTGTGAGACGGAGTCTTGCTCTGTCTCCCAAGCTGGAGTGCAGTGGCACAATCTTGGCTCACTGCAACCTCTGCCTCCCAGGTTCGAGCGATTCTCCTGCCTCGGCTTCCTGAGTAACTGGGATTACAGGCACGCACCACCACGCCTGGCTAGTTTTTTGTATTTAGCAGAGACAGGGTTTCGCCATGTTGGCCAGGCTGATCTCGAATTCCTGACCTCAGGTGATACACCTGCCTCGGCCTCCCAAAGTGCTGGGATTATAGGCGTGAGCCACTGCACCCGCCTCAACAGATATTTATTGAGCACTGCTATGTTTGAGGGTGCTGTGCAAGGTACAACACTGAGAAAAACAGTCATGTCTTGCCTTCATGGAGTTTACAGTTGGAGAAGAGCAAATGATACAAAATCACACAAATGTAAAACATGGTTTTGACACAGGTGCTCTAAATAAAAGGTACATGGTGTTCTCTCACTAACTCCATCCTCCTTAACTTGCCTTCAGATTCCAACTTTACTAGATAAAGGGTGGCTCCAGGGCAAAATTTAAATAGCCGTTCTGTAGGGAAGATACTTAGACCTCCTTAATAGCTTGTAAAGTAGACATTTAAGCAACTGACTCTACCTGGAGGTATCTCATACTGTCTTCTTGGTCGTGAAACCCGCCTTTGTGACAGCTAGTCTATATGAATAGGAGGAGAAGGACTTGAAATGAGCCCCAGAAACCATGAAATTAAGATGTATTTAATTGCTTCACTAAACATGTTTTAGGGACATTTTCCCTGACAGCAAGGGAACGAGGCAGTAACCCATCAGTGAGGATCTGTGGGTAGTTAGGAATTAACCTAGTAAAGAAGGGAGGAGACCAGGCACAGTGGCTCATGCCTGTAATCCCAGCACTTTCGGAGGCCGAGGTGGGCGGATCACTTGAGGTCAGGAGTTCGAGACCAGCCTGGCCAACATGGTGAAACCTCGTCTCTACTAAAAATACAAAAAAAAAGAAAAGTTAGCTGGGTGTGGTGGTGTGTGCCTGTAATCCCAGCCACTTGGGAGGCTGAGGCAGGAGAATTGCTTCAACCCAGGAAGCAGAGGTTGCAGTGAGCTGAGATCGTGCCACTACACTCCAGCCTGAGCAACAGAGCAAGACTCCATCTCAAAAAAAAAAAAAAAAAAAGGAAGGAGGAAAGAGTGTTGTAGGATGCGAAACAGCAAAGCAGCAGGACTACAGCAGGGAGGAGCAGGAGGCAAGAACTGCATGAACGCCTGTGCCCTCCAGACCCTTAGGATCAGTAAGGAGGGGCATGGGTGAGTGGGTTTGGAGCACCAGGCAACCCACTCTAACCAGATGGCTCTCCTTTTCTCTCTTTCATCAAGCCCTCTCTTAAGATTTCATGGAAAAACAAAGTTCTGCTGCTCAAAAGAAAAAAAAAGTTTTGAGAACTCACTGTCAGGCTATGTACGTGCCTAGCGAGAAAGTTTTATACCACATTTCATGTGTCATGCCACATACACACCCTTCCTCACCTCTTCACCACTGATGGAGAATTCAGTCTCTCCTTAAGCCTACTTTCATAAAATGCAATGAGAATGTTTGGATATCTGTACAAATTTCTGAGCTTGGTTGTCCAACACACAGCCCTTAACCATTATGAAAAACATCCTAATTGCAGATTAAAAAGGTAAAAAACCATATGGCATTATTTTAGGCCAGTGGGTTTTAAGTAATTTTTTAGCGGTGGAATCCATTTTCAAATGAGATCTAACATGAAGGCATCAAAAACTCAGGTGATTTTTATTTTCTTCTTTGTGTCTTTTATATTTTTCATGTTTTCTAATATGAACACGTATTGATTTTATAATAAGAAGAGAATGTTTTTAAAATTACATGGCTGTTTAGGGAAACTGAATTGTTTCATGACAACAAGGTTCAGGGACTAGTACAGATTGAAACAGATGGCTTCCCTCGGTGTAGTACCCCCCGTTGACCTTTTCACAACTAGGGATTACTAAAGCACAGAGTGACTATGGCTTTTTCACTGTGAAATTATATGACAGCAGAAACCTAACTGACAAACAGATGTTTTTCCCAAGTGGAGCTTTTCTTAATGAAATCGTTGCTTGGAAACCAGACCATAATAATAACTTCTCTATATTTAGTTTGTAAAGTGATTCAGTTTGCAAAATTATTAAGTCAGAGTATACTAATTAGATAAAATTGAATGTATCTATTATTTGTCTTGCAATTCAGCAACCAAATGGTTAAGCTAGGAGCAGAATTTCATCCGGGATATATCTGTCCAGATGCCATTCATAACAGGGGACATACAAGGAAAATGACAGCTCATAGAGCAACGCTGCTCTGCTCCTCACTGTGACTGCATTGGCACAGTGGTGTTTGATCTTTCACTCATACTTATTAGAAGCTGTTACTTGCAGCACTTATTAAGATGCTGAGACGATCAGTTGGGTCACTGGGTCAAAAATTGTACGTGAAAATGTGAAAATAAATTCAATTTAAATTACTCAGTGAGACAACAGTATAAAGGAGAAAGATTCAGGAGTGAATATACTTGTTTAGCATGATAGAATTTATCAGTGGAAAGTCTGATATACTATTAGTAATACAAAGAAACCTTAACATGCAGCATATTTGTCAGGTAGATTAAAACATTAAATCTTAAATTCAAACTATACATATTCTATAAAAAAATAGATATCTGCCTTCCACTTCCAGTAATAATGAGATAACTCAGCTAAAAATAACTATTATATAAGCCAGGCATGGTGGCTCACATCTGTAATCCCAACACTTTGGGAGGCCCGAGGCTGGAGGATTACCTGAGGTCAGGAGATCAAGACCAGCCTGGCCAACATGGTGAAACCCCATCTCTACTAAAAATACAAAAATTAGCTGGGCATGGTGGTGGGCACCTGTAATCCCAGCTACTCGGGAGGGTGAGGCAGGAGAATTGCTTGAACTCAGGAGGTGGAGGTTGCAGTGGGCTGAGATTGCACCACTGCACTCCAGCCTGCGCAATGGGGTGAGACTCTGTCTCAAAAAAACAAAACAAAAAATAAAAACAACTATTACATAGGGTAACATATTTAAAACACTTTAAAAGCATTAAAGAGCTCATAAGAAAACAGGGAATAACCAAGCCAGCATCTAAAGAGAAAACCAGAACTCTATGAGGTGAACTGAACATAAGAACCTGCATTTACTCTGAGGGCATTTGCTTGAAATTAAGCTGTGGGTTTCATGGCTTTGAAGGGCAACATTGCAGAAATGAAAGCCCAGACCAAGTTTGAAGTAGGAGTCTAACAGAAGGCCCTCCAACATTAAGCTTAGACCCGCTAAGGAATACGCCTCCAGATGTACCTTCAAGTACCTTCACCTGTTCCCAAGGGTCTGGGAGTAGACTTGTCTTGGCACTAAGCAGAGCAGGAGGGAATAAGGAAAGAAAACCTCTATCTGAGGCCAGGCACAGTGGCTCATGTCTGTAATCTGAGCACTTTGGGAGGCCGAGGCAGTTGGATCACCTGAGGTCAGGAGTTTGAGACTAGCCTGGCCAATATGGTAAAACCCTGACTCTACTAAAAATACAAAAATTAGCCAGTCATGGTGGCAGGCACCTGTAATCCCAGCCACTCGAGAGGCTGAGGCAGGAGAATCACTTGAACTCAGGAGGCAGAGGTTACAGTGAGCCGAGATTGCGCCACTGCACTCCAGCCTGGGCGACGGAGTAAGTCTCTGTCTCAAAAGAAAAAAAAGGAAAAGAAAAAGAAAACTTGTATTTGAGAGGTTATGATCACGGAATGGACCTCTTCTGCTGACTTGCTTTATTGGGATTCAGGAAATCTCAAGCAGGGAATTAGAATTTAAAATGTTTCTATACCTGTAGTGTCTATAAGAGTCTTGCAGAAATGAAAGCATATCTCCTATGGAAGAAGGCCCCTTCATCCTAGACCTCGAAGAATCCTCATTGTCATTTTTTATTTTTACTTTAATTTTTAAATTTTTTAATAATTAAAAAATATTTTATTGCGGTTTTATGTGTGTATGCATGCATGCATGCATGTATAGCAACATAAAGTTGGCCATTTTAATTATTTAAAAATCTACAATTCAGTGTCATTAGTTGTATTGATAATGTAGTCATTATCACTATTTCTAAAACTTTCTCATCAGCCCACACAGAAACTCTATAACATTAGGCAATAATTCCCCATTTCTTCCTTCTCCATGTAATTATTTAAGGCTAATAATTAGTACATAGTCACAAAATAACCAAGCATAACACTATTTTTTTTTTTTTTTTTTGAGACAGTGTCTCGCTCTGTCACCCAGCCTGGAGTGCAGTGGTGCGATTTTGGCTCACCGCAGCCTCCACCTCCCTGGTTCAAGCAGTTCTCGTGCCTCGGCCTCCTGAATAGCTGGGATTACAAGCGCCCAGCACCATGCTTGGCTAATTTTTGGATTTTTTAGTAGAGACTGGGTTTCACCATGTTGGCCAGGCTGGTCTCGAACTCCCAACCTCAAATCATCTGCCCACGTTGGCCTCCCAAAATTCTGGGATTACAGGCGTGAGTCACCATGCCCAGCAAGCATAAGACTTTAGATGTTGGAATTGTCACATAGAAATTATGAAGTAACCATACTTATTATATTTAGAGAAATACAAGATAAGTTTGAAAATATCTTCAGGGAATGGGAAACAACAATTATCTAATAGATTTGAAAAATGAAATGGAAAGTCTTAAAGTAAAAAGTAGAATAACTAAAATTAAAAATTCAGGCCACATGCAGTGGCTCACACCTGTAATCCCAACACTTTGATAGGCTGAGGAGGGTAGATCATTTAAGGTCAGGAGTTCGAGACAAGCCTGGCCAACATGGTGAAACCCCGTTTCCACTAAAAATACAAAAATTAGCCGGGTGCAGTGGCAGTCCCCTGTAATCCCACCTACTTGGGAGGCTGAGGCAGGAGAATCACTTGAACCGGGAGGCAAAGGTTGTAGCGAGCCAAGACTGCGCCATTGCACTCCAGCCTGGGCAAGAAGAGGGAAACTCCATCTCAAAAAAAAAAAACAAATTAAATTAAAAATTCAGTGTATGAGCCGGGTGCAGTCACTCGCGCCTGTAATCCCAGCACTTTGAGAGGGTGAGGCGGGCAAATCACCTAAGGTCAGGAGTTCGAGACCAGCCTCAACATGGAGAAACCCTGTCTCTACTAAAACCACAAAATTAGCCGGGCGTGGTGGTGCATGCCTGTAATCTCAGCTACTTGGGAGGCTGAGGCAGGAGAATTGCTTGAACCTGGGAGGCGGAGGTTGCAGTGAGCTGAGATCGCGCCACTGCACTCCAGCCTGGGCAGCAAGAGCGAAACTCTGTCTCAAAAAAAAAAAAAAAAAGAGAGAGGAAGGAAGGAAGCAGGGGAGGGAGAGAGAGAGGGAGGGAGGAAGGAAAGAAAAGAAAGGAAAGAAAAAGAAAAAAAACCTCTTTTAATTGCAGAAACAGATTTTTAAGAGGCTTTCCCTCTATTTACAGATGTCCAGGATGAGCACAATGGCTTATACCTGTGATCCCAGCACTGTGGGAGACTGAGATGGGGGAGGATTACTTGAGACCAGGAGTTCAAGACCAGCCTAGGCAGCATAGCAAGGTCCTGTCTCTACGAAGCATTTTTTAATATTTTAGCAGGGTGTGGTGGTGCTTGCCTGTGGTCCCAGCTACTCAGGAGCCTGAGGCAGGAGGATCATCTGAGGCCAGGAGTTCAAGGTTGCAGTGAGCCATGATCATGCCACTGCACTCCAGTCTGGTTATCAGAGTAAGACCCTGTCTCTAAATTTAAAAAAACAAGTGTCCTGTTATATCTCACTAAACACAGGATTTTAACCTGAAGGGTTAATGTCAAGTTAACCCCTGTGTAGAACCCTACAGGGTGCCTGATTAGGTTGGATAACTCCCTGAAATTATAGGCAGAGTGTTTATGTGTGTATTTTCATATTTTAGGAAAGAATTCTTTGGAAGAGTTTTACAGTAGTTCTGTTTGGTTTCCATGTGACACTACAGTTTTAAGTCCTGCATGTCATGTTTGCTCATTTCACAATGATCGCTTTTTCCAAGCCACTGCTAGCCTGGAGCACCTATCACAAAGACTTGCCTAATCATGTCATCAAGACATCTGTTAGGGTTAAATAAGGAAAAAATGGGCCGAGTGCGGTGGCTCACGACTGTAATCCCAGCACTTTGGGAGGCCAAGGTGGGTGGATCATGAGGTCAGGAGTTCGAGACCAGCCTGACCAACATGGTGAAACCCTGTCTCTACTAAAAATATAAAAGTTAGCTGGGTGTGGTGGTGTGCACCTATAATCCCAGCTACTCAGGAGGCTGAGGCAGGAGAATTGCTTGAACCTGGGGGGTGGAGGTTGCAGTGAGCCAAGATCACGCCACTGCACTCCAGCCTGGATTACAGAGCAAGACTCCATCTCAAAATAAAATAAAATAAAAATAAAAATAAATAAGGAAAAAATGGAGAACTGAGGAAGAGTTTCCACCTTGCCTCTGTCACTGGCTGGTGCCCCAGACACAGGGCACATCTCCTAGCCCACCAAGCTTTTCTCAGGACACTTGGAGGATGTGAAAGATCAGCCCTGTCTTGCCAGAACTTTAGGCCAGGTGGCAACTCTCCGTGGAAGCCTTTGGCTTTTTCTAAACTAGTGAGAACCTGACAAGTCAGTCAGCTCTGCTGATTCTGCAGCTTTTCTTTGCATAGGCTTGAGGTGAAATGTCAGTAGAAAACTTAGGGGAAAAATAAACCTGAAGTTCAGGTGGTTCTCCTCCTACCTGGACCACCCATCTCAGGGCTTTCAGGAGGTGTGAGGAATGTTTTGTTTTCTTACCTAAATTTGGCGGACAGAGAAGTACCCATTATTTTCTTGGATATCCGAAGCCCCTCTTTTCTTTTTACTGGTAACTGTTTCTTTTGATAGCATAAAGAGAATATTTATGTGCTTTTTTACTCTTTGAAAGCTACATAAAGAAAATTAAATGAATGACGCCTGGCTTCTTTATTTCTTACCCGTGATCAGCTGAATTATAAGTTTCGCTGAATGCTTAGGGCAGTGATTACTTTCAATGCAGCAGTAATTGCCGTTTTCTTTCCCTTCCTTCTTTATGCCTTCAGTCAGTATTAGGGCAGCTTTTTTTTTTTTTTTTTCTGTACGTACTCCAGAACCTTGATCATCATGGTGTTCTTAAGGCACAGCTTTCCTGACTTCTGCTCTCTCACTCCTTCCCCTCTGGGATTCATTCACAGGTATTTGATAGAGGCAGCCCAGCACAGCTGACTGTAAGCTTTCCAGTGCTGTTTTTTAAATTATTTTTTATTTAATTAATTATTATTCTTATTTATTTATTTTATTTGAGACAGAGTCTCGCTCTGTCACCCAGGCTGGAGTGCAGTGACACAGTCTTGGCTCACTGCAACCTCTTCCTCCCGGGGTTTAAGCAATTCTGCCTCAGTCTCCCAGGAAACTGGGATTGCAAGTGTACGCCACCATGCCTGGCTAATTTTTGTATTTTTAGTAGAAACGGGGTTTCACCATGTTGGCCAGGCTAGTCAAACTCCTGGCTTCAAGTGATCCACCCACCTCAACCTCCCATAGTGCTGGGATTACAGGCATGAGCCACTGTGTCTCCAGCTGTGTTTTTGGATTTGTTTTATTTGTTTGAGTGTAGTAGCACAAGAGATTTAGGGGGCTTGCAGTAGCCTATAAAGATGTTGTGGAGTGGAGGTGTTTGAGAATCACTGGTTAAAAAACTGAAACTCATTAAAATCCAAGTTCTTCATTTTCTTTCATATGGCTTTTCCGTTATCCCTAATGTTGGCAGCACCTCAAGTTAGAATCATTCGTGAATTTCATTAACATCACTACCTCCCTTTTCCACATACTAAACAAAGATATCAACTAGGAACAAAGCAGTCCCTGTGAAGCCCAGCTAGCCACAGTGGGGGATGCTGGCTGTGCATGTGGGATGCAGAGTTCCTCTCCTTATGCTGACCTTGGAGTCCATGAGAAAGATTTCTTTTGGAGTGAGGCTGACCTTATATACTTGAAACTGTGAAGTTTGCTATCTTGAGGGTTAGGATTTGCAAAGCTAGTATGATTCCGGTAGTTATTTTCTCCGAGGCACTGCTGCCAGGTGCGCTGTCATGTAGCAGAGTGACTGAGCATGCGGGTTTGCAGTCCTGCCCCGCCACATGGCAGCTCTGTCATCTTGGGCCATATTTTCACCTCCGTTCCTCAACTCTTTGTGCCTCAGCTTCTCTCTCAAGGAATTACAGTGGTATCCACTTCAAATGATTGTTGGGAACATTAATGGATGAATGCATGTAAAGTGCTTACGACTGTACAAGGCATATTGAAAACCTTCAGTATTAGTGTCTTTGCTGTTGTGTTTGTATTTATTAATAATATTTCATCATCCAAATGGCTTCCACTAAATATGGCTGTCAGTAAATATAGATTATTCACGTGTTTTTACTTTTTTCCCTCCAAGATGGGAATTAGAAAACACTTTAAGGAAATATATTGGCATCATCTTAGTGTTCAGATATATTATTTAGATACTGATTTAAAGAGGTAGACACTGGGTATGGTTCTTACAAATTTTCAAGAAAACAGTCAATGATAGTTAAGAGAAGTGGTCAGGCACAAATAAATTTTCCTGCTGATTAAGATAATCACCAATCTGTAATTGTCCTCTCTTGCAGCTCTAAGTCACAAAGATAATAAAGAATTCTGAAGAGAAGAAAATATCACCCTTTAGCAGGATGCTTCGGTAGCTCTTTCGTCTAACCCTGTTTTTTCCTCAGGCCTAAGTAACATTCACTCATCCTGAATCTTTATAAATTTGTTGGGGCCTGTTCACAGTTAACAAAACTTTGGAGCTTTAGAGAAGCTAAATATCAAATTGGCATGCTAGACGTAATCATTTACTCTAATTACAAAGACAGCCCAGCTATTCAGTTGAGTTCCCCATACTTCCTTTATTTAATAACCAACTTCCCCAGTTTGTGCAACTTCCTGAATTCTTAGAGCTGAAATTATTGTTAGCTTCCATCATAATAAAAGGTCTCACATACGTAACAACTGAAGTATCCTGCTAAAGGGTGGTATTTCCTTCTCTTTAGAGTTCTTTATTATCTTTGTGACTTAGAGATGCAAGAGAGGCCAATCAGACTGGTGATTCTCTTTTCTTAATCAGGAGGAAAACTTTATTGTGCCTTCCCACTTCTGTTAACCATCATTTGTTATTCTCTTTAATTAGAGCTTCCACTAGAGATTAATATACATTTTCATATCTTCTTTCTAGTTTTTTAAATGAACTTATTTTTATTGATTACTTTGAACATAGTCTTTAAAGAGTCGAAAAAGAGGGCCGATCACCTGAGGTCGGGAATTCAAGACCTGACCAACATGAAGAAACCTTTTCTTTACTAAAAATACAAAATTAGCCAGGCATGGTAGTGCATGCCTATAATCCCAGCTACTCAGGAGGCTGAGGCAGGAGAATTGCTTGAACCTGGGAGGCAGAGGTTGTGGTGAGTCAAGATTGCGCCATTGCACACCAGCCTGGGCAACAAGAGCAAAACTCTGTCTCAAAAAAATAATAATAATAAAATAAAGAGTCAAAAAAGCGGCCGGGCGCGGTGGCTCATGCCTGTAATCCCAGCACTTTGGGAGGTCGAGGCGGGTGGATCACGAGGTCAGGAGATCGAGACCATCTCTGTGGCTAACATGGTGAAACCCTGTCTCTACTCAAAATATGAAAAAAAAAAAAAAATTAGCCTGGCATGGTGGCGGGCGCCCGTAGTCCCAGTCACTCGGGAGGCTGAGGCAGGAGAATGCCATGAACCCGGGAGGCAGAGCTTGCAGTGAGCCGAGATCGCGCCACTGTACTCCAGCCTGGGCGACAGCAAGACTCCGTCTCAAAAAAAAAAAAAAAAGCTTGTCCTTGTGCTTTTTTTTTTTTTGAAACAGAGTCTCACTCTGTCACCTCACCCAGGATACAGTGCAGTGATGCAATCTCAGCTCACTGCAACCTCCACCTCTCAGGTTCAAGCGATCCTCCCACCTCAGCCTCCATAGTAGCTGGGATTACAGATGTGGGCTACCACGCCTGGCTAATTTGTGTATGTTTAGTAGGATTTCACCATATTAGCCAGGCTGGTCTTGAACTCCTGACCCTAAAGTGATCCGCCCACCTCGGCCTCCCAAAGTGCTGGGATTACAGGTGTGAACCACCATGCCCAGCCCCTTGCCCTACTTTTTACACCCTAGTTCCAATCCCCAGAGATTGCCATCTTCATACCCCTCCTTTTTAAAGTAGTTTCTTCTAGTAATTATTTCTCTGTTTATAAATAAAGTGCTTACACAGACCTCTCTTGATTTAAAAAATTTTGGACATGACCTACTCACTTTCTACATGTTAGATGTGGACCTAGTGCACACACATAGGTGCACACGCATAGGTACACACATGCTCAAACAACTTCTGCCATTTCCCATCACAACTTTTGGCTAAATCATTGGGCACTGTTTACTGCTGACCATGTGGATGTTATTCAGTGCTGAGCCTAGTGCAGTCGTCAGCCTTCCCTGCACATTTGCTTCCTTTTCTGCGTACATACTGATATATTTTCCAAAGATCCAGCAACTCTATCATGCACATATCATAATTTTGCTCTAGTTTTGTTCTATTTACCCAGACTTCAGCCTTTGACACCTATCCCATTGTCTTTTTCCTTGGTTGTGGATTCATACCTTTTTTACACCTTGTCACTTTAGTGAGATTTCAGGAGAAAGAGGATGCAAATGTTTGTGGTCATTCTGCTGTGTTAGTTGCAAATTCTTTTTACTTTCAAAGTAGAACAGCTGACTAGCTGTTCTACTTTGAAAGACAAAATTTGTTAAAATGTTTTAAACATAAATTTTAAAATTTATCACAGATTTTTTAAAACATTTTATTTATTTATATCATTCAAAATTCAAAATATTCCCAACACAGAGAAATGGTAAACATTTGAGTGATGAATATGCTAGTTACCCTGATCTGATCGCTATATTATATCTATTGAAACATCACCATGTACCCTATGAATATGTACAATTATTATTTGCCAATTAAAAAATTAAAAGTAAAAAAAATTTTTAACTTACTAAAAGATACAAAAATAGAAAGTCTCTCTCTCTCACATTTATCCCCTTGTCACCCAGTTTCCCTCCCCAGAAATAATCAATATTATTAGTTTCTTGAGTATCCTTCCAGAATTATTCAATGAGTGTATATTTCCCCTTTGTACACAAATAGTTGAATTCAATAGAGACGATTTTGCATCTTGCTTTTTACTTAACAATAGCTCTTAGAATTCATTTCATGACAGTTATTTAAAAACATATTAATTTTTTTTTTTTTTTTTTTTTGAGACAGAGTCTCGCTCTGTCGCCTAGGCTGGAGTGCAGTGACGCGATCTTGGCTCACTGCAACCTCCGCCTCCTGGGTTCAGGTGATTCTCCTGCCTCAGCCTCCCGAGTAGCTGGGATTCTAGGGATGCATCACCGTGCACAGCTAATTTTTTTTTTTCAGTAGAGACGGGATTTCGCTATGTTGGCCTGGCCAGTCTCGAATTCCTGGCCTCAAGTGATTCTTTCACCCACCTCAGCTTCTCAAATGCTGGGATTACAGGCGTGAGCCACTGCACCTGCCCTTATTCATTTTTTAAATGGATGCCTTATATTCCACTGTATGAATGACCATCACTTAATCAATTTTCTGTTGATGCAAATTTGTTTCCAGTCTTTTCTATTACGAATAGTGCTACAGTGATGATTTTGTACATAAAGTGATTTCCTGCTGTGTTAATATACCTATTAGGATAGATTTCTAGAGTAGAATTTCTGGCTTACCACAGAATTTAGACTTTTAAATGTAATACACCATTTTCTTATGAATGCAAGACATTCTATGAAATGCAAAATACTTGATTTTCTTTTTTTGTTTGTTTTTTTTATTTTTTGAGATGGAGTCTCGCTCTGTCACCCAGGCTGGAGTGCAGTGGCACGATCTCAGCTCACTGCAACCTCCATCTCCCTGGTTCAAGCAATTCCCCTGCCTCAGCCTCCTGAGTAGCTGGGATTACAGGTACACACCACCATGCCTGGCTAATTTTGATTTTCTTTTTTAATCAAGTAACGGGTTACAATTCATTTTCCCCCTCTTTCTACTCTCACCCTGCAGGGGCAACCAAAACAGATTCGGATACAAAAGGAAGCTGATATTCTGCTCTTGGCAGTGGATTTCCCTTTATATTTAAGATATGCTATATTATTTTCTTCCTTTCTCTTCTATTTTAAAAACCTGCCAGGCGTGGTAGCTCACGCCTGTAATCCCAGCACTTTGGGATGCCAAGGCAGGCAGGTAACTTGAGCTCAGGAGTTCAAGACCAGCCTGGCCAACATGGTGAAACCCCGTCTCTACTAAAAATACAAAATTAGCCAGGTGTGGTGGCATGCACCTGTAATCCCAGCTACTCTGGAGGCTGAGGCAGGAAGATTGCTTGAATCTGGGAGTTGGAGGTTGCAGTGAGCTGAGATTGTACCACTGCACTCCAGCCTGAGACAGAGCAAAACTCTGTCTCAAAATAACAATAATAATAATAAAATTTTTAAAATAAGAAATAAAAACCTAAAAGGGCAGATATGAAATATTTTCTTATAGTTTCTTAATAACAACTTTTTGAGATATAAGTCACATACCATACCATTGATCCACTTAAAGTGAACAATTCAGACCAGGTGTAGTGGCTCACGCCTGTAATCCCAATATTTTGGGAGGCTGGGGAGGGGGGATCACTTGAGTCCAGGTGTTTGAGACCAGCTTAGGTAACATAGTAAGACCTCGTCTCCACAAAAAATAAACAAAATTAGCCATGTGTGGTGGCACACACCTATAGTCCCAGCTATACTGAAGTGAGAGGATAACTTGAGCCTAGGAAGTTGAAGCTGCAGTGAGCTGTGATTATACCAAAGCACTCCAGCCTGGGCGACAGAACAAGACTCTGTCTTAAAAAATAAAAAATGAGGCCGGCTGCAGTGGCTCACGCCTGTAACCCCAGCACTTTGGGAGGCCAAGGCAGGTGGATTGCCCAGCCAGACCAACATGGTGAAACCCCATCTCTACTAAAATACAAAAAATTAGCCGAGTGTGGTGGTGCGTGCCTATAGTCCCAGCTACTTGGGAGGCTGAGACAGGAGAATCATTTGAATCCGGGAGGCAGAGGTTGCAGTGAGCTGAGATTACACCACTGCACGCCAGCCTGGGCAACAATGTGAGACTCCATCTCAAAAAAAAATAAAATAAAATAAATAAATAAATAATGAAATAAACAATGCACTGGTTTTTAGTATATTTTCAGAGTGTGTAACCATCACCACAGTCAACTTTAGAAGTTTTTAAAATTTTGAGACAGGGTCTCCCTTTGTCACAAAGGCTTGAGTGTGGTGGTGTTGTGCTAGCTCACTAAACCTTGAATTACTGGGCTCAAGTGACCAACTTGCCTCAGCCTCTCAAGTAGTTAGGACTAGAGGCATGCACCACCATGTCTGGCTAATTTTTTTTTTTTTTTTTTTTTGAGACAGTCTCGCTCTGTCACTCAGGCTGGAGTGCAGTGGCATGATCTCAGCTCACTGTAACATCTGCCCTCTGGGTTCAAGCAATTTTCTTGCCTCAGCCTCCC
The DNA here is from genome assembly GCF_000001405.40 of Homo sapiens. NCBI lineage: Eukaryota > Metazoa > Chordata > Mammalia > Primates > Hominidae > Homo > Homo sapiens. The sequence goes on from NC_000016.10 coordinate 68,966,897, forward strand.
AAGTAGCTGGGAATACACGTATGCACCACCATGCCCTGCTAATTTTTGTATTTTTAGTAGAGACGGGGTTTTGCCACGTTGGCCAGGCTGGTCTCAAACCCCTGACTGCAAGTGATCCACCTACTTCAGCCTCCCGAAGTGCTGGGATTACAGGTGTGAGCCGCTGTGCCCAGCCTATCTGGCTAATTTTTTAAATTTTTGTAGAGATGGGGTCTGGCTGTGTTGCCCAGGCTGGAATTTTAGAACAATGGCCCCCAACCTTTTGGGCACCAGGGACTGGTTTCATGGAAGACAATATTTCCATGGACGGGACGGTGTTGGGAGGGCGGGGATGGTTTCAGGATGAAACTGTTCCACCTCAGATCATCAGACTTTCCATTCTCATAAGGAGCACACAACCTAGATCCCTTGCATGTGCAGTTCACAATAGGGTTCACACTCCTGGGAGTATCCGTTGCCTCCAATGATCTGACAGAAGGCAGAGCTCAGGCAATAATGCTCCCTTGCTGCTCACCTCCTGCTGTGTGGTCCCGTTCCTAACAGGCCATGCCCGGTAACAGTCTGCAACCTGGGGGTTGGGGACCCCTGTTTTAGAATGTTGTTATCACCCCAGAAAGAAATTTCGTAACTATTAGCAGTCACTCCCTGCTTTCTCAAACTACCACAGCCCTAGGTAACCACTAAATCTACTTTTCCTATGTAGAGATTTGCCTATTCTGGACATTTCATTTCAATGGAATTATACAATGTGTGGGTTTTTGTGTTTCTTGTAGTTTTGTTGGCAGAAATATCTGTGAGTTTCAAGTGAGTAGGTGGTTTTCCGGGTTGCTGTGGGTATTTTGGGAAGTTGTTATCTGCCCAGGAGAAATGAGGCAGGTTAGTTTTGAGGTAGGAATGGCTTAGCAGTTCCCTGGGATAGAGCCAGTTAGCAAAGACATTTTAGAATTAGACTGACTTCCCTGTTAATGCAAGAGTACTAAGTAAAAGTACACGACACCCAAACTCCTTTTGCTACTCAGAATCACTGAGTAACACGCTGTGGGATCATCTTGAAGTCAACACTGTTTTGCTCAAAATATGTGTGTGGCTTTCAGGGAAGTCTTGGGGGAAGAAAAAAAAACAGTTATTTTACAAAGTTGACAGTCTGTTTTGTTACATGTAGTTATCGTAATAACATTTTTTTTTTTGAGACAGAGTCTCACTCTGTCGCCCAGGCTGAAGTGCAGTGGCGCCATCTCGGTTCAATGCAACCTCCACCTCCTGGATTCAAGAGATTCTCCTGCCTCAGCCTCCCGAATAGCTGGGACTACAGGCGCACGCCACCACGCCCAGCTAATTTTTGTATTTTTAGTAGAGACAGGGTTTCACCATATTGGCCAGGCTGGTCTCAAATTCCTGACTTCGTGATCCACCCACCTCAGCTTCCCAAAGTGCTGGGATTACAGATGTCAGCTACCGCACCTGGCCTTTTTTTTTTTTTTGGTGAGATGGAGTTTTCACTCTTGTTTCCCAGGTTGGAGTGCAATGGTGCAATCTTGGCTTACTGAAACCTCCACCTCCCGGGTTCAAGTGATTCTCCTGTCTCAGCCTCCCAAGTAGCTGTGATTACAGGCACCTGCTACCACACTCAGCTAATTTTTTGTATTTAGTAGAGAGGGGGGTTTCACCATGTTGGTCAGGCTGGTCTCGAACTCCTGACCTCAGGTGGTCCACCCGCCTCGGCCTCTCAAAGTGCTGGGATTACAGGCGTGAGCCACTGCACCCAGCCTAGCATTTTTTTTTTTTTTTTTTTGAGACGGAGTCTTGCTCTGTCGCCCAGGCTGGAGTGCAGTGGCATGATCTCGGCTCACTGCAAGCTCCACCTCCCGGGTTCACGCCATTCTCCTGCCTCAGCCTCCCGAGTAGCTGGGACTACAGGCACCCACTACCACGCCCAGCTAATTTTTTGTATTTTTAGTAGAAACGGGGTTTCACTGGGTTAGCCAGGATGGTCTCGATCTCCTGACCTTGTGATCCGCCCGCCTCGGCCTCCCAAAGTGCTGGGATTACAGGCATGAGCCACCGCGCCTGGCCACCTAACATTTTTTTAGTTACGTTAATTCACCAATATTCTACGCACTGCCTCCAAAAAAAGTTCAGAATGCGTCTGTGAACTCTTCCCAGTTTGGATTCACTTTTACCTTCTCTATATCTCATCTGTTGCACCACATCCTAAAATGCATAGCTAGTTTCCTACGGTCAGAGCAGAAAGAGGTCTCTCTCACACAATCCTTTGGGTCTCATTACCAAAGGGATTGATGTGTGATGTTTTCTTGAATCTTGTGCTGACCCAGAAATTACCCCATTTTCAAGTCACAAAGGAATTATCAAGTGTGATGGGCCCATGGTCATGTGAAGGTTATGGCCGTGCTTCCACAGAGTGTCTAAGTACAGAAAGTTTTTTCGAAATAAATAAAAACAAGCACACAAAATCTCATCCCTTTCATTTTTATACAGTCTTAACCATCATGTATGACTCTCTTCACTGCTTGGTGGGTAAAGGGGGAACTGCTGTTATTCTCCAGGGATTTATAAACTCATAGGTGGCACCTGTATCCTAGAAGGTAAAACTCAAACAGCCAGCCATTTGGCAGCCGTCTGTGGAACAGGCCAGCAGGAAGATAAACAATTGCTATTAGATCTGGGACTGTGGGAAGCAAGGAAACTGGGCTTTGCTTTGGGAACCTTTTTATGGAAGATTGGGAGAACTAAAAGCTCCCTAATGAGTTTAAAGTTTAGCATTATAGGAAAAGCAAAAAAAAAAAAAATCTGAAAAATCATTGTTAACCAGAAAAAGGGTGTGTTAGGATTATTTTAATTGAAAAACAGTCCAACTGGCATGAGCATTAGAGGGTGTTTATTGGCTTTTCTATCCAGAAAGTCGAGTGGGTGGAGTACACCTGGGTCCCGGAGCTGAAAAGATGCCATCGGGTCTCTTCTTCTTCTTCTCCCTCCCTCTCAGGCTGGCTCTCCCTCTGTGTTGGTGTCATTCTTGTGTGGGCTTTTTCCACATGGTGGCCACTGGCAGCTCCAGATTAGTCTCTTCAATGGGTGGTGGGGAGGGGAATTTATCTTTCCCAGTAGTGTCAATGTGGGTTTCAGGATCGAATCTCATTCCCTGTTCCTGAACCAGTCATGGTGGTGGGGATGGAATGGAAGATCCTAACTGGCCAGCCTGGGATACAAGTTCACACCTGGAGGGGGAGAAAGTGGGTATAGTTAGCCCACTCAAACCACACAGACTGAGAGTAAGAAAGGGATATTTCTCCAAAAGAACACCATGGTGGTGTTGTTACCAGAAGAGAGAGTAGATGCTAGGTGTAATCACATGTCTGCCCACTACAGAGAGGAAGTCCAGAGCTCATTTGGCCAGGATAGTATGTTCACAGAAGTAAATGACTGTTCTCTGCTAAAGACTAATGAGAGAAAATAGGAATAAACAACAGTAAGGGCCCGGCACGGTGGCTCATGCCTTTAATCCCAGCACTTTGGGAGGCCGAGGCAGGTGGATCACCTGAGGTCAGGAGTTTGAGACCAGCCTGACCAACATGGAGAAACCCTGTCTCTACTAAAAATATAAAATTAGCTGGGCATGGTGGCACATGTCTGTAATCCCAGCTACTCAGGAGGCTGAGGCAGGAGAATCACTTGAACCCGGGAGATGGAGGTTGCAGTGAGCTGAGATCACGCCATTGTACTCCAGCCTGGGCAACAAGAACAAAACTTCGTCTCAAAAAAAAAAAAAAAAAAGACTATGTTAAACAACAGTAAGAGGGACTTTAGTAATAGGTTTCAGAAAAGCTAGAAATAGATCAAAGTTTTATAAAGCAAATCCCATTTTTCCACTGTTTTCCATTGCAAAGTCATGACTACATTCCTAAAAGGAAACACCCACCAGATTTTCTGAGTTGAGAACTTCTGATTTTAGAAAGTAGCTATGGGCCGGGCGCAGTGGCTCACGCCTGTAATCCCAGCACTTTGGGAGGCCGAGGAGGGCGGATCACCTCAGGAGTTCGAGATCAGCCTGGCCAACACGGTGAAACCCCGTCTCTACCAAAAATACAAAAATTAGCCAGGCATAGTGGCAGGCACCTGTAATCCCAGCTACCTGGGAGGCCGAGGCAGGAGAATTGCTTGAACCGGGAGGTGGAAGTTGCAGTGAGCCGAGATCAAGCCATTGCACTCCAGTTGGGTGACAGAGCGAGACTCCATCTCAAAAAAAAAAAAAAAAGAAAGTTATGATAGCTGCAAATCTGTAATATATACCAGGCCTTGTAATATATCAGTGATATAACACCTGCCAGAATTGCAGTTGTGGAGGTCTTTTAGAAGTTGGAGGCTATTTCTGTTTTTCTTTTTTTGAGACCTCACTGTCACCCAGCTGGAGTGCAATGCTGCAATCATAGCTTACTGCGGCCTAGAACTTGTGGGCTCAAGCAATCCTCCTGCCTCGGCCTCCGAGTAGCTAGGACTACAGGCACACATCACCACACCTGGCTAATTTTTTTAAAATTATTTTTATAGAGATGGGGTCTCCCTATGTTGCCCAGACTGGTCTCAAACTCCTGGCCTCAAGTGATCCTCCCACCTCAGCCTCCCAAAGTGCTGGGATTACAGGTGTGAGCCACTGCACCTAGCCCCCTCTTCTTTCTCTTAGCAAACAATTCATTTACCCTTAGGCCTCAGACATTTTTTTCTTTTTTTCTTTTTTTTGAGACAGAGTTTCACTATTGTTGCCTAGGCTGGAGTGCAATGGTGTGATCTCGGCTCACTGCAGCCTCTTCCTCTGGGGTTCAAGCGATTCTCCTGCCTCAGCCTCCTGAGTAACTGGGATTACAGGTGCCCGATACCACGCCCAGCTAACTTTTTGTATTTTTAGTAGAGACGGGGTTTCACCATGTTGGCCAGACTGATCTTGAACTCCTGACCTCAAGTGATCCACCCACCTCGGCCTCCCAAAATGTTGGGATTACACGCGTGAGCCACTGCGCCCAGCCGATGCAGACATTTTTTTCTATGCTACAATATTCCATAACTCCGTGTTGAACCTCCAAGGACTTCTTCATCATTTTATATAATAGAGTGAACTACAACTACAGTGTCACATTTTGGCAACAGTGTTGTGCCACAGCCTGAATCTCTCTTAAGAGCAGAGCTTCTGCTTGCATAAGATTAGAGCCCATCTTAGGACTGAAGTCCTAAGATGGACTCTGGATTGGAGGTGTGGTTTAGGACCACATGCAGAGGTGCAGGCTTAGGACCACATGCAGAGATTTCCCAGGCTCTTTGGAAGCAAGAAAAGATGGGGGTGGGGAGGGCAGAAAGGAGGATGGGCAGACAGGTGCAGCCCTCAGCAGGTGCTCCGCCTTCACAGCTCAGCAGATGCGGCGGATAAGGCCAGTGAAGAGTGTGGATGTGATTTAGAAGAGAATGGAATCACAACCTATAACATAAAAAACTGCACGTAGACTTTGCCTGCAAGGCTGTCAGTTTAAACACGAGAATGGTAAATTTAGATGAAAAATAAGTATAGATTTCTCAAGCATTTATATTACTTCTTCCCCATCCTCTCTTTCTTAATTCCTGAAATTTATATCAGGACTGTATATTTGAATCCTGTTTACTCATCCATCCATTCATCCATTCATTCATTTAGCAGGTAGTTACTGAGCACCTGACATGTGCTAGGACTCTTCTAGGCATTGGGGATACAGCAGGGAACAAAAGAAAATCCTTGACTTTATTATAGAGTTCACATTCCAAGGAGGAGAGCAGACAATAAGGAAATACACAACCTGTCAGGTGATATTAAGTGCTAAGACAAATGAAGCAGGGTGAGAGGAGTAAAGAGTGGCAGGGGAAGGAGGGTGCCGTTTTATATGTGACAAATGTGATCTGTGAGCAGAGACATGATAGGGTTTGGGAGCAAGCTGTGAGGCCACCAGGAGGAGCAGCAGCAGATGCAGAGGGGAAGTGAGGCCGACTCCTCCGAGCCAGGATCACTTGGCCTACTGGAGAATAGCAAGGAGGCCAGGAAGCAAGGGAGAGTGTTAAAAGATGAGATCAGAGAGAGAACAAAGGAAGGCGGGGGATGGGGACTGCTCATATTCAGGGAAGAAGGGAAACCACTGAGGGGTCTGGGCAGAAGCATGAAGGGGCCAGACTTATGATTCAAACCAAATAGCTCCATCTGCAATGGATGAAAAAGGTAGAAGCAGGGAGACCAATGAGGGGATTATTGGAGAAACCCAAAGCAGAGTTGATGGGCCAGGGTGCTTGGGGTAGAAGTGGGTTCTCATCCTGGAACCCCTATTTCTACTTATTCCTTCTTTACTTTTTTTCTTTTTCGTCACTGTTCTTTATAGTGTGTAATCTTTTTCCTGTTCTCTGCTAAAGACTAATGAGAGAAAATAGGAATAAACAACAGTATAGACATGAATGGTAGAATTTGTAGTTATATAGTTTTGAGGCCAACCAGGGGTTTTGTTCTGGATCTGTCTGGTCATCTCTCACCTCCCTGCCACCCCTAAAAAGGTTGCTGAGTATGGGGCTGGGCTCAGATTATGATAACACTGTTCCAGGCTACACATTTAGAAGGCGCTGCTGTGGATAGGAGAGAGGATCAGCAAGTCCTACGAAGGGGGGACTCAGGGTCAGGGTCTTCCCTATTTCTGTTGATTAGGAAACTCAGCCATGAGCTTAGATCTAATATTGATCATGTCCAGGATGCTCTGAAAATGTTTCCTTGTGGAAACTGCTCCCATCACTGGCAGTTCCACAGAGGGAAATTATACAGGAATGGAGAACTGCAGCAAAGGCAGGAGGCATTGCCTGGATCATAGAACGTCAGTGCTGGGAGTGACCTTAGAGATCGTATCAGGCTGGGACTAGACAAACACAGGAGTCTCAACTACCAGGCCCATCTTCGTTCCACTCACTATGCTGACTCTCCAAACAATAGGCAGCCCTTGCTGGGAGAGCTTTAGAGATGGTTTTCAGCATCTCTGCGTTCATCCCATCACAGGGTGACTGGTTTATTTGCCTTTTGATCGTAAACAGTAATGAATCCTTTCTTTTTGTTTTCAACCCCAGGGGTTGCCCTGCTGTCAGACGTCTATCCTGAGAAAATCTTGCCGGACTTGTTGGCTCAATATGACAGCAGCAAAGACAAGCACACACCAGAGACCAGAATGAAAGTCGGGGAAGTCCTTATGCGAATCGTCAGGGCATTAGGTGAGTTTTCTTGTTCCATCCACCTGGAAAAGGGTGGAGGATCAGTGTGACTTTGAAACCAAAATGTGTGTACCTGGGGGCTTGTTACACTAGTGTGGTGAGGGTAGTTTGAGGGCTGGGATGTACCCATTTAGGAATTTAGGAAATATTCCGATGTCTACTATGAGACTGAAAGCAACAATGTCCTTTTTCTTAAACCTGCTTAGTCTCTCGCCAGGTGCGGTGGCTCCTGCCTGTAATCCCAGCACTTTGGGAGGCCGAGGCAGGTGGATCACCTGAGGTCAGGAGTTCAAGACCAGCCTGGTCCACATGGTGAAACCCTGTCTCTACTAAAAATACAAAAATTAGCTGGGCGTGGTGGTGTACGCCTGTAATCCCACTACTCGGGAGGTTAAGTCAGGAGAATCGCTTGAACCTGGGAGGCAGAGGTTGTGGTGAGTCGAGATCGCGCCACTGTGCTCCAGCCTGGGCGACAAAATGAGATTCCATCTCAAAAATAACAACAACAAAAAAAACTGCTTAGTCTCCTTCCCTGGGAGCTGTGTTGGGCCCTGATTTTCAATGGAGCTGGAATTAGAAGTCTCACACTTGAGCAGCAGCAAGCACAAAAAGAAGAGGAATGTCAGCTGGGCACCATGGCTCACACCTGTAATCTCAGCGCTTTGGGAGGATCACTTTAGGCCTGGCAGGAGTTCAAGTCCAGCCTGGGTAACATGGCAAAACCCCATCTCTACCAAAAATTAGCCAGGATTGGTGGCACACACCTGTAGTCCCAGCTACTCAGGAGGCTGAGGTGGGAGGATCACCTGAGCCTGGGAGGTCGAGGCTGCAGTGAGCAATGATTGTACCACTGCACTCCAGCCTGGGCAATAGAGCGAGACTCAGAAATAAAGAATAGGAATGTCAAGCAGGGAAGGAAGAGTGCTGACTCTTGCTGAATGTCTACTGCATGCCAGGTTGTCCATATATATAATCTCATCTAATTCCCCAACAAATCTTGTAAACAGGCTGTTACTAAACCTGTTTTACAGATGAAGAAACTGTAGCTCAAACATTTTCAGCAATTTGTCCAAGACTCATTCAGCTGGTAAGTGATAGTGCTGAGAACTGAACCACCAACTTGAAGGAAGTTACTCTAGGCTGTATAAGCTGACAATAGTAGTTAAGGGATAGGCTCTAGACTTACACTGCCTCACTTCAAATCCTGAACTGCCGCGCTTTTTTTTTTTTCATGGTAGAGTTGGGGTCTCACTATGTTTTCAGGCTAGTCTCAAACTCGTGGACTCAAGCAATCCTCCCACCTCAGCCTCCCAAAGTGCTGGGATTATAAGCATGAGCCATTCTGCATCTTATTGGCTGTGTGATCAGGGAAATGTTTCTTTCTTTTCTTTTTTTTTTGTTTTTTTCAAGACAGGGTCTTACTCAGTCACCCAGGCTGGAGAGCAGTGGTGCATTCATGGCTTACTGCAGCCTGAACCTCCTGGACTCAAGTTATCCTCCCTCCTCAGCCTCCCACATAGCTGGGACTACAGGCATATGCCACCATGCCCAGTTAATTTTCTATTTTTTGTAGAGGCAAGGTCTCACTATGTTGCCCAGGCTGGTCTCAAACTCCTGGGCTCAAGCAATCCTCCTGTCTCTGCCTCCCAAAGTGCTGGGATTACAGGTGTGCGCCATCGTGCCCAGCTGAGGGGAATGTTTCTTAACCTTGGGTGCCTGAGTGTTCTAATGTGTGAAATGATGATATTATGGGTTTGGTTTTTGTTGTTGTTGTTGTTATTTTTGCAACAGTGTCTCCCTCTGTTGCCCACATTGGAGTTCATTGGCACGGTCATGGCTCACTGCAGCCTTGACCTCTTACGCTCAAGGTATCCTTCTACTTCAGCCTCTTGAATAGCTGGGACTAGAGGTACATGCCACCACACCTGGCTAATTTTTGTATTTTTGTAGAGATGGGGTTTTACCATGTTGCCCAGCCTGGTCTTGAACTCCTGGCCTCAAGCAGTCTTCCCACCTTGGCTTCACAAAGTGCTGAGATTACAGGCATGAGCCGCTGCACCCAGCCAGAATGAGGATATTAATAACACTTAACTCATAGGTCTGTTGTAAAGATTAAATAAGGTGATTCTTACAGTGTTATTTGGCATACAATAAGGGCTCAGTAAAATTTTATTTTTGCCTACGCAAAAAAGATTTAAACATTTTTTAAAGATTAAAAATGAAGGAAAACAAATATTTTTTGCTGTTTATTGAGTGCTCATATGAAGCTAGGAGGTGGGACCCTAGGGAACAAGGACAAAGAAAACAATAGTTCATTCTGAAGAGAGAGGTTAAATTAAGATGAATTTCTCCATAAGCCAGCAAGTACACTTTGAATATTTTTATACTGGGCTATATAACATAGAATTGAGAGAAGATTCATTTATTTAACCTGTGCTCCATAGACTTAACCATTAGCTGTCACACTGAATATCACTAGAAGCCTTAAAATAAGGCAAATCAATCATACAGGTGAGAGCCAGTGGTGTACAGTATCCATTTGAGCCAGCTAGCGGCCATATTGAATTTTGAGAATGAGGTTCCGTTTTAGGGCTGTGTTCTTGTCATGCATGGCCTATATCAGATTGTGTTATAAAGTATAGCTGTTGGTGGTTAATATTTGGCTTAATAACAGTGCCACACTTCTTTTATTCTTTAAGTTATATCAGCACTTCTTAGGTACTGCTGTATTTGTCCTTGGCTTTTTAGTAATTCCATTATATACTCACTAGCCTATTATCTAAGGCAGAAAAAGAAGATATAATCTTAACTTCAGCTTGGGCAATTTGTCTGTGAGCTATAGTAAAACTTGTAAATTTTACTCTTTATCTGGTAGGGGAAGATTTTGGAGAACAAAGTGGAGGTGGGGTATCTTTTTGCCACTTGCATCAGGAGATCACACTGAATCCCTCCTTCATCAGCACTTCAGAGGATTTATAGAAATTCCATATAGCCATGCACTGTTTGTATGGACATAGCCCTTAATTTTCCTAATTTCTAGGTGACTGTTCTGGCTAAGGATGATAGAACCTAGGTCTCCAACCACTTAAATCCTTGTATCAGTGAAAGGAGAATTACTTGAGAGTGAAATTTATTTTGTTTTTGTTTTTTTTTTTCTTTTCTGACCAATGGATTCATGTCACAGAGAGTGAAATTTATTTATTTATTTATTTAATTTTTTTTGTTTTTTTGAGATGGAGTCTTAGCCAGGCGTGGTGGCTCACGCCTGTAATCCCAGCACTTTGGGAGGCCAAGGCGGGCGGATCATGAGACCGAGACGACGATCAAGAGATCGAGACCATCCTGGCCAACATGGTGAAACCCTGTCTCTACTAAAAATACAAAATTAGCTGGGCGTGGTGGCACGTGCTTGTAGTCCCAGCTACTCAGGAGGCTGAGGCAGGAGAATCTCTTGAACCCGGGAGGCAGAGGTTGCAGTGAGCTGGGATTTCACCACTGCAACGCCAGCCTGGCAACAGAGCCAGATTCCGTCTCAAAAAAAAAAAGAGATGGAGTCACCCAGACTGGAGTCCAGTGGTGCCATCTTAGCTCACTGCAGCCTCTGCCTCCTGGGTTCAAGCGATTCTCCTGCCTCAGCCTCCCGAGTAGCTGGGACCACAGGCCCACACCACCACGCCCGGCTAATTTTTGTATTTTTAGTAGAGACAGGGTTTCACCATGTTGGACAGGCCGGTCTCGAACTCCTGACCTCAGGTGATCCGCCTGCCTTGGCCTCCCACAGTGCTTGAATTACAGGTGTGAGCCACTGCACCCAGCTGAGAGTGAAATTTAAAAATACATTTTTTTCTAAGAAGAAAGATGAACTTTCTATATTTGCCTTAGTTCTGAATTTGGATCTAAAACATGCCAGACAAGTACACCATTATAATAAATCATTCTCTCATAGTAGGTGTGAAGGGTGTACCACTGGGATTATCAGAGCTGAGAAGAATATAAACCATACATAGACAACATCAACGTAACATGTATTTTCTCTGGTAGACCGCTACCTTTGGGATGATAAACACTAAAAGTACATATTTCAGAGTCCCCATTGGCCAGTCCAAATCATTTCCTGGGGTGAAAGTGGAGGTGGGGATGAAAGGCTGGATAGAGTTGAGGTGAGGCCTTACTCCTCCTTACATAGTCTTATAATTAGCCCAATTTCCAAAACAGCCTTCTGGCATTTCAAAGCAAATTCCACTAATTCTCAAAGTTCCCTTCTTTCTGTAGCCTACTCTTCAGAGTGTCCAACTGTAAACATAGCCTTAGCTTTAACTGCTAGTTTCTGTTTCACATCATCAACTTGTCCTGGTGCATAGATGAAGTGGTGTGTTGAAATCCTTTGAATAACATTAAAGCCCAATTTGACAACATAGCCAATATTCTTTGTTTTCTAGTGTTGTGGAAATGCTGTGAATAGCCACTTGGTAAAGCTTCTCTAATAAGTCCCCTAGTTCCCTCAGCCTAGGCCTTGCTCTCTCCCCACCCCTACCTCTTCTCTGCAGTGGTGGGAGTTGGTGGGAGAATGCGGCCCACCCGTGGGAGCAGGGTGCAGTACACTATGTTACCTCTCCACATCATGCTAGTTCCCTAGCCACACCTACTTGTCTTCCTGCCACTAGATCATAGTGCAAAATCAGCAGGAGCTTTTTTTCTTTCCATTAAAAAAAAATTGAGGTAATACATATATACAGTAAAGTATATAAAGTATATGATTTTTTTTTTTTTTTTTGAGACAGGGTCTCGTTCTGTTGCCCAGGCTGGAATGCAGTGGTGCGATCATGGCTTACTGCATCCTTGGCCTGTCAGTCTGATCTGCCTCCCTCAGCTTCCCAAGTAGCTAGGACCACAGGTGTGCGCCACCATACCTGGCTATTTATTAAATTTTTTATAGAGATGGGGGTCTCGCTGTGTTCCCCAGGCTGATCCCGACCCCCTGGGCTCAAGTGATCCTCCCACCTCCACCTCCCAGTGTGCTGAGATTAAGGCGTAAACCACAGCACCCAGCCTGAAGTATATGAATTTTTTTTTTTTCTTGAGACGGAGTCTTGCTCTGTTATCCAGGCCGGAGTGCAGTGGTGTGATCTTGGCTCACTGCAACCTCCACTTCCCAGGTTCAAGGGATTCTCCAGCCTCAGCCTCCCGAGTAGCTGGGACTACAGGCGCGTGCCACTGCGTCCAACTAATTTTTGTATTTTTAGTAGAGATGGGGTTTCATCATGTTGGCCAGGCTGGTCGCAAGCTCCTGACCTCAGGTGATCCACCCACCTCAGCCTCCCAAAGTGCTGGGATTACAGGCGTGAGCCACTGCGCCGGGCCCAGGAATATTTTTGAAGATATTTGTTGCTAAAATGTCTTCCAGAGAAGTTGTGCCAGTTTATATTATCAATGTTTGTCTGTACCCTCAAAAGTATGATATATTCTATGTATTATCATTTTTAAAAATCTTTATCAAGAAGATATATAAAGGAATGCTATCTTGTTTTTATTTCCATTTATTCAATTGATAAGGTTAAATATTTTCCATATATTGACTAGTTAAGATTCCGTGTATGTGGAGGGTGTGCATGTGTGTGTGAGAATTACATATTCTAGTCCGTTGTTTTTTCATTAGGGTATCAATTTTGTTTTTTGACTTTTTTTTTTTTTTTTGTAGTGGAGTCTCGCTCTGTCACCCAGGCTGGAGTGCAGTGGCTCAATCTCAGCTCACTTCAACGTCCGGCTGCCAGGTTCAAACAATTCTCTGCCTCAGCCTCCTGAGTAGCTGGGACTACAGATGTGTGCCACCATGCCCGGCTAATTTTTTTTGGTATTTTTAGTAGAGACGGGGTTTCACCATGCTGGCCAGGCTGGTCTCGAACTCCTGACCTCGTGATCTGCCCGCCTCGGCCTCCCAAAGTGCTGGGATTACAGGCGTGAGCCACCACGCCCTGCCCTTGTTTTTTGATTTTTAAAAGTTTTATGTATTTAAAGATCTTGAACCATTGACATTTATATCATAAATATTTTCTTTTAGTTTTATTCATATTTTCTTTTTCATTTTGTTTTTGACACACAGAAGTTTTTAATGTCAATGAAGGTAAATCTATCTTTTACCTTATGATTTTTCTCTTATATAGAAAACAGCTTTCCCAAACCAGGATTACATGAGTATGAATCTATCTGTCTGTCATTCTCTCTCTCTCTCTCTCTCTCTCTCTATATATATATATATATATATATATATTTTTTTTTTTTTTTTTGAGATAGGGTCTTGCTATGTTGCCCAGGCTGGGCTTGAACTCCTGGGCTCAAGCAGTCCTCCTGCCTTAGCCCCATGATTAGCTGGGATTATGCACACGAGCCACTGCACCTATAGTTCCAGCTACTCAGGACTCCGAGGTGGGAGGATCTCTTGAGCCCAGGGGTTTGAGGTTGTTATGAGTAGCTGGAACTTTAGGTGCGTGCCACCACACCCAGCAAGGCTTTATATATTTTTATGTCTACTTTTCAATGTAGAAAATATTGTGGAAGGAGGCTAGGCGAGGTGGCTCACCTCAGCACTTTGGGAGGCCGAGGTGGGCGGATCACAAGATCAGGAGACCAGACCATCCTGTCTAACACCGTGAAACCCCGTCTCTGCTAAAAATACAAAATTAGCCAGGCATAGTGGCGGGCGCCTGTAGTGCCAGCTACTCGGGAAGCTGACGCAGGAGAATCTCTTGAATCTGGAGGCGGAGGTTGCAATGAGCCGAGATCACGCCACTGCACTACAGCCTGGTCAACAGAGTGAGACTCCATCTCAAAAAAAAAAGAATTGTGGAAAGATTTTGGTTCAGTCTCTTTTATTTAAGGAACAATTTAGGAGTTTTTGTACTCCTAGAAATTTAATCTTAACACGTTGTTAAATTACCAATCATTCCAAATGTTTTTCCATCTGTTTCCTCTTATGTGGTCCAATGTCAATGTTGACAATAACTTGTGGATTGTTACATGTCATTGCATTTCTTTTTTCTTTTCCTTTTTTTTTTTTTTTTTTTTTGCGGAGTCTTGCTCTGTTGCCCAGGCTGGAGTATAGTGGTGTGGTCTCAGCTCATTGCAACCTCTGCCTTCCGGGTTCAAGCAATTCTCCTGCCTCAGCCCCCTGAGTAGCTGGGATTACAGGCATGCACCACGACACCTGGCTAATTTTTGTATTTTTAGTAGAGACGGGTTTTTGCCATGTTGGCTAGGCTGGTCTCGACCTCCTGACCTCAGGTGATCCACCTGCCTCGGCCTCCAAAAATGCTGGAATTACAGGCGTGAGCCACTGCACCCAGCCATTGCATTTCTTAAAACTTCTCTTAAAATATAACATATTTTCTGTTTAGTAATATGTTCCTGATATTACTATTACTGTGCCCAAGATAATGAATTGGTCATTGGGATGTTACTTGGCAAATTGAATTAAATCAAAAGGGATTATTAAATGCATCTTTTTGGGTATTTCCTTTTGCGATTGCCTAGAGAATTAATCTGATCTGCTGTAGACCACACTCCTTTCTCACATATGCCTGATGCCTGATTTGGAATGCTCCAGAATTCAAAACGTTTTGAGCACTGACATGACACACTCAAAGGAAATGCTCATTGGAGCATTTTAGATTTTAGGATTAGGGATGCTCAACCAGTATATATTCTGCAAATACTCCAAACTCTAAAAAAATTCAAAATCTGAAAAACCCCAAAGCATTTCTGTCCCAAGTGTTTCAGATAAGAGATACTCAACCTATGTCTTCTCTTTCTTTGGCAATGTCTGGAGACACTTTTGGTTGTTAGAACTGGCTGGGGAGGGGATTATTATGGCATGTAGTAGACGCCCAGGATACTACCAGGCATCATAAAATGCACAGGATGGCCACCTACAACAAAGAAGATGTGGCTCAAAATGGCAGTAAGGCCCTTGTTGAAACACCTTGTTCTAGAACCCACGTGGGCCATTCTGTTTCTCTCAAATGTGTTAAATCCAGGGCTGCCACATATAATTATGCAGGTTGTTCACTGCTGTATAAACTCCTAGGGGCCTCATTATATGAATGGCATGCCCTGGAGTTGTATAATATACAACCTATGTAGTCATCCTGCTGGCCCTAACTAAATTCTAGCCTATCTCATACCTTTTTTTTAGACAGAGTCTCACTTTGTCGCCCAGGCTGGAGTGCAGTGGTGCAATCTTGGCTCACTGCAACCTCCTGGGTTCAAGCGATTCTCCTGCTTCAGTCTCCTGAGTAGCTGGGATTACAGGTGCCTGCCACCACGCCCCGCTAATTTTTGTATTTTTAGTAAAGACAGGGTTTCACCATGTTGGCCAGGCTGGTCTCGAACTCCTCACATCAGATGATCTACCCACCTTGGCCTCCCAAAGTGCTGGGATTACAGGCATGAGCCACCATGCCCTGGCCTTTTTTTTTTTTTTTTTTTTTTGTAGAGACAGGGGCTCACTATGTTGCCCAGGCTGGTCTCGAACTCCTGGGCTCAAGCAATCCTCCCACCTCGGCCTCCCAAAGTGTTGGGATTACAGGCATGAGCCACGGTGCCCAGTCCTCTATTTCACCTCTATTAGAACCTTCGTATATATGCCTCTTACCCTTTATTTCCTTCCTTTTAATAGACCATAAAATGAAGTATATTTTTAAATTATCCTTTGTATTTAGATAATATTTCATGTTCCTTGCTAATATTTATTTCTCCTCCAAAGGGATCAGAAGAGAAAATGAAGTGTTTTTTTTTTAAATACTTGGTTGCTCCTGAATCACTTCAGGAAGCCTCAGATTTGCAGGTCTTGTTATTTCTTTTTTTTTATTTTGATTTTTTTTAGAGACCAGTACCCAGACTGGTCTCAAACTCCTGGCCTCAAATGATCCTCCTGCCTTGGCTGCTCAAAGTACTGGAACTACAGGCGTGAGCCACCGCACTGGGCTGAAGTTACATCTTCTTTGTATGTGGCTCTCATTTGGATCCCCAGTTTGGGTCGGAAATCCTTGGTGGAAAAACAATTTATGTCCACCTCTGCCCATAGTAACACCCAAATACTCTCTGAATTCTAATTTAGTTTCCTGTTTTTGTCAATTTCTAAGTCATATAAATTCCTGGGTTATTTGGTTGCTCTTTCTAATGCTCAAAATTCTTTATCTTGAAAACACTTATTTTTTTTTTCTTAATCCTGGGGATGGGACATTAATGTAGTCCAGTTCAGAAACATTAATTGAGTAGCCACTGAGTGGTTGGGTTCTGTGACTGTAGCTGGAAACAGGAGCATGAAAAAGCAATGGTCTCTTCCTGCAAGGAGCTTATCATTTAGAGGGAGAGGTCAACTCATAGACAAATTGCATTGGTAAGAAGCCCGGCCCATGGAGGGAGAGGCCTGTATGGAGTATTGTGAGGCACAGAAGAAATGGTCATGTCTGTCCTTTTTCTTCTCCAAACCCTGCAGTTGAGTGTGGCAGTGTGCTACAAGGCTACATCCGTTCCTCATCATCATCACAGCACAACAGGTCCGTTTTTGAAAAAATAGCTTTTGTAGGGCCGGGCGCGGTGGCTCATGCCTGTAATCCCAGCACTTTGGGAGGCCGAGGCGGGCGGATCATGAGGTCAGGAGATCAAGACCATCCTGGCTAACACGGTGAAACCCCATCTCTAATAAAAATACAAAAAATTAGCCAGTCGTGTTGGCGGGTGCCTGTTGTCCCAGCTACTCGGGAGGCTGAGGCAGGAGAATGGTGTGAACCTGGGAGGCAGAGGTTGCAGTGAGCCGAGATCACGCCACTGCTCTCCAGCCTGGGCGACAGAGCAAGACTCCGTCTCAAAAAGAAAAAAAAAAAAAAAAGAAAAATAGCTTTTGTATGATAGTTTTCAGAGATTTCCATTTCACAGCACAGTCTTAAATTCAGGTGAAAAGGGAGGTTGGAAGTGTGAATAATTGGATACCAGTCTGGGAGTTTAGCATTCATGGATTTTGGCAGCAATAAACAGCAGTCAAGTGTTAGAGCTCACATATTTTTAAAGAAGAAATTTTCATCAAAACTCAGGATCAAATGAAATGCTCCCTGCTGAGTCTGCCTAGGCTGGCATCAGTGTAGTTCAATTCAACAAACATTTATATTAATATAAATGGAAATACTAATATGGCCAGAATTGAAGGTTGAAATCCAGACTAAGTAACTATTTTTCCTTTCCCGTTTCTCTTTTTCTTTCTCACATCAATTTTTTGATGGCTATAACTTATTACTGATATAATAAGGGGAAGGGAAAAGTCTATAGATTGAACTATACTTCCTACTTATATTAGACAGTTTGGATTTTTTTTTTTCAAGCTAGGATCTTGCTCTGTTGCCCAGGCTAGAGTGCAGTGGTGCCATCACTGGCTCACTAGAGCTTCCACCTCCTGGCCTCAAGCCATCATCCCACCTCAGCCTCCCGAGTAGCTAGGACTGTAGGCATGCATCACCATGCCCAGCTAATTTTTTTATTTTTTGTAGATGTGGGGTCTCACTATGTTGCCCAGGCTGTTCTCAAACTCCTGAGCTCAAGTGATCTGCCTGTGTCAGCCTCTCAAAGTGTTGGGATCACAGATGTGAACCACCACACCTGGCCCAGAAAAATATTTAAAAGTATGAAAAAGAAAATAATCACCTATAATTTCACTTTGGAGTAACTACTCTTTGTTTACATTTTGATGTATTTTCTTCAAGCTTTTTTTTTCTTTCTCAGAATTGTAATTACACTGTATGTATATATACTGCTTTTTTTTTTCTTGGTTAACATTATTTGTAAGTACTTTCCTATGTCATTAAATATTTCTTTGTTGTTGTTAGTTTTTTTTTAAATAGAAATGGTGTGTCACTATGTTGCCCAGGCTGGACTCCAACACCTGGGCTCAAGTGATCCTCCTGCCTCGGCCTCCCAAAGTGTTAGGATTACAGGCGTGAACTACCATGCCTGGCCTATTTCTTGAAAATATAATATTGACTGTGTTATAATCTAATTATGTAACTACCTGAATTTATTATACTTTTATTTAATTATCTCTGGGAACATATTGTTTAATTAGGTTGTTTCCAGTTTATTACTGATTATGACAAGTGTTCTGTTGATTATTCTTACATATAACTCCTTTTGATGATTCTTTGGTTCTTTCCTTGGGATTGGTTTCTACAAGGGAAGTTATTAGGTCAACATATACTTCTTGATATTTAGCACCGGCGGGTGCAGTGACTCATGCCTGTAATCCTAGCACTTCGAGAGGCTGAGGCAGGCAGGTCACTTGAGCCCAGGAGTTCAAGACCAGCCTGGACAACATGACGAAACCCCATCTCTACACAAAAATACAAAAATTAGCTGGGGGTGTGGTGGCAGGCACCTATGGTCCTAGCTACTCAGGAGGCTGAGGTGGGAAGATCACCTGAGCCCGGGAGGTCAAGGCTGCAGTGAGCCATGATTGTGCCACTGTACTCCAGCCTAGGTGACAGAGTGAGACCCTGTCTCAAAAAACACATTTTTTAAATTTAATTTTAAAAGATACTTAGTGCCAAGCTGTCCTCCAGAAATGTACAGTCTTTTCAGCAG
The DNA here is from genome assembly GCF_000001405.40 of Homo sapiens. Classification (NCBI taxonomy): domain Eukaryota; kingdom Metazoa; phylum Chordata; class Mammalia; order Primates; family Hominidae; genus Homo; species Homo sapiens. The sequence continues at coordinate 68,985,794 of NC_000016.10, forward strand.
TGAATTAAACTGCTAATATCTCATAGAGAAAAACTATTTCATGGCTTCAGACTAAATGTTTTTCGGGTTTTGTTTTGCCTTTTTTCTTTCTCTTCTGACACCTTTGGTATAAACTAAATGTTTAACCCTGACCAGCCATCTCCAAAATGTGCAGCTTTGCTCCCAGAATCAAGGAACCTGTCAGGGGAGGTGGGTGGGTGGAAGAGGGGAGAGAGGGACTGAGGGATACATGACTCAGTGTGAACCCTTTGCTTCCCTGGAAGAGCAACTCAGAGCTGGTGGTGTCATCATGACGTACAAAGAACAGTACTTCTTAATTATTTTTAGAGGCAGAATGTAGCCTTGTAATCAGCAAGCTAAGACAAGTTCCAGTTTACTCTAGGCCAGAGACTTCTAAAAGTCAGAACAAAAATAGCCAGATTCATGTTGCTCCATCTGAAGAGTTTGCTTTTAGGAGAGATCAGGAATTCATATTTTGAATGAGGACTGAGGGGTGAGAATTAAGTCTCTGATCTCTTCTGTCGTATGCCACGGTAAGTAGAGTGACCCCCAGGAATCCTGAGGCAAAGCAGCTCCTCAGATTACTCTATATTCTAGGAAAAGGGTGAGTCCTAGGCTTTACGGGGTGTTTCCGGCTGTAAAACACCCTGATTCAATGTGCTTTGTCAACTCTTTTCCATGTCACCTGCTTGATTTTTGTGTTTTAGTTTAGCAATCACTTTACCCCTTCAGTTCATCCAAGTGATGAGTATCACATGGCCCCAGGTCTCTAATGGTTCATGCAGCTCCAGAATGAAGCCATAATCCAATTTTAGAAAACGTATCATCTGGGCCGGGCGCAGTGGCTCACACCTGTAATCCCAGCACTTTGGGAGGCCCAGGTGGCAGATCACTTGAGGTCAGGAGTTCAAGACCTGCCTGGCCAATGTGGTGAAACCCGGTCTCTACTAGAAATACAAAAATTAGCCAAGAGTGATGGCACACACCTGTAATCCCAGCTACTCAGGAGGCTGAGGCAGGAGAATTGCTTGAACCTGGGAGGCAGAGGGTGCAGTGAGCCAGGATTGCGCCACTGCACTCCAGCCTGGGGATAGAGTGAGACCCCTATAATCTGTCTAGAGTGGAGAAAATTCAGCCCCAAATTCTGCTCTGACAGATACCTTCTTCCAGCCAGTTGGAGAAAACAAAGGAAAACTGAATAATTGGATTTATCTAGCAGGCTACGGTGAGTTCCAATTGGCTTCACCTGGTAATTAAGATGAGGGAGAAAGTTTTAAACAGCTGCATATTTTATAGGCTGGCCATACCACAATTGACATCATTTATTCAACCATTTTTCTGTGGATGGGTATCCATTTTTTTCTATTTTTTTTCTATGATATACAGCTCTGCAATATAAATTCTCATCTATGTGTGCTAATAAAAATATATTTTTATATGTGTATATCTTGTATACATGTACATGTTAAAGTGCTAGAACCTTTATTTCTTTTGGGTTGATATTCACCAAAGTGGAATTACTGGGTCATAGGCTATTTAAATTTTAAATTTTGTTGCTGTTGTTGTTGCTGTTGTTGTTGTTGTTTGGGGTTTTTGAGACAGTCTTGGTCTGTCACCCAGGCTGGCATGCAGTAGCATGATCTCGGCTCACTGCAGCCTCTGCCTCCTGGATTCAAGCAATTCTCATGCCTCAGCCTTCCGAGTGGCTGGGACTACAGGCATGTGCCACCATGCCCGGCCAACTTTTGCATTTTTAGTAGAGACAGTGTTTTGCCCTGTTGCCCAGGCTGGTCTCGAACTCCTGGGCTCAAGGGATCTGCCTACCTTGGCTGAATTATAGTGCTGGAATTATAGGCATGAGCCACTGCACCCAGCCTTTAAATTGTTTATATACTAACAGATCTTTTCCTAAAATTTTAAGTGACATGGGGCTTTTTAAGCCATCTGCTATGTCTTTTGTCAAGTAAAGAAAAATATCTTTTGAAAACTGTGTTTGTTCAAAGTGAATGGATGAAGAAAGTCCTTTGATATTATTTTGTTGTTTGTCCTGAGTGCATTGTGGGAAAAGAATTTGTTTTTGTGGGTTTCATTTGTATTTTCCTGGTGACTAATTATACTGAGCAACTTTTCATATGCTTATTTTCTATTCATGTATCTCTTTTGTGAAGTAACTGTTGAGATCTTTTTGCATTTTTTAATTGGGCTAATTATCTTCTTATTACTGAGTTGCGAGGGTTCTTTATATGTAGTGGAACCTCTCTTGACCCCACATCTCCTTCTAACTGTCACCCTAGTTATCTGGTCTCCTCCAGAGTAAAATTCTTGGAAAAGCTGTCTGCCTTGCTGCCTCCACTTTCTCCCTCCCCATTCTCTTCCCAGGACACTCTAATGGGTCTTTCATCCCCAACATTCCTTTATCTGCCTAAATATTGACAAGCCAGTGATCAGTTATTCCTCCTCATATGACTCGACTTTCCAGTAGCACTTGATATGTTTGACCACCCCTGCTTTTTGAAACGCCTTCTTCTCCAGGCCTTCCTGACAATTGACTTGCCTTTTTCTCCTGCCGCCTCAGAGCTGCTTTTCTTCAGTTTTCTTTGCTGGCTCCTCCCCCACTAACAGATCTCTCAAGTTTGGAGTCCCCCAGGGCTCTGCCCTTGGTCCTCTTCTCTCTTCCATGCACATAGTGCTACTCAAGACATTAACTTTTATGAAGCCCATTTTATAAGTGTTTTTAATAGAAAAAAATCCTAAGAAATTTTTGTTTACCCATTTTCTCCCATTTTTTCTTCTAGAATGTTAATGATCTTAGCTTTTATGTTTCAGTCTATGACCTGTTTCAATTTTTCAATTTAATTTTTGTGTTTGGTGAATAGTTAGAGTTTAAGTTCTCTCTCTCTTTTTTTTTTTTTTTTTTTTTGAGACAGGGTCTCATTTGCTCTGTCTCCCAGGCTGAAGTACAGTGTTACAATCACAGCTCACTGCAGCCTGAAACTCCAGGGCTCAAGTGGTCCTCCCACCCAGTCTCCCAAGTAGCTAGGACTACAGGTGTGTGCCACCACGTACAGCTAATTTGTTTTTTGGTTGTGGGGGGACCGGATGTCACTCTGTCTTCCAGGCTAGAGTGCAAAGCCATGATCACAGCTCACTGCACCTCGACCTCGCAGCCTCAGGTGATCCTCCCTCTTCAGTTTCCCAAGTATGGGACTACAGGTGCATGCCAACACACCTGGCTAATTTTTGTATATTTTGTGGGAATGGGTTTTCACCATGTTGCCCAGCTGGTCTTGAACTCCTGGGCACAAGTGATCTGCCCACCTTGGCCTCCCAAAGTGCTAGGATTACAGGCATGAGCTACCACGCCCAGCCCATGATTCTTAATCTCCATTTTTGGCTTAATAGCTCTACTTCTGTTTAATTTTTAAATTTTCATTCTAGGACTTTACACATATATTAGATTTTTTTGTTCTTGTTCTTGTTCTACAAGAACAGGCTCTGTTCAATTTTTTTTTTTCAATCTTTTTCTCTCTCTTTTTCAGATTTAATAGTTTCAACTGATCTATCTTTAGGTACATGGACTCTTTCCTCTGTCATTGCCATTTCACTGTTTAACTCATCCAGTGAATATTTTATTTTCGATATTGTATTTTGCATTTCTAGAATTTGTAGTTGGTCCCTTTCTCTTTTTTTGTTGAGATTTCCTCTCTTTTTGTTCATTAGAAGTGTATTTTCCTTTATTTCATTAAGCATAGTTATAATAGCTGCTTTAAAATCCTTATCTGATAACTAAAATATCTGGGTCATTTCAGTGTTGGCCACTGTTGATTGTCTTTTTCCTTGAAAATGGTTTATATTTTCACATAATTAGAAGTTTTGGATTCTGTACTAGACATTATGAATATTATGTTGCAGAAACTGTGGTTTCTGATATAATACCCTGAACAGTGTTAAATTTTTGTTTCAACAGGCAATTAACGTAGGCTGAAATGGCAAACTTTGTCATGCCTGTGGTGGGCAGCAGCTCAAATCTCAGTTCAGTTCTTTTAGCCTTAGCTGCTGCTTTGAGTCTACTCTATGCATGGTGAATTTTAGCACATTTTTCTGAGATCCAAGAGATAAAATAGGGGACTGTATTCACCCACCTGAATCTTTATCTTATTCATGATCTTCGTCCTGCTTGTTTTCTGCTTTGGAGTACATAAAATTAAAAGAGATGAAATCTTATTCTCTCTCTTTTTCTCTCTTTCTCGCTCTGTGTGTGTGTGACTCTTGCTCTGTCACTCAGGCTGGAGTGCAGTGGTGCGATCACAGCTCAATGCAGCCTCAAACTCCTGGCTCAAGTGATCCTCCCACCTCAGCCTCTTGAGTAGCTGAGATCACAGGCATGCACCATTACACCTGGCGTATTAGTCTGTTCTCCCGCTGCTAATAAAGACATACCCGAGACTGGGTAATTTATAAAGAAAAAGAGGTTTAATGGACTGACAGTTCCACATTGCTGGGGAGGCCTCACAATTATGGCAGAAGGCAAGGAGGAGCAAAGCCACATCTTGCCACATGGTGGCAGGTAAAGAGAGAATGAGAACCAAGCGACAGGGGTTTCCCTTTATCAGATCTCATGAGACTTACTTATTACCACGAGAACAGTATGGGGGAAACCGCCCCCATGATTCAGTTATCTCCCACCAGCTCCATCCCACAACAATTGGGAATTATGGGAGCTACAACTCAAGATGAGATTTGGTTGGGGACACAGCCAAACCATATTACCTGGCTAATTTGTTTGTATATTTCGTAGAGACAGGGTCTCACTATGTTGCCCAGGCTGATCTCAAACCCCTGGACTCAAGTGATCCTCCCACCTCAGCTTCCCAAAGTGCTGAGATTATAGGCATGAGCCACCATGCCTGGCTACCATTCTCATTCATCATTGAACTCAGACTAGGTTCCATGGCCTGGCTTAGCTCAGGGAGTCAAGATCATGAAAGGATACATATGCTGTGTTAATGGATTTGGAGTTTATGTTGATTTTATAAAATGGGAGCCATTGAAAGACTTTAAGGAGGAAAGAAGTAATAATAATTATATTCTGGCAAAATTACTTCGGTCACTCTGTGAAGGATGACTTAGAATGGGACAAGACTTGAAGCAGAGAGACCTATTAGGATGTTGTTGGGGCAAGAGATGATGGTAGATCTCGAACAAAGGCTTACACGTGATAAAGACAGAAAAAAGATGTCCCCAGATAGGAAAGAAAGCATAAGAACAAAACAGAAGTGGGATGTATATGGTGAGAATGAAGAACTGAGACTTAACCTGTCCCTCTGTTGAGGCTGTGTTGGGTACCTTGGAGAAGAAAGGCTAGATAGACAGGGTAGAGCCATACCACAGACAGCTCTGAGAGCTGAGCAGAGGAGTCTAGACTTGCCATGATGGCCATTTGGGAATCACTGTAGATTCTTAAAGGAAACAGCATGATGATAAATGTATAGGTATGTGGTTGGCAGGGACATGAAGGATGCTGAAGAAAGGAGAGCCTGGGCTGGGCATGATGGCTCATGCCTGTAATACCAGCACTTAGGGAGGCTGAGGTGGGTGGATCACTTGAGGTCAGGAGTTCAAGACCAGCCTGGCCAACATGGTGAAACCCTGCCTCTACTAAAAATAGAAAAAGCTACTAAAAATAGAAAAGGAAAAATTAGCCAGGTGTGGTGGTGCACTCCTGTAATCCTAACTACTCAGGAGGCTGAGGTGGGAGGATTGCTTAAACCTAGGAGGGAGAGGTTGCAGTGAGCCAAGATCGCACCACTGTACTCTCCAGCCTAGGCGACAGAGTGAGATTTCATCGATAAATAAATAAATAAAAATACAAAAATTAGATGGGCATAGTGGCATGCATCTGTAATCCCAGCTACTCGGGAGGCTGAGGCAGAAGAATCACTTGAACCCGATTAAAGGGAGGCAGAGGTTGCAGTGAGCCAAGATCGTGCCACTGCACTCCAGCCCGGGTGACAGAGCAAGACTGTCTCGCAAAATAAAAATACAAAAGAAAGGAGAGCCTGGAGCCGGAGAGAAAGCTGGGAGGTGGTTGTGGTATTCCTTGACACAAAGAGATGAGGATTTTGGTTAGAGGAATGGCTGTGAAAATGGTGAGAAAATGTGAATACTATAGGCAATTCAGAGGAATAAATGAGAGACCATCATCCTTTTTTTTTTAAACATTTAGTGAAAACGGGGTTATAATCCACCCAGCAACTATTCTCACAGAACTATTGAGAGGCTCAAATAAAGTAATATATATGAAATCGCTTATAAATATATGAGTATCATCACAGAGATCTATTTATCACTATATTTAGTCTTCTAGTAGGGTTGCCAGATATCAAAGTGGGGAGGTGGGACCATCTACAGTGGCAGCCACTGGGCAGGTAAATAAGAATTCGACATATGGACTTAACTTTGAATGCATTTTAGTTTTCTTTAACAGAAGTGCTATCTGTGACCCTGGAGTCATAACTAACTGGGTTTTGATCTCGACTCTAACCTTTAGTAGCATGGACAAGTTATATAACTTCTTTGTTCCTTATCTGTAAAGTGGGGATAATTCTATTAAATATCTGATAGGATGGTAATGAAATTAAATAAGATAATTTATGTTAAGTGTTCAGAACCAGTGTCTTTCATGGTAAGGGGTGAATAAATGTTGGTTGCTATTTTTTTGTTGTTATTTTTGAATGAATACCTCATATTGCTGCATTATGCCAAGGCAAAAGCCAACCCTAGTAAGTAGCCCTTCAGTTGAGTAAAATGTGCGATCATCCTGTTCTACTCCAGAGAAAAATCCAAGTACATGTATTTGTTTCTGTGACAGCCGTTCCTTGTTTGCTTTTCAACAGAGATTCTTTGGAAATTACTCATCTTTCCAAGTCATTCTTATGTCCTTTTTCCCTCTCAAATCAAGCTTTGTATTCTATGTTAAAAAAGCAGAAATCTGGCCGGGCACGGTGGCTCACACCTGTAATCCCAGCACTTTAGGAGGCCAAGGCAGGTGGACCACCTGAGGTCAGGAGTTCAAGACCAGTTTGACCAATATAGTGAAACCCCGTCTCTACTAGAAATACAAAAATTAGCTGGGCGTGGTGGCTCGCGCCTGTAGTCCCAACTACTCTGGAGGCTGAGGCAGGAGAATCGCTTGAATCCGGAAGGCGTAGGTTGCAGTGAGCCAAGATGCGCCATTGCACTCCAGCCCGGGTGACAGAGGGAGACTCTGTCTCAAAAAAAAAAGAAAAGAAAAAAGAAAAATCTTATCTTTTATAATTAGATCTCTTTAAATAGATTCAAGTGGATATTGCAGTTCTTTTCTAAAAATCACCAGCTGCAGGAATCACTGGCTTAGGAGACACAAGATGTCATTGGCAAGGGGTTCTTTCTTTAAAGATAACAACATAATTATGCTTAGATGTTTCAGCATTTTATTCTGCTGTTATTTTTATTTTCAGTGTCTTCATACTTTTGTCTTCTCATCTCACTATTCTAATTCAGAATAAATTAAAGCATTCATTTGGATTCTAATTCAATATATGTATGAGAAAGAACACAGAATAATGAAGCACCTGATTTTCTCTCTGCAAGTTTTGAAATAGATTTTTGCATTCATTTTGACTTACGGACTTGCAAGAGAGTAAACCAACAGTGTAACTGAAATACAGTGTTCCTTGTAGGAAGACAATGTTACTTAATTTTCCTCTCCATGGCTTGATATAGTAGGAATTGATTCATAGCACTTGAGGGATGGATGATCTGTTAATAATTTAAACATGAAGTTATAGTCTCAATCCACAGGCTTCCTGATTTGTGTTTGTCAATATTACGAGGCTAACCAACTCTTGGTCATGCTTTAATGAGTTTGAACTTTTATATATCTAATTAAATTAATTAAATCACTGGAATAGTTTTAATACTTTCATGATTACAGAATTGTAAAGACAGTCTCCGTCATTTAAAATATCTAGGATTTTTTTCTTCTTTCAGTTTTTAAAATAAGTTACCACAAACCTAGAATTTTTCCTTCCTGATTATTACATTTCTGGACTTTGTTTTAATTTCACCCTTCAAGGAAGTTTCTGGAGGCACTTACTGTCTGGAGCACACTTTTCAGGAGAACCAATCTGTTTGTCTTGTTGGTAACACACTAGGGTAGAGTCAGTTATTGTAGATTTTCCTCATAGGGTAACTTTGTGTAAACTGAAAGCTTATGCACTGATTAAGCCAATCTTGGAGTTCAATGAGCTGTTGAGATGGAATGAGTAATCTAGTTAATACGTAACTATAGAAGTCCTGGCATCTCCTGTTTCAAATTGTCTATGTTTCTGTGTTATTTTAGTTCATTGAGTTGCCAAAAATCCAGTAATACAAAGCATTTCCTGTACATTGTTTTACTCTGAAAGATATTTATTTATGGATTTTATTTGCACATCACTCTGTTTTCTGAAGAAACAGAAAGAAAACATCCTTTTGCAAGTCTAAGTGTAAAGTAGGGCCTCTGTGCCTTTTTTCAGTGCCCCTCACTTACCTCTTTTTTTCTTCCCCTCTCCCATTTAAAACTTCCCTCTACAGGTCCTTACCCAGGTTTGACCATCTCTAGAAAGTAATCAAATTTCAGACATTGCCCTACCTTCAAATCTTTCTCTTATTCTTTCCCAGCCTATAAGAAGCAGGTAGCAGATATACTAATATTTGCTAAGAGGTGATGGCAGCCTCCTATTGTGTGGCCATTCCTGGGATTTTTTTTTTTTTTTAAAGACTGGTTCTTGCTCTGTTACCCAGGCTGGAGTGCAGTGGCACTATCATGGCTCACTGCAGTCTCTACCTCCTGGGCTCAAACAATCCTCCCACTTGAGCCTCCCAAGTAGCTGGGACCATAGGCGCACACCACCACGTCCAGCTAATTTAAAAAAAAAAATTTTTTTTTTGTAGAGATGGGGTTTCACCATGTTGCCCACGCTGATCTCAAACTCCTGGGCTCAAGCAATTCTCCCGCCTCAGCCTCCCAAAATGTTGGGATTACAGGAATAAGCCACGGCACCCAGCTTATTTTGTATTTTCAATAAGGAGACTATTTAATGCAAAGGAATAAAGTTTGAATGATTAAATATAATCTGAGGCAATACAATTTGCTAATAGAAGAAGAATTTGAAGATAAGAAGATCTCTCTGTCTCTTTAAAACATTCTTGGTAGGTTACTTACACCAACAATAGTTCCACTATCAAGTTTCTTTTTGTTTAATAAGTTGTCCCACAGGGATCTTCTCATGGTCCCAATCTAAGCCTGTCAAAGTCTATTTACTTATAATTTGCATCTAAATCATTCCTACTTGTGTGGTCTGTGTGTGACTGGAAAGGGAAAGCTTAAGAGCCCCTGAAATCTTTTCTAACCCACTCCTAGTTCAGGGTCACCTCTTGGTTATATTACCTTACAGAGGAAATGAATGAAGAAAGCAGCAGATCAACAATTAGCCTTAGGGAGAAAAATGGGTCCTGACATGTAGACACCAGTAGGGGGAAATCTATCCAGGGACTACCCAGCATTTTTGCCCAGTGACTATTGTGACCTGTGTGCCTGGCAAGCCTCATCAAGACCAGAAGATGGCTTTGGCTCCAACACTCTGCAGTGCTCTAATATGTGCATCCATATAGGGCTTTAACAGCTTTCACAAGGCCATTATCAGTCATCCTTTATGGTTAGGAAATCGGAAGTGTTCCGTTCTTTCCACTTTTGAAAGTGGGAAAGAAGAGGGGAATTTTTTCTCCTCTCCAGACTAGAATGAATAGGATTCCAGCCCTTAACCAAGACTACTCAGTGCCAATTCTGGTGTTTGCCCATGCTGGAACTTATTTCCATTGTACCCTGTTATTTATGCACCATTTTAAGACTAAGTCACTGGCTTCTCTTCTACCCATGCCTTACGAAGTTAAACAAAGAAAGATGAAAATTGCAAGGACCTTGAAATGTCAGAGATGTGGGGCAATCAGTTGGCTGCATTTTAGTCCTTTGTTTTAGGACTTAAAAGGGATGAGCCCCTTCTAAATTTTACTTTCTTATTTGTGATACAGGGTTAATAATATTTTGTTCTACCTATCTCAGATTCTTGTGAGGTTCAAACAAGATAATAGACATATAAGTATTTTGCAGATAAAGAGGCTTACAAATGCACACAGCATTGTTTTATCCCACAGCATTTTATGTCTGGGCTGCACTGTAGCTGCGTACATTATATTGACTAAGATCCCTCTTCTGTTCATAAAGGGCTATGTGAGGAGGGAAACTGAAGTCAGAACAGAGATGATTTCCCCAGAGCTGCAGGGGAAATTCAAGGCTGAAAAGTAACTGTTGTTAATAGATCAAAATTTACCTACGAATTTTTTAATGATGAATTTCATCAAAAATTAATTGCATTTAAATTATTTAATTCTCTAAATGGCTTTTGGAGAGGAAATCCTGCCTGTCAGGATCTGCCATGTCAATCTAATTTCCTTTGGACCTTGACAGAAATTGTAAACTGTGTCGACTCTGGCTCACATGTGGCAATAAATTGTATTCATGAAATGTTACAAGAAACCAGTGATTCTTCTATTGTATTTCTTAACAGTAGTGAGGTAGAGTTCTAGGCCCTGAAATGCAGGGAAAAAAGAGTAGATGTTAGCGAGCACAAAAAAGGGGCACATGAACAGAGTCAGATCTATATTTTGTCTCCTGTTTCCTCATTGACTGGATCAACAAGATGTTTCTGCTGAGGGCATGTGGCTCTCCAGGGTGTCATCCCTAGAGATCCATATACTTTAGTACCCAAGTAAATGGCATCCAAGACAGGAGGAAAAGTAGTTTTTCTGGATCCCTTTTTTCAGTAACTGATTTAAGGAGGTCAAATATGTATTGCATCCTTTGACCATTTTATGCTTTTACCTTTTTTCTCCCCAAAATATTTAATATCAAACCGAAAGTACACAGAGTACAGTCCTGGAGAAAGGAAGAGCATACTTCAACTAGTTAGATTACAGGGAGGATTTAAACACTCTAATTGAGATCCTGGAGCCTGGAAAGAAGATTAAAATTCAAAGATACACAGAAAAAGACTCCAGTTCTTCATCTCTACTTCAACCTGGTCCATAGAGGAAATGAAATAAAGAACAAAAGAGATTTGGATTGGGCGAAACAAAAAGGTTGGAGCACAAAGGTTTTTAACTTCTGGCATAAGATCTTAACATCTGTGGGTTAATGTTTGTCAAATGTGATTTGATGCAGCTATACATGGAAACTGTGGAATATTGGACCAAATGGCCCACTGTGTTTAAGTGTCACAGGGTGAATCCCAAAATTGGGGTTCAGCCTAGGCGGCCATGAGGGTTCTTGGCTTCACTGAGGAAGGAATTCAAGAGTGAGCCAACAGAGTAAAGTGAGATCAAATTTATTAAGAAAAGTAAAGGAATAAAAGGATGGCTACTCCATAGGCAGAGCAGCAGCACAGACTACTTGACTGACTATACTTACGGTTATTTCTTGATTGTATTCTGAACAGGGATGGATTATTCATGAGTTTTCCAGTAAAGGATTGGGGAGTTCTGGAACTAAGGATTCCTCTCCTTTTTAGACCACATAGGGTAATGTCTGGACATTGCTATGGCATTTATAGACTGTCATGGTACTGGTGGGAGTTTCTTTTAGCATGCTAATGCATTATAATCAGTGTATAATGAGCAGTGAGGATGACCAGAGGTCACTTTCATTACCATTTTCTTTTTGGTGGGTTTTAGCCGGCTTCTTTACCACATCTCATTTTATCAGTGGGGTCTTTGTGACCTGTATCTTGTGAAACCAGTCCCACTGACCTCTTATCTCATCCTGTGACTAAGAATGCCTAACCTCCTGGGAATGCAGCCCAGCAGGTCTCATCCTCATCTAGCACCTATTCAAGATGGAGTCACTCTGGTTAGAACACCTCTGACATATTTCCTCCCTCCCTTTTACAAGGGCACCCTTAATCCTAAGGGTTGTAAAGGGATGAAGATCCATCTTCTGTAACTTCTTCAGGCTGAACAGGGGCAATGATATTCTTACCTAATTATTAGGGTCTCTTGTATTCAAGGTAGAGAGGAGCTCAATGAGAAAGTGTTGGTATGGTGAGGGCCATTCATAACTGAGTCTCAACAGAAGGTATAATCTGGAAGATTCCTAAGTGTTCAATTTAAGAAAATGTTGAGTAGGCTTATCCTGCATTCCTACACAAAGAGTACAATGACAATATATTCCACAGTAGTAAAGCAAAATAAGTGAAATTATCTCAAGTAAACTAAATAAGAAGGCTTTTCATGAACTGGGCAGTTGTAACCAAGCTAATATGAGGTCATGCCCAGAATTAGAATACTCATTCAGATTTTCACATTACCCATCCCTATTGTTTCTTCTGAGCAGCAGCCAGAGATCACTGGTTGGTTCACAGGAGTAAGCAGGATCAGTCTAAATTGCAGAAAAAATTCAAAAACAATGGATGTGATTAGAACCTAATAACAGGTATACCATAGTTTTTGAATCATAATTTTTCTCTCTCCAGTCTCCATTTTTACTAAAGACAAATCATGGTAGAACCAGTTTGTTTGCAGGCCAGGCACGGTGGCTCATGCCTGTAATCCCAGCGCTTTGGGAGGCTGAGGCGGGCAGATCACAAGGTGAGGAGTTCGAGACCAGCCTGGCCAACATAGTGAAACCCTGTCTCTACTAAAAATACAAGACATTAGCCAGATGTGGTGGTGGACAACTGTAGTCCCAGCTACTTGGGAGGCTGAGGCAGGAGAATTGCTTGAACCTGGAAGGCGGAGGTTGCAGTGGGCCAAGATTGCGCCACTGCGCTCCAGCCTGGGTGACAGAGTGAGACTCCATCTCAAAAAAAAAAAAAAACCAGTTTGTTTGCAAAATAAGTTTTAGTCTTATTAAACTTGGCCTGATCATGTATATAAAGTGCAGCAAGAATAATTATTTGCCATAGAAACTCCTTTTTAAATTGTCTTTGATGAAACATTGTTCCATAGGAATCCCAGACTTTATTGATTGATTGAGACAAGTCTCACTCTGTCACCCAGGCTGGAGTGCAGTGGCACAATCTTGGCTCACTGCAGCCTCAACATCCCAGGTTCAGGCAGTTCTCCCACCTCAGCCTCTTGAGTAGCTGGGACTACAGGTGTGCACCACCACACCTGGCTAATTTTTGTATTTTTTAGAAAAGACAGGGTTTTGCCATGTTGCCCAGGCTGATCTTGAACTCCTGAGCTCAGGTGATCTCCCACCTCGGCTTCCCAATGTGCTAGGATTACAGGCATGAGCTACCATGCCCAGCCTTCTCAGACTTGTATAAGCCTTGAGTCCAGCCATGAATTCATCTGTGCCTGTAGATACTTGTATGAGTTGGGTAAATTCCTCTTTTCTTGAGATCCCAAGATAACCTGTATCTCCTGGGCCTGTCAGAAAGTGACATTTTTTACTTACTGCAGGTCAGGAACTCTGTACAGGGACTGTGTAGTTAAGGTATGAGGTCAGTTTTCCTAAGGGGCTTTTATTGGCTCTATAAGTCAACTTTGATCCCTTAAACAGTCTGTTTATATTTGAAAGCATGCCATTCCAGTCAAAACCTTGGTAAAATAACCAGTGTCTCTAGTTGTGTCCCATTACAAAAGAAAACAGATTCTTATTACACTTATTCAAATAACAACATTGCCATAAGTTAACAATACTCACAAATAATTTCCAAATTCTGGAGAAATCAGATAGAGAGAAAGAAACATGCTCTATATTTTGTTTTTGGACAAAAACTTTGTTTTATACTCCTTAGAGGAGTATACTTTACTCAATTGTTGAAAGCTATAAATAGCTCAAAAGATTTTCTGACTCTGAAAAACAAAACAGAAAGGATCAGCAGTGTTTTAAGCAAAAAATCATAAAAAGATTATTTTAGTATTTTATTAGTTCAATCTATGCAATTAATTCCTGTTTTGCTCAATATCTATAAACACATTAGCTTTCCAAGAGAGTCTTGAAAGTTTTTTTCTCTGTTTTAGTGGCACACTTTCCAAAGTTATCAGAGATGTATATTGAAGAGTGCTTGTCAGAGTCCTGTAGCTGATTACAAACCATCTTTTGTAGCGGATCAAAACAAGACAATTGTCTGTGGATGACAAAAAGTCTTAGGGCAGCCACAGTCAAAGAGGCGATTCGCCAGGAAATTTGGTTACCTTTGTGGCAGAAAATAATTTAGCATAACAATTATAATTATTACTGATAATGTACACTAAGTCATATCAGAATTATAGAAGTTTCACATAATTTTGGAACACATACCAGTAACACATTTATACAAATACAGCCCAAAGAAACTCAAATACCATTGTATATTTAACAGTGCTTCCTGTATGCTTTTAATATACCAAATATGTCATTTTTTGACTTCAGGGGACCTAATATCTAAAAGGAATAATTGGGTCAGAAAAAGACTTAATTTAGAATTTGATTTTGGGAACTTGTCAAATATCAAAGGCTTAAAACACTTGATATTATAAAATAGAATCACTGGTAGTCTATTTAGCTAAAATAACTCAAAGATTTCAAAAAGACAAAAACTTTTACTCATTGATAAAGGGAAGACTTAGCTTTCCAGACAAGATCCAATAAAAACAAAATGAGGCCAACTGAATCTCTTTTCTCTCCTCTTTTTTTCCTATAGTTTATTTTAAAGGCAAACAAAAATCTTTCTTTTTTTTTTCTTTTTTTTGAGACAGGCTGTCACTCTCTCACCCAGGCTGGAGTGCAGTGGCATAATCTCAGCTCACTGCAACCTCTGCCTCCCACGTTCAGGCAATACTCCTGCCTCAGCCTCCTGAGTAGCTGGGATTACAAGTGCATGCCACCACACCTGGCTACTTTTTTGTATTTTTAGTAGAGACGGGGCTTCACCATGTGGCCAGGCTGGTCTTGAAATCCTGACCTCAAGTGATCTGCCCACCTTGGCCTCCCAAAGTGCTGGGATTACAGGCATGAGCCACCAAGCCTGACCAATATCCTTTTAATTTTAGTCAACTTGCTCCCACACAGTTCTTTACAAGGTTAAATTTTCAGAAACCTTCTACAACTTGTTTAAGCCTTTAGTTTTATCCTATATTTTTAAATTTAAAATGATTCTTACACCCTCTAAATTAGACAAAATTACTTTATTTTTTGAAGAAAAAACACATTCTCATGCCTTTTTACCAAAAACATGTAATTTTAATTTCTTTAATGTAAGAAATTTTAATTACATACCAGGTGCAGAGCCTAGGATACAGGACAGAATGGCCTATAAAGTCTGACTCTTTCCAGCACAGTTAGGGGGAAATGGCTCACCCTCTATGTTCCCAGGCCTTATCCTGAATTAAATGGCTCTAACGCAGGTAAGTTGAACAATTACCAAAAGTCATAGAAATAGTTTATGACCTTAAAGCATTTAGCAAACCAAATTTTGAAGACATTTTTATTTTATTTTACCAGTAATCTTTAAACTCCCTTTATTTTTAAAAGATTATTAGTCATGCACACTAAAAGGCACTAAAGTTTTTATTTTTCTAACAAAGTATTTAAGTTTTATTTTTCTTTGTGCCTATTATTTACAGCTCTTTTATATAAACATCACACATACAACACATATAAATACACAGACAGACAGAAGATTCAGTAGTTGTAGGATTTCTCATTTGCCAGTTTTTAAGTTTCTCATTAAAGCCTGCATTTCTAGGGCTAAATAAGCAGGCACAGTTAGAAAGCAAAACAGATCCCCAAAAATCAAGGATCCCATTTTTACACTAGATTCTAGATTCCTAAAAAGAAAGGAACACCATGGGACCAGACAATGCAATGCTTTTACCATGCATTTCACTGCAAAGACGTTCCCCCGAAGCTGGTGGCCAACCCAAAGCCAATCTGCCCATTCCGCATTTCATATCTTTTAGGTACCCAAGAGCACACTTTTTTCATTTAAATATGAGAAGAAAGAAGTATTGGCCTGTAGTAATAACCACTCACTGTAAGCAACTGCCATCAGCTATTCCTAAAAGTATATGTCCTACCTAGCTGTTATACACCAAGGCTAAAAGTTCTCTCATAATGCAAAATAATTTCTGATACCCCCAAAAGTAAAAAAAAAGATAAAGTAATGTGATGCAAAACAGAGCAGAGCCTTAGATTTTGAGAGGGACCTGTCTACTTACAATTCTTGGAGTTCCATGAGGAAAACAGCTTTTTCTTCCAAAACAGGATCTGTGACATCTTCTATTTTTCTCCCAAGGAGTCCCAGGCTGTCAGAAATTACCATAGGTCCTCTCATGTGAGCATCAAGGGTAGCAAGAAAACGGACAGGAGAAATAATTCAGTTGACTGAGAAGAAAAACAAACCAAAAAAATAAGATCCAAGAAAAGGCATAAAGCCCTTTAATTTATATATATATATAAAATTTGGGTGATATGGTTTGGCTCTGTGCCCCCACCCAAATCTCATCTTGAATTGTAATCCCCATAATCGCCATGTATTAAGGAAAGGACCAGGTAGGAGGTGACTGGATCATAGGGATGTTTTCCCCCATGCTGTTGTTAGGATAGTGAGTGAGTTAAGTGAGTGAGTTCTCTTAAGATCTGATGGTTTTATAAGACAGTTTTCCCTGCTCTTGCTTGCTCTCTCTTTGCCTGCTGTCATGTAAGACATGCCTCTTCCCCTTCCACCATGATTGTAAGTTTCCTGGGGCCTCCCCAGCCTGCAGAGCCATGAGTCAATTAAACCTCTTTTCTTTATAAATTACCCAGTCTCGGCTGTGTAAAATGGACTAATACGTTGGGTATCTGTTTTTAATTAAGCTGATTTTTAACCATAGAGCACTTTTAAAAAAAGTCCTTTTGGGTCAGGTGCGGTGGCTCACACCTGTAATCCCAGCACTTTGGGAGGCTGAGGCGGGCAGATCACCTGAGGTCAGAAGTTCGGGACCAGCCTGGCCAACATGGTAAAACCCTTTGTCTACTAAAAATACAAAAATTAGTTGGGTCTGGTGGCACACACCTATAGTCCCAGCTACTCGGGAGGCTGAGGCACCAGAATCACTTGAACCCGGGAGGTAGAGGTTGCAGTGAGCTGAGATGGTGCCACTACACTCCAGCCTGGGTGACAGAGCAAGACTCCATCTCAAAAAAAAAAAGAAAGTTTTTAAATCTTTTATCATTAAACTTTAGCCAGGACAAGCAGCTGACACCTCTGGCTTTTAAGCCCTTTTTTCCCCCCTCAAAGGTATTTTTCCAGGTAAAACAAAAAAAGCCTTAACGAAGGTTATGATTTAACCATGGATGCACAAGGTGTCTCCAAAGAGATGGCAAGCAGTTTTTATAAGATCTAGAATCACACCTAAGGTAGCTCAGAGAAAAGAAAATTCAAGTCAGGAAATCAGAAGCTGCCCATAGAGGGAAAAAGAATAAATAAATGGCAAAAGTCCCACAACTGTCAAATCAAAAGGAATTCATTCCCTAAGCCAGGAATTTAACCCAGGCCACCATCACAAAAGAGCAAAGCCTTAGCTACTGAGCTACAGCAGAAGGTAAGCACCATATTGTTTTTCCCAGGAGTCTAGAGCAGCCATTTTTGAGCTTGTGAAGAACATACCTTTTCAAGGGAAAAGAAAACAGATTTTAGAATTAAAAGCCAGTATTTCTTTCAGTCTTACTGAAAGCAAACCAATACTTTAAAAAACGTGTTTTAACATAGGGGACCAAAATTTAGATAGACTGTTATAAATTAATTTTCTTTCATTGTAGTTTATTTAATTATATAAAAAAGTTTAATAAGTTATCTTTTATGAACTTTATCATGACTTACATAGACCACCTATGACATGCTTGGACCTTTTGACTTGTCCTATACTTTCTTCTTTCCTAAATAATCAGTCATTCTACTTTAGGACAAGAATTTACCATACAAGATCCTTTCTCACATAAAATTTCTTTTCTTTATAGCCTTCCTTATCAAAAATACATCTTCATATCCATAACTTTCTACTCATCTCTTTCCCCTACTTACTGTTTTTTTTCTTTCTATCTTGTTTCTATTTTCTTCCTAAATCCACATTTTAAACCCCACTTTAAATAACATCTGAATTGGCAAAAAAAAAAAATTTTTTTCAATAGCAGCATATCTTCTTTGGCACATTTTACATACAGAATTATATATGAATTTTTAGTAATCCTAAATTTTAATGAGTTTAAATTAAATGAACTTGAAAAATGCTTGGACTTATTTACTTAATTTATGAGTGCTCTTTTACTTATAAGTCAATTTGTTACCCTGTAAACAATATATAACATAATAAATGTAAATACACGTAAACACAGCTAGACATGTATGCACACACATAAAGATCCAATAGCTTTTATCTTGAAACTCTAGTCATGAGATAGTAATACAAACTCACCGTTTCATAAAAGATAGCTAGATCCAAATTATTTCTTTTCTTTTTTTTTTTTGTTTTTGAGATGGAGTCTCACTCTGTCATCCAGGCTGGAGTGTAATGGTACAATCTCTGCTCACTGCAACCTCCGCCTCCTGGGTTCAAGCAATCCTCCTGCCTCAGCCTCCTGATTAGCTAGGATTATAGACGCTTGCCACCACGCCCGGCTAATTTTTGTATTTTTAGTAGAGATGAGGTTTCAGCATGTTGGTCAGGCTGGTCTCAAACTCCTGACCTTGTGATCCGCCCGCCTCAACCTCCCTAAGTGCTAGGATTACAGGCAAGAGCCACTGTACCCAGCCCCAAATTATTTCTCTGACAAAATCGGGACTTGTCCACATGGCTAAACTTTGTTTGCTAATTTGAATTTGCTCCAGTTGCTTAAAAGGCACCTTAGTAGCAAGTCCTTCAGGACTATTGTCCCCATGTCTAACAAGGATCTTTACTAGACATAGAACTTTTTCTATCTGTCTTTCTATCCGGTTGTCTCCCACTGCAAATTCTCACCTCCTGCATCGAAACATTAAGTCAAGTGACAAGACAAGAAAATGCTGTTACAGAAAATGATAACTTTAGGGTAGAAAACAAGAAAAAGCAAGACCGGGATTCCCCTAGGGTGGGACTCTAACCCACAATTCTAGAGGGAATGCCAATTCCGAACACCCCAGAGCATCTGGCATGGATGACAAACAGTACCAAGTGCTGAAAACCCCAGAGCATCTTGGGAGTGTCCAACAGTGAACCCCAAAGGCATGAGACCTAACACAGTTGGGGGCCACAGTACAACATGACTCTGGCATCCCAGGATCAACACAGTGGGGGACCACTCACAACCAAGTGTCTTGCTTTAACCAATTGCTCAACTATCCAAAGGAAAAACTACAAACGTGACAAAGAAAAAAGGATAAGCATGCAATTTGACAGTAAGAGCAGAAAAGTAAAATGGCCAATTGTTAGAAACTAAAGAGAAAATGTCAGAGAGAAGGGGTGACAGGGTGGGCTACTAAGGAAGTGGCCTTCCAGGTGTGCTCCCATCTGGGGCACCCAGACAATGGGAGGCTGCAGTCAGGCTCCCAAGCCAGAGGTCTTATGGCCACTTTCCCATCTACCCAAAATAAAGGACAGAGAATCCAAAATCGAAATTTAACAAAAGGTAGCGGCCAGGCACGGTGGCTCATGCCTGTAATCTCAGGAGGCCAATCCCAGGAGGCCAAGGCAGGTGTATCACCTGAGGTCAGAAGTTCAAGACCAGCCTGGCCAACGTGGTGAAACCCCCGTCTCTACTAAAAATACCAAAAATTAGCCAGGCACCTGTAATCCCAGCTACTTGGGAGGCTGAGGGAGGAGAATCACTTGAACCCGGGAAGCAGAGGTTGCAGTGAGCTGAGATTGTGCCATTGTACTCCAGCCTAGGCAACAACAATGAAACTTCATCTCAAAAAAAAAAAAAAAAAGGTAGCAAGTTGAATCCTCATTTTACCCAGCCCCTATTCAAGGTGGAGTCACTCTGGTTTGAATGCCTTTGACATAAGGACCTCCAAGAGTCTGAATCTGCAGTGTTTTTCTTGCCTCTGTTAAGAAACTTTTAAATAATACTAATATTTTTTCAAAAACAGAAACAATGAAAATTTAGAAGGCTTTTACAAATGTTACTCATTAAATGGCCGGCTTTGAAGCAGTAAAAACTGAAATTATATTGTCACCATCGTTTACTGACAAATAAGGAAAGGAAGAGCTGGCAGAAGCGATGCCAGTCAGAAAGCAGTGGGAAAGCCCTGGGTTCTGCTTGGCTGGTGGTGCAGGCAGAACTCAGTTCCTGTAGTGGGCAGATCACCGAAGAATCCAGATCTCCTGCCTCCTCTGTTTGAGGGGAGCAAGGATTGTGAATTGTCTGTGAGATTAGTCCCAAGCCTTTGGTCTCTGAGTTTTTGGGAGGCAGGGCTGTGTTTCTTATCAGATTGTGCTTACACACATAGACTGCTTCTTTTCTAGTATGTGAATATTTTTATATGTTGCTTCTGTTTTTCCAGCTTCACTGAAAAATAGATTCTCCAGTCCTCGTTCTGACCCTTTCATTCGCAAAGTTTCATTTTTTAAAAAACAGACTTCTGGCTGGGTGCGGTGGCTCATGCCTGTAATCCTAGCACTTTGGGAGGCCAAGGAAAGTGGATCACCTGAGGTCAGGAGTTTGAGACCAGCCTGACCAACATGGCAAAACTCCATCTCTACTTAAAAAAAAAAATACAAAAATTAGCTGGGCATGGTGGCACGCGCCTGTAATCCCATCTACTCTGGAGGCTGAGGCAGGAGAATCCCTTGAACCTGGAAGGCGGTGGTTGCAGTGAACTGAGATCGCACCACTGCACTCCAGCCTGGGTAACAGAGCGAGACTCTGTCTCAAAACAAAAATAAAAACAAAAACAAACTTATTGAAATAGAATTCATATACCATATAATTCAACCATTTACAGTGTACACCTCAATGTTGTTGTTGTATGCTCACAGGGTTGTATGCTCACCATTACAATCAATTTAGGACATTTTCATCACCCCAAAAGCAACCTTGTACCCATTCCCAGTCGAGCAATCACTACTGTACTTGCTGCTGTAAGGGTTTACTTAGAGTTGGACATTTCATATAAACGAAATACACCATGTGGGCTTCTTTCACTTAGCATAATGTTTTCTTTTTCTTTTATTTTGAACATGGAACATTTCACGAATTTGCCTGTAATCCTTGCACAGGAGCCATGCTAATCTCTGTATCATTCCAATTTTGGTATATTTGCTGCTGAGGCAAGCACAGTGTTTTCAAAGTTCATCTGTGTTGTAGCATGTATTGGTAATTCATTTCTTTTTATTGCTGAATAATATTCCGTTGTATTTATATGCCACATTTTTTTTTCTTTTTTCTTTTCTTTTTTTTTTTTTTTTTCGAGACTGAGTTTCGCTCTGTCACCCAGGCTGGAGTGCAGTGGCACGATCTCGGCTCACTGCAACCTCTGCCTCCTGGGTTCAAGCAATTCTCCTGCCTCAGCCTCCCCAATAGCTGGGACTACAGGCACGTGCCACCACACCTTGCTAATTTTTTGTATTTTTAGTAGAGACGGGTTTCACTGTGTTAGCCAGTATGATCTCGATCTGACCTCATGATCCATCCGCCTCGGTCTCCCAAAGTGCTGGGATTACAGGAGTGAGCCACTGTGCCCGGCCTGGATATGCCACATTTTTAATCCATTCATCAGTTGATGGATATGTGAATTTTGGGCTATTATGAATAAAACTTCTATGTATATTTGTGTACAAGTTTTTATGTGGAAATGTGTTTTCAGTTCTCTCGAGTCATATGGTAACTCTATGTTTAACTTTTTGAGGAACTGCCAAACTGTTTTCCAAAGTTTTCCATTTTACATTTTCACCAGCAGTGTAGAAGGGTTCCAGTTTCTCCTCACCAGGGCTTATTATTGTCTGCCCTTTTGATTACAGCCCTCCCAGTGGATATGAAATGATATCTCATTATGGTTTTGATTTGTACTTCCCCAGTGATTAATGATGTTGAGCACCTTTTCCTGTGCTTCTTGGACGTTCATATATCTTCTTTGGAGAAATGTTTTTTCAGATCTTTTTTAATTGAGTTGTCTTTCTTTTTTGTGTTGTAAGAGTTCTTTATAGATTCAAGAGACAAGTCCCTTACACTTATATGATTTGCAAATATTTTCTTCCATTTTGTGGGTTGTCTTTTCACTTTTTTTAAAAAAAAGAATAGGCTTTTTCTTTCAGAAAAAATAGACTTTTTTTTTAGAGCAGTTATAGGTTCACATAAAAATTGAGCAGAAAATCGAGAGAGTTTCCATATGCTCCCTCCCCACCACACAGCCTCCTTCACTATCAAAATTCTTTTCACTTTCTTGATGGTGACATTTGAAGCACAAAGGTTTTTAATTTTGATGAAGTCCAAAGTATGCATTTTTTCTTTTGTCACTTTTGCTTTTGGCATCATATGTAAGAAGGCTTTGTCTAACTTAAAGTCACAAAGATTTACTCCTGTTTTCTTGTTTTTTGTACAGCCGAGATCTTGCTATGTTGATCAAAGCCATCACTCCCAGGCTGGTCTTGAACTCTGGGCCTCAAGCAATCCTCCCACTTAAGCCTCCCAAAGGGCTGAGATTACAGGCGTAAGCCACTGTGCCTGGCCTTGTATGTTTTAAGAGTTTTACAATTTTATCTCTTATGCATAAATCTGTGATCCATTTGAAGTTAATTTTTGTTTTGTTTTGTTTTGTTTGTTTGGTTTTTTTTTTGGAGATGGAGTCTCACTCTGTTCCCCAGGCTGGAGTACAGTGTACAGTGGCACGATCTCAGCTGACCACAACCTCTGCCTCCCAGGCTCAACCAATTTTCGTGCCTCAGCCTCCAATGTAGCTGGGATTACAGGCACCTGCCACCATGCCTGACTAATTCTTGTATATTTAATAGAGATGGGGCTTTGCCATGTTGATAAGGCTGGTCTCAAAATCCTGACCTCAGGTGACCTGCCCATCTCAGTCTCCCAAATGCCGGGATTACAGGTGTGAGCCACCGAGCCCGGCTGAAGTTAATTTTGTACATGTGTCAAGAAGGGGTTTTCATGTGGCTATCAAGTTGTTCCAGCCTCATTCTTTCTCCATTGTTTTGGCATTCTTGTTAAAAACCAATTGAACATAAACAGGAGAGTTTATTTCTTTTTTTTTTTTTTTTTTTTTTTTTTGAGACGGAGTCTTGCTCTGTATGCCCAGGCTGGAGTGCAGTGGCGTGATCTCGGCTCACTGAAATCTCCGCCTCACAGGTTCAAGCGATTCTCCTGTCTCAGCCTCCCAAATAGCTGGGATTACAGGCACACGCCACCATGCCCAGCTAATTTTGTATCTTTAGTAGAGACGGGGTTTCTCCATGTTGATAAGGCTGGTCTCGAACTCCTGATCTCAGGTGATCCACCCACTTCGGCCTCCCAAAGTGCTGGGATTACAGGCGTGAGCCACTGCGCCTGGCCCGAGAGTTTATTTCTTGACCCTCAGTTTTATTCTATTGATTTACCTATTATTAGGCCGGTATATACTATCTTGATTATTGTAGATTTGTAGTAAGTTTTAAAATCAGAAGCGTGAGTCCTCCAACTTTTTCACTGTTGTGGATCCCTTCCATTCTTATATGAATTTTAGGATCAGGTCACCAATTTCTGCAACAACAGCAACAACAACAAAAGCAGCTGGCATTTTGGTAGGGATTGTGTTGAATCTGTAGGTCAACTTTGGATATTGCCATTGTAATATTGTCCTTCAATTCATGAACATGGGATGTCTTTCCATTTATTTGTCTTCTTTAATTTCTTTCAATAATGTTTTCAGAGTATATGTTGCACTTCTTTTGTTAAATTTATTCCTATCTTATTCTTTTCAATGCAATTGCAAATGGAATTATTTTCTTATTCAGAATATTCATTGCTAACCTGAATACTTACTTTTGGCATTTGGTGGCAGGAACTCAAGGGCATATTAGGATACATCAGTTGCTTGAAGTGAATTAAATTATTTCATGCATGTACTAAGAGCGAAATGGGTGTCAGTGCTGCTAAGCTGGTGAGGCCACCCCCAAATGACTGTGCGATTGATGACCTGATTCCTCTATGACTGTTATAGAGAAAGACTTTCTCTTGCCAAAGTATCTAGAAAGTTTTCAATCATTCTGTGTATCATCTTATCATTCTATTTGCTACCCTCACTAAATGGAGCAGTCCCAGTACTATTTGTGCCATCATTCATTTGGAAGAGAGATTTGATTCCCAAAAGATTATCATACTCTTCAACTGTAGTGAGATTATGGTGACTTTGCACCAGAGTAATGTTATGCTAAAGGCATTGCAGTAGAATGATCCACTGGAGATTAAAAACCTCATTCTGTATCATAAAACAAAGACCTCCATCCTCAGTGAACACATTATCTAAATTCTACTCCACCAAGAATGTATCTCTAGTTAAGCTGTTTCCTTGCCCGAAAAAGCATTATCAGCTCTGCATTGTTTACATCTTTAATTTCACACCCTCCATGATTTGACACCGCCTGTTTCTGATCATGTTCACCTCTCATTGTGCCCTTCGTTGCAGTTACCTGGTACAGTTGCTGTTTTCTAAATATACCATATATTTTGTCTCTCTACTCCTGCCACCACCTTGCCTCTGCTGTCACAGCTCCGTCTACCTGAAGCAATCTTCCTCTTGTCTGCCCCTATGAGAATCCTTACCATTCTTCAAGATTAGGTTTAAGTGCTCCCTCCTCCATGAAATCTTCCCCAAGAAGAATAGATATCACCCATCCTGTTGCTCTCATCCTGCTTAGTACCTCTAACTTCCTAGAAGTAAGGACAAAATCTCCATCATCTCTCAATCTCCAGTGCCGTATGGCTTCCCTTGCATATAGTATGTATACATTCAATGTTTTCATTGAATTGGTTAGATGGAAAGATATTTCTTAAACTGCAGTTTGGAAATTAAATTCTGATATATTTTCAGGACTATGTGTATTCTCTAAAATAATGTTTAAAATATTGTGTTTTCATTTTAATAATAATTCTGAATCACCAGGATCCACGTTATAATCAAGTTGCATTGCACAATTTTAATGCCCATATGTGTGTTTGAGAAACATTGGAGTAAAACATTATTCAGAATGTGTGTAAAGTTCTGATTACAGTGGAGTGCTGGCTGTAAGTAATCATTCGATTTTTGGAAAATATAATTCGTTTTAGCTAGCAGTACCTTAATGTGCAGGATAAGATATTCTTTAGTTACTTCTTCTTGGTAGAAAATGAAGAGAGCAGTTAGGAATGGTTTTGTCTGTGTTCACATGTGTGTCTCAAAAAGAAAAGGGGGGGCAGGAGGAGAAAGAAGAGAGCCCCCCTACATTAATAATAGAGTTTTAAAAGAATGGTGTAAGAATTTGGCAGAGTGGAATTCTTTTTCTTACTTGATTTTTCTCAGTTTCACTTTTATGACCTGTTTTAGTGAATTAGGGGAATGATTGAGCCCTTGAAATTAGCAGGTCCTCTGACTCCAAAAGTTTAGTGTGTTCTTTTTTTTTTTTTTTGGAAAAAGGGTCTTGCTGTGTCACGCAGACTGGAGTGCAGTGGCACAATCATAGCTTACTGCAGTCCTCGAACATCTGGGCTCAAGTCCTCCTCCCACCTCAGCCTCCCTAGTAGCTGGGACTACAGGCACATGCTACCATACCCAGCTAATTTTTAAAATAACTTTTTTAGAGACAAGCTTTCGCCATATTGCCCAAGCTGGTCTTGAACTCCTGGCCTCAAGCCATCCTCCCACCTCAGCTGCCCAAATCTTGTTAATTCAGATTTGACAGCACCCCTCTGCTATGTAAGCAACTCTTGTTGCAAGTCATTTCAGATCCTTTCTGGAAGAAGATGGGATCTGATATGCATAAATGAATCGATCACTCTAGACTTCAGAGTACCATTGAAAAGCTTAATGAAAAATCTTCCAAATTCTAATTTGTTAAAAGAATCTTTTCACAATGCCAGAATTGATATAGGCAAGTCATAGGCAGGTTAAAATTTTTTCAGCTCTCTCACTTGATTGTTCACCTTCCAAAGCAACTCATTTTTGTCAAGTTTGTTCAAACAAATCTAGATCCTTCACTGGCTTTCTTGAACACACAGCTGTTTGCTTCTCAATAAGGTTGATTGGTGCTGACTTCCTGAGAATAGGGAGTTGCAAATAGCCAGGTGTTGTCATTACCATTGCACAAAGTAGAAGCCATTAGAACTAAGCTAAGATAAACCCCACTCATTAGAATCTACTGGAGTAAGTTTCTAAAAGTGGGCTTGGATTTACTGTGTTCATTTCTCTGAAGCTTTTTAGAAATACCTGAGGAGGTTGGGCACGGTGGCTCACGCCTGTAATCCCAGCATTTTGGGAGGCCGAGGTGGTCGGATCACCTGAGGTTGGGAGTTCGAGACCAGCCTGACCAACGTGGAGAAACCCCATCTCTACTAAAAATACAAAATTAGCCAGGCATGGTGGCGCATGCCTGTAATCCCAGCTACTCAAGAGGCTGAGACAGGAGAATCATTTGAAACCAGGAGGTGGAGGTTGCAGGAAGCCAAGATCGTGCCATTGCACTCCAGCCTGGGCAACAAGAGCGAAACTCTGTCTCAAAAAAAAAAAAAAAAAAAAAAGGAAAAAAAAAAAAAAGAAAGAAATACCTGAGGAAAAGAAGATTGTCTCTTTAACTTCAGTTTCATGAGTGCCTCTTCATCTAAATGTTGTAGTCTGTAATGAATGCTTTCTGAAAATGGTGTGGGGGAATTTGGAAATCAGTATTTTTTGTAAAAGTCATTTAATGCATATCTTTAAGGAGACAGAGAAATAGTAATGAATGTTTGCCCTTGTCAGGGGACAAATGTGTGCTGTCTTTCATTAAAAGATGAATTAGGATCTCGGAGCCTTACGGTTCAAATAAGTTTCAACTGAGTCAATGGGAACATCTCATCTGGATAAAGAAAAGTACAAACAACAAGAAGCAACAACCAAAACCAAAGAACCCCTCCTGGATGGGATAATAGTGGTTTTGTTGCCAATCAGAAACTAGGAAATAATAGTGGGTATCCCAGAACCCTAGATTTTAATTCATACTCAAATAGGTTAGCCAATAGTTGTGAAATACACTCAGCATGTAACTCCTTCTTGCAAGCTACTACTGTAAGTAGTTACACACCTTTTTTTTTTTTAATAGGTTAGCACATATACTAAGATGATTCAGCTCTTTGGGAAAGTTATATGTATATATGCTGATATTATAGGAGTCATGCTGTATACCAGGTTGTTGTCTCAATTAAAATTGTAATTAGAGGAAAGAAAATTATTTGGTTTAATTTTTTCTTTTGTTATACTTTGGTTATAAAATTGACTTTTGAGCCATTTTAAAAATATGTACACAGTGGCTCACACCTGTAATCCAGCACTTTGGGAGGCCGAAGCTGAGGTGGGAGGATCACTTGAGCTCAGGAGTTTGAGACAAGACTGGGCAACATGGCAAAACCCCTTCTCTACAAAAATATACAAAAATCAGCTGGGCGTGGTGGCATGCGCCTGTGGTCCCAGCTACTCAGGAGGCTAAGGTAAAAGAATCACTTGAACCTGGGAGGTCAAGTCTGCAATAAGCCGTGATTACACCACTGCACTCCAACCTGGGCGACAGAACAAGACCCTGTCTCCAAAAAAAAAAAAAAAAGGCGGGGTTGCCTTAAGTTCCTTTTTTTTTTTTTTTTTTCCGAGACCAGGTCTCACTCTGTCACACAGGCCAGAGTGCAGTGGCACAATCTTGGCTCACTGCAACCTCCACCTCCTGGGCTCAAGCAATTCTCGTGCCTCAGCCTCCCGAGTAGCTACGACCACAGGCATGTGCCACCATGCCTAGCTAATTTTTTATATTTTTAGTAAAGACAGAGTTTCGCTGTGTTGGCCAGGCTGCTCTTGAACTCCTGAGCTCAGGCAATCTGCCTGCCTTGGCCTCCCCAAGTGCTAGGATTACAGACGTGAGCCACCGTGCCTGGCCCCCAAGTTCCTTAGTTTTGACAAATCTAACTTTTTTGATGTTTCATATTGATAGACATAGGATTGACATTGAGGTATTCTACAACTTTATATATGAAGAGCATTCCAGTTTTCATATATCAGGATGCTTTTGGCTGCAAGTAACAGAAATTCCCAACTCAAGTGGCTTAACAAAGAATGAATTATCACACATAACAAAAATTCCAGGATTGCTAATTCTCTAGCTCAGTGACATCATTGAAGACCCATATTCTTTTCATCTTTCTCTGTCAACCACAGCTTATGGGCCTTATCCTTTAGTTCCTCATGGTTTCAAGTTGGTTGCAGCAACTCTAAGGCAACCCTAATTCATATATCCTTATGATAGCCAAAGGCAAAAAGTTTTCTGAGAGTCTTCTAGCAGACTTTCCTTCACAACTCCTTGTCCAGAACTGGGTCACATGCCCATGCCTAAACCAATTAAAGCAAAGGGAGATGTCCACCACGATTCACTTAGACCAATGGAAACTGTAGCCTGAATCACATGGGGAGGGATGGCGACAGGTGGATACTTGAACAAAATTAATGTACTGTTTGTAAGGAAAATTGGGAAAATGCCAGTGAGATGTATACAAAATTTGACATAGAGGAATCCCTAAAGCTCAAATTAACCCCTGGGCTGGGCACAGTGGCTCACACTTATAATCTCAGCACTTTGGGAGTCTAAGGCAGGAGGATCACTTGAGCCCAGGAGTTCGAGACCAGCCTGGGCAACATAGCAAGGCCCAATCTCTGTAAAAAAAATTGTAACCAGCTGGGCATGGTGGTGTGCATCTATAGTCCCACCCTACTCAGGAGGCTAAAGCAAGAGGATCTCTTGAGCCCAGGAGTTTGATTCTGCAGTGAGTTATGATTGCACCACTGCACTCTAGCCTGGGTGACAGAACAAGACCTTGTCTCAAAAAAAAAAAAAAAAGAAAAAGAAAAGACAAAGAACCTCTTATGTAGGATCTTAAAATTCAATGCCTATGCCAAATTGCAGCCCTGGAAGATTCTTTGACTATGTGCATTCATTTTGTTCTCCATAGAAACCAGTTCAAGCCAACTCCCACCTGGAGACTAGGGTACAATACAGTCCTGAGACCTCTATCACAAGATCAGAAGGGAGGGAAGATTAGTCAGAGGGTAGCAGAGCCCCAAGAAATGAAGGCAAGGTCATAAATCCCCAAAGAAGACCAGGTTTGAGCCAAGTATGTGACAGATCTAGGCTATGTATGTGAGGCCTAAGAGAGGTCCAGTCTCGGAGAACGTGGAGGCAGGGGCCCTTTGAGAAATGCAGAGTGGATGCAGTGAGTGTTCCAGTTCTTCCAGTCCAACACTTGGAAAACAAGGTAGCAAGTGAGCCCAGAGCCAGCTGACCAGGTACAATGCAGGGTCTGAGATGCTGACACTCCCACTGGCTTCTTGGGTTCTCAGATGTAGCTGGGATGGGTTGATGGAGCATGTAGTTTAACAGATGCTCATTTTATTTTATTTATTTATTTATTTATTTATTTATTTATTTTAAACAGAGTCTTGCTCTGTCGCCCAGGCTGGAGTGCTGTGGCATGATCTCGGCTAACTGTAAGCTCCACCTCCTGGGTTCACGCCATTCTCCTGCCTCAGCTTCCCGAGTAGCTGGGACTACAGGCGCCCGCCACCACGCCCAGATAATTTTTTGTATTTTTAATAGAGACCGGGTTTCGCCATGTTAGCCAGGATGGTCTCGATCTCCTGACCTCATGATCCGCCCCCTCTGCTTCCCAAAGTGCTGGGATTACAGGCATGAGCCACCGCACCTGGCCAATGGATGCTCATTTTCAAAGGAGTGCTGGAGCTCAGTTAGGGCAGGAATTTACATAAATGGAACGTTAAGTTGCAGTTTTGTTAATATAGTGATATGCTCTTGACTTATATGGCCAGTCAGTATAAGAAACAGCCGTATGATTCCTGCATTGAATATAAAGCTTCTATTGCCCACTCTCTTCTTCACTTTTCCACCAGGCCCTCACATGCCTTGTTCCTTGAGGTCTTCTCCTCTGAGAGCTCTTCCCTGAGCCCTCACCCACATTGTCAACTCCCCCGCTCCTTATTTTTTTTCATAGCCTTCATTGCTGCTGGAAATTTTATTATTTATTGTCTTTCTTCCCCGCTAGAAGTAGGCTTCATGAAGATGGGAGCTTTGATTTCTTGTTCATGCCATATTGTCCTCAGTACTGAGAACATTGGCACATTGGAGTACTGTGGGCACTCAATTAAGATTTGCTGGATCAATTAGCCAGGCGTGGTGGCACATGCCTGTAATCCCAGCTACTTGGGAGGCTGAGGCAGGAGAATTACTTGAACCTGGGAGAGGGAGGTTGCGGTGAGCCGAGATTGCGCTGTTGCATTCCAGCCTGGGCAACAAGAGCGAAACTCCATCTCAAAAAAAAAAAAAAGATTTGCCGGATGAATGAATGAGATACCTCTTAGTGTCCTTCCTGAAGTTTCTCTCTCTTCATGATGTTCCTTCTTTTATTGGATAATGAGAGCTGTGTTTTCTAATTCCTTTTTTGCCTTAGCTACCAAGAATTGTAAAATTAAACTACTAAACTCTTGGTTTATTTGCAGTAGCCATTCTTAGCTTGGGATGTCTGCACTTCTCTCACTTACTGTAGAGGTTTTAAAATATTTATTTTATGTATTTTATTTTATTTATTATTATTATTTTGAGATGGAGTCTCTACCCAGGCTGGAGTGCAATGGTGCGATCTCAGCTCACTGCAACCTCCGCCTCCTGGGTTAAAGCTATTCTTCTGCCTCAGCCTCCTGAGTAGCTGGGACCACAGGCAGGCACCACCACACCTGGCTAAATTTTTTGTATTTTTAGTAGAGATGGGTTTCACCATGTTGGCCAGGATGGTCTCAAACTCCTGACCTCAGGTGATTCGCCCACCTCAGCCTCCCAAAGTGCTGGGATTACAGGTGTAAGCCACCATACCCAGCCTAAAATGTTTATTTTAATGACACATGGTTTCAACGTTATTTATTGTAAGTTGCTTCAGATCCTGTGTGGAAGTAAACGAAGACTGAATAATAAGTGAACTAATTGAAGGGTAACAGGGAGTAGTGAAAAAAAAATGAACACACTTTAGAGTCTGAGCAAATAAGATAATACTGGAGCTGTTGTTAATAGAATAGAAACCAGATCAAACATTACTCATAAAAGTCCCTCTCTGTCACCATTTTGGCACATCTCACTCCATTGTTATTGCTTGGTCAGTATTTTTCCTCTTCCCCATTAGGTTTTGCCATGAGGGTAAGGACTGTATCTTTCTTGCTTATGATTAGTCCCCCAGGGCCCAGCACAGTGGCAGACACATAGTACACACTTAATCATTATTTGATAAGTTAATATGCCTTTTCTTTATCATTTATTTTTAACTATAAGCCACTATATTAGTAAACATTAAAATGTTTCTCCTGTGTTCTTACCCTTTTCAACCTGCAATTTCCCCTGCTTGTAGATTCCAAACTTCCTTCATTTTTTATGTGCCTTCCTTCCTGACAAGGAACCTTCTTCCTTTAACCACAACAGCCTCCCACTCCAGGGCTCATGAATGTGTGCCTTTTCTTCCTTCCCCAGTCTCCTAAATCTCATTTTCCTAATGACTAAACTGAAAGTGACTCACCAACTCACACACTTAGAAGTGGAAGGGGCCTGAGAGGTCATCTTGTCTCACTGGCTCATCTCCACTTCCAGGGAAGCGAAGTGAATTGCCCAGGGGTCACTCTGCTGGTTGGCAGCAGGGCCAACCCTAGAACACAGATCTCTAACTCTGGATCCTCATCTCCCACTGCAGAGTGAGCAAGCCCCCTTCCTAACTCCAGAAAGAGAAAGCACTGCAACAAAGGTAGAAAAGTATATTTTAGTCTTAGTTGGAAATCTTTTTTTTTTTTTTTTTGAGAGACAGAGTCTCACCCTTGTTGCCCAAGCTGGAGTGCAATGGCGTGATCTCAGCTCACTGCAACCTCATCATCCCAGGTTCAAGCAATTCTCCTACCTCAGCCTCCCAAGTAGCGGGATTACAGGAGCCCATCACCATGCTTGGCTAATTTTTGTATTTTTAGTAGAGACGAGGTTTCACCATGGTGAGCCACACCATGCCCAGCCGTTGGAAATCTCTTTTTTTTTTTTTTTTTTTTTTGAGACAGAGTCTCTCTCTGTCGCCCAGGCTGGAGTGCAGTGGTGTGATCTCGGCTCACTGCAAGCTCCGCCTCCCGGGTTCACGCCATTCTCCTGCCTCAGCCACCCGAGTAGCTGGGACTACAGGCGCCCGCCACCACGCCTGGCTAATTTTCTTTTTAATATTTTTAGTAGAGACGGGGTTTCACCGTGTTAGCCAGGATGGTCTCAATCTCCTGACCTCGTGATCTGCCCGCCTCGGCCTCCCAAAGTGCTGGGATTACAGGTGTGAGCCACCGCGCCCGGCCGGAAATCTCTTAAATGCAATATATCATAGGAGTTACTCATAGGTAACTCATAGGAATTAAGTATCAGACCATTTAAGTTTGATCCCAGCTCTATTTACTCTTCAAACAAGTTAACTCCTTTGTCTTAGTATATGTCCTTTCTCTTTTTTCCTATGCATTTGAATATTTAATGTACATATTTAAATCTGTATGTTTGCCGGGCGCGGTGGCTCACGCCTGTAATCCCAGCACTTTGGAGGCCGAGGCGGGCGGATCACGAGGTCAGGAGATCGAGACTATCCTGGCTAACACGGTGAAACCCCATCTCTACTAAAAATATTAAAAAGAAAATTAGCCGGGCGTGGTGGCGGGTGCCTGTAGTCCCAGCTACTCAGGAGGTTGAGGCCCGGGAGGCGGAGCTTGCAGTGAGCCAAGATCACGCCACTGCACTCCAGCCTGGGCGACAGAGTGAGACTCCGTCTCAAAAAATAAATAAATAAATAAATAAATCTGTATGTTTGATTTGTTAATAGTAGGAAAAGTTGTGTGTGTGCATATTTGCATACATAAATGGGAATACTGGTTCTGGTAGTTTCTTTCACTTTAACAATGTCTTGAGGAGAGCTTTTCATGTCAGTATATATAATTCTGTCATGTTCATTTTAATCACTGCATAGTAATCCGTAATATGGGTATACCATGGTTATTTAACCTTTCCTATATGAATTTTTTAGTTTATTTCTTCTCATTTTTCACGATTACAATTCACTAAATTCTTGATGCAGATGTCCTTGTGCAGATATGTAACTACCTCTCTAGGATAGATAATTAGAAATGCAAAGACTGGGTCAAAGAGTCTGAGATGACAATTCAAATCTCCTCTTTTCTATTCTGAAAATAGGTTATGTCTAGGTCATCAATGATTTAGTTTTGGCAGCATACGTTGATGTTAACAGGACAGAGGTGAGTCTTATGACTGCATGTAGTATGTTAGGAATTGGGAGCATTTTGGAGAAAGTACTCCTTTATCTTTTTCTTATACTGTATGGAAGGTACATTGTGCTTTGGACCTTGAGGGGAAAACAAAAACAAAAACGAAAAAAAACAAACTTCTTCGTCCTCTTCCTTCCAAGGGACTGAGACTAGCAAAGTCATGCTTTCGAGCAACCTCTGCTTGACTCTGTGACAGCATTTGCCACACAGTTCTATAATTGTCAGTACTTATCTGTTTATATGTACTCCTTAAACTTTGGGCATCTTCTTTTCTCCTTATTTTATTTCATTTTAGTTTTGTAGAGACAAACTATCCCTATGTTGCCCAGGCTGGTCTCAAACTCCTGGGCTCAAGCAATCCTCCCGCCTCAGCCTCCCAAAGTGCTGGGATTATAGGCATGAGCCACCGTGCCCAGCCTACTTTGGGCTTCTTAAAGGGTAAAAATAGTATTTCATCAGTTCTTGTATTCCTAGAATATTAGCATGATACCTAGTACATAATTATGTTTTGTTGAATAAATGAATGAATTCAATTCAATATTACCATTTCCTGTACCTAGTACAGTCATGTGTTGCTTAACAATGGGAATACATTCTGAGAAATGTGTAGTTAGGTGATTTTGTCATTGTACAAACATCATAAAATGTGCCTACACAAACCTAGATGATATTATATTTATATATATTTTTTATACAGAAAATCAAATGTCCCAGTGTCCCAGCACCATTACTGAATACTAATTATTTCCCCAACTTGATCTAATACTAATTATTTCCCCAACTTGATCCCCAACTTGATCAGGTTTCTAAATGTGTGCTGCCCTACAATCTGATAGGACCAGTGTTGTATATGCAGTCCATGATTGACCAAAGCATTGTTATGCAGCTCATGACTGTATATGCAAAGACTGCTAAGACCTGATGGGATCAGAGATGAAGGAGTCAAAGTTCTACCCTCAAGGAATTTATAGTCTTATGGAAGAAACAGATACAGGCTTAAAACATTTAGGAACCAAGGCACGAGTGACAAATGTGATTTAAGTCAAAGCGACTTAAGCACAAAGTATTGTGAGACTTTCAAGGAGGGCTAATTGAAGCTCACTGAGGGGAAGAGGCAGGTTCCACAAAGAAAGTGGCATTTGAACTGGGCCTGGTAGGACAGGTCAGTGATTTATCAATATAGGTCATCATTTGGTGATTAAAAATAGGTGACTTTATGCTTGTAATCCTAACACTTTGGGAGGTAGAGGCAGGAGGATCACTTGAGTTTAGAAGTTCAAGACCAGCCTGGGCAACATAGTGAGACCCTGTTTCTACAAAAAAATCAAAAAATTAGGCGCGATGGCATACACCTGTCTTCCCAGCTACTCTGGAGGCTGAGGTGAGAGGATCACTTGAGCCCAGGAGATTGAGGCTGCAGTGAGCTGTGATCACTCCAGCCTGGGTAACAGAGCAAGACCCACCCCCCCTTTATATATGTATGTATGTGTGTGTGTGTGTGTGTGTGTGTGTGTGTGTGTGTGGTGTGTGTGTGTATGCGGAATCTTCTTATCACCACCTCTACTGTTGTCTTTCCAGCTACTTACTGTAGTAGGTTTCTACCTTGGACCCTTGTTCCACCCTGGACATACATGGTACCCAACAATGTGTTCTCAGCACTGCAGCCAGTGTGATCTTTTTGCACTCCTTTGCTCAGAATCCTCCAAAGGCCTCTCATTGTACTCTGAGAAAAAGTTCAAGTCCTTGCAGTGTCCTGCAAGGCCCTTCATGATCTACCCCACCTTCCCATCCCTGCCCTTACTTCTCTAGCCTCATCTAGGGCTTCCTTGGTGTTCTCAGACATGCCAGGCGTGCTCCTCTACAGGTTTTTACACTGGCTGTTCTCTCTTCCTGGTATGCTCTTCTCCCAGAAATGCACATGACTGATACGCTCACCTTCCAGTCTTTGTTTAAATGTCACCTTCTCAATGAAGCCTACCTTTACCACCTTTTTAAAACCTGAAGTCGGCCACCATTCCCATTATTCCTTATTTCCCTTACCTGTTTTACTTTTTTTGCCCCTATAGTATGTATTACCTTCTAACATTCTATCTAATTTACACTAGAATATAAGCCACAGAAGGGCAGGAATCATGGTCTCTTGTTTCGCAGCATATGCCAAGCATCTGGAACAATGCTTAGCACATACTAGGCCTCTCGTTAAATATTTGTCTAATAATCATAGTTCTCTTTCTCCAGGACCCAAATGCCTTGATTGTTTTTCACTCAATTTGCTTATCCAAGCAGACAGCAGGATAAGACAGGGAAAAGTAGGCTGATGATTGGGGTCTAGGGTCTAGCCTGGGGGCCACACTTTTTGTTTGTGTGACCATGGGCTAATTATAGTTGGGCTGGGTTTGTGAAAGTTTATTAAGCTATATACTTATGATATATACATTTTTTGTATGTATATGTAAATTTTTTTTTCTTTTTTTTTTTTTTTTTAAGACAGAATCTCACTGTGTTGCCCAGGCTGGAGTGCAGTGGCGCAATCTCGGCTCACTGCAAGCTCCGCCTCCCGGGTTCAGGCCATTCTCCTACCTCAGCCTCTCATGTAGCTGGGACTACAGGCGCCCGCCACCACGCCCGGCTAATTTTTTATATTTTTAGTAGAGACGGGGGTTTCACCGTGTTAGCCAGGATGGTCTAGATCTCCTGACCTCGTGATCCGCCCACCTCGGCCTCCCAAAGTGCTGGGATTACAGGCGTGAGCCACCGCGCCTGGCCGTGTATGTAAATTTTTTAAGTTTTCTGTAATAAGACTCTGAAAATAACTGCTAGTAACACTATGGGGAATATCTTCACATGTTTTATCTCTACATGTAGACTTTTGAGAATAAAATTGAGATTCTACATGCTTTTTCACAAAACCATACATCATGAATATTTTTCATAACATGAAATATTCTTCTGGAGCATGATTTTTAATGGTTATGCAAGTACTTTGAAAAGAATAAGACATTGGTCATGTACGGTGACTCACTCCTGTAATCCCAGCACTTTGGGAGGCCAAGGCAGATGGATAGCTTGAGCCCGGGAGTTCAAGACCAGCCTGAGCAACATGGCAAAACCCCATTTCCACAAAAAATACAAAAATTAGCCGGGCATGGTGGCATGCACCTGTAGTCCCAACTACTTGGGAGACTGAGGTGGGAGAATCACCAGAGCCTGGGAGGTCAAGGCTGCAGTGAGCTGTGATTGTGCCACTGCACTCCAGTCTGGGCAATACAGCAAGACCCTGTCTCAAAAAAAAAATAAAAACAAAAAGAATAAGACATCATGCAGTGAACTATGGAAATATAATTCTTCCTTTTTTAAGAAGTTGAAATTTTGTTTTAAGGGGTTTTGATTTCTTCCTTTTTCCTATAGGAGACATGGTCTCAAAGTACCGAGAACCTTTGATCCATACCTTCCTGAGGGGAGTGAGAGATCCTGATGGTGCTCACAGGGCCAGCAGCTTGGCCAACCTTGGGGAGCTGTGCCAGAGGCTGGACTTTCTGCTGGGCTCCGTGGTCCATGAGGTACTGTATTTTGATTCCTTTCTCTAAAGCGTGTTTTCACTTGGACCTACGATGCATCTTGAGATTGGGAGTCAGGAGACCTGGGCTCTTTTTGCAGATCTGCCACTGCCTCCCTGTGAGACAGGGCAAGTGAGCCATTGAACTTCCCAAGGCTTCATCTGTCTCACATGTATATTGAAAGTTATGTTAGTAAGGGCCGGGCATGGTGGCTTGCACCTGTAATCCCAGCACTTTGGGAGGGCGAGGCGGGTAGATTGCTTGCGGCCAGGAGTCTGAAACCAGCCTGGTCAACATGGCGTAACCCTATCTCTACTAAAAATACAAAAATCAGCTGGGCGTGGTGGTACATGCCTATAATCCCGGCTACTCAGGAGGCTGAGGCAGGAGAATCACTTGAACCCAGGAGGCATAGGTTGCAGTAAGCCAAGATCACGCCACTGCACTCCAGCCTGGGCAACACAGCGAGATTCTGTCTCAAAAAAAACAAAAACAAAAAATTATGTTAGTAAGAATTTCATAGTTGCAGCTGAGAGAAAGTCATCTTAACCTACCTTAAGCAATAAAAGATGATTTATCATAGAGTCTGATGTAACTAACAGAATTGGAGAAACCTTTAGGAAAAGTAGATAGAGCTTTACCCTGAGTCTCTGGGCCATCTGTGAGTCTTATCTCCTCCACTCACAGAAAAATCTCAGGCAAATACTCTAATTGACCCTCTTTGGCCGAGGCACCCTGTATTCAGGGGGATGGTGTTGTTTACCAAAAAAAAACGCTTAAGTTCCATATTTTGCTCAGCATTTCATACCCAGTGCCTGGTATGTAGTAGGTAATCAGTAAATTATTGAAAAGATGAATGGTGAACCATCAAAATGATAGCCATACAACGTGTTGGGGCCAGAAGCTTTTCTGGTTTTAGAGTTTTTTATTATTATTATTATTATTATTTGAAACAGAGTTTCACTCTGTCACCCAGGCTGGAGTGCAGTGGCGCAATCGTGGCTCACTGCAACCTCCGCCTCCTGGGTTCAAGCAGTTCTCCTGCCTCAGCCTCCCATGTAGCTGGGACCATGTGTCACCACACCTGGCCAATTTTTGTATTTTTAGTATAGACAGAGTTTCACCATGTTGGCCAGGTTGGTCTCGAACTCCTGACCTCAGGTGATCCACCTGCCTCAGCCTCCCAAAGTGTTAGGATTACAGGCGTGAGCCACCACACCTGAACTCAGAGTTTATTAATTAATGAAATGTGCGTCTTGCCCCTGGCCTCTATGAGTGTCTTTCTCTAGCCCCCTTTTTTTTTTTTTTGAGACAGAGTCTCGCTCTGTAGCCCAGGCTGGAGTGCAGTGGCACGATCTCGGCTTACTGCAACCTCCGCCTCCCGGGTCCCAGTTCAAGCAGTTCTCCTCAGCCTCCCGAGTAGCTGGGATTACAGGCGCATGCCACTATGCCCAGCTAATTTTTGTGTTTTTAGTAGAGACGGGGTTTCACCATGTTGGCCAGACTGGTCTTGAACTCCTGCCTTTGTGATCTGCTCGCCTCGGCCTCCCAAAGTGCTGGGATTACAGGCATGAGCCACCCCTCCTGGCCCCTCTAGCCTCTTAAATTGTACCTTTGCCTTGTATTTATGTACTCATCAATATATCAGTGTATATCTTGAGTATCTGCTGTGTGCACCTACTCTGCTATTTACAGATGATGATAGACAGAAAAAGACTAGTTAACATGTGGCCAGGAGTCTTTACTACCAATGTACATGACCATCTTAAGTTTTTTTTTGGAAGAAGATGCCTTATAAATTATAAATAAGTAAGTGAAATACAGTTTAAATTACCTTTTTTTTTATTCAAATGGAGTCTCTAACTCTGTCGCCCAGGCTGGAGTGCGGTGGTGCAGTCTCGGCACACTGCAACCTCCACCTTCCAGGTTCAAGCGATTCTCCCGCATTAGCCTCTTGAGTAGCTAGGATTACAGGCGTGTGCCACCACGCCTGGTTAAGTTTTGTATTTTTAGTAGAGACAGTGTTTCATCATGTTGGCCAGGCTGGTCTTGAATTCCCAGACTCAAGTGATCCTCCTGCCTCGGCCTCCCAAAGTGCTGGTGATGTTGGATTTTTCTTCTCAGTCACTTTGCAAGCCAGGGACCTCTGGCTGGGAATGCCCGACCCTGGCCTCACTTGGCCATGCTGGCGTGCCCCAGCTCACCTGTGTTATAGCTTGTACCACATTCAGCAGTTCCCAAGCTCTTATACCGCACCCAAGATAAATGAGGATACACTGGACATTGAAGGGTGAGGAGGGCAGAGAATAATTTTATTGAGCAATGAAACGGCTCTCAGCAGAGAAGGGAGCTGGAGAGAGGACATGAAGGGCAGGGTGTCTTCCTCAAACTCAGGTTGTCTCTTCCCTGAAGTCAACCCATTTCCCCCTCTACTGACTGAGTCTGGGGTCTTCATAGGCACAAGTTGCATGCTGATTGGTTTGTGAGTATGCAAAAAAGGTTAAAACAAGGCACCACTCAAAGGCGGGCCCCACAGTATAGAAAACCAATTAGGAAATGGTAGGCATATGTAAAATAGGTGAAGGGTGGGGACCAATCAGAGGAAAGTGTGCCAAACAGGAAGACAAGTTTTCAATCCAGTCTGAGAATTTAACTTGTAGCTTAGCTTTCGGGCTTTAAACTGCCTTCAGCTTGGAGGTAAGTTTGCACTGGGTACCTGCCCCTATCTGCGTAGGCATTTGGCTGCCTCCTGTAGATATCACTGGGATTATAGGCATCAGCCATTGCACCTGGCCTTTTTTTTTTTTTTCCACTTTAAGCAAAAACTCTTTATTTTTAAGACAAGGTATGATTTCTAATTTTCTATTCTTGGCATAAATTTTAATTCTTTCTAGTGGAACCAAAGCCTCCTGAACCCCTTTCAGTGTCATCCAAATCTTAAACTTCTTCTATTTCTAGTTAAAAAAAAATGTAGTTCACAAATGAGCTATGCAATTTGATCACCTTTCTTGACTTCAAACTTTTTCTTTTTTTTTTTTTTCTTGAGACAGAGTTTCACTCTGTTGCCCAGGCTGGAGTACAGTGGCACGATCTCAGCTCACTGCAACCTCCGCCTCCCGGGTTCAAGTAATCCTCTTGCCTCAGCCTCCCAAGTAGCTGGGACTACAGGCGCCCATCACCACACCCAGCTAATTTTTGTATTTTTAGTAGAGACAGGGTTTCACCATGTTGGCCAGGCTGGTCTAAACTCCTAACCTCAAGTGATCCGCGCACCTCAGCCTCCCAAAGTGCTGGGATTACAGGCATGAGCCACCACGCCCCACTGACTTCAAACTTTTTTTTTGCCAAAATTAAACATTATACCATCAACATTTACGCTATAATCTTTCTCTCTGACACGAGTTCCTACATCTAGAAAGTGTTTTGCAGCCAAACCAGACCATGGAGCCACTCTTCCATAACATCCAGAAGGAAGGGCTATCTGAGTGTCCATTTTCACAAAAGCTTTCTCTGTATGTGGTATTGTGTCATCATAGGCACTGTACAGGTCATAGCTCGCAGCCTGCATGGACCCCTGGGTTGAGGCCATGGGATGTTCAGAGAGCCAGGCAAAGCGAGCTGCATGATGCCCTCCTCTGTAGGCTAGGCCTGCTAGCTGGGGGAAATGGCAGATGTCTTATCAAAGCAGGGCATGGCAGAGTGAGAAGGTGAGTAGAGGAGAGGATCAAATCTGTTTGTTTGTTTGTTTGTTTGTGGTGGAGTCTTGCTCTGTCACCTAGGCTGGAGTGCAGTGGCGTGATCTTGACTCACTGCAGCCTCCACCTCCCAGGTTCCAGGGATGAGAGGATCAAATCTGAAGAATGACCTACTGAGGGGGAATTTTCCCTTCTTTTTTTTATTTTTTGAGATGGAGTCTCGCTTTGTTCCCTATGCTGTAGTGCAGTGGTGCAATCTCAGCTCACTGCAACCTCCACCTCCTGGGTTCAAGTGATTCCCCTGTCTTAGCCTCCTGAGTAGCTGGGATTACAGGTATGAGCCACCATGCCCAGCTAATTTTTGTATTTTTAGTAGAGATGGCATTTCGCCATGTTGGCCAGCTGGCCTCGAACTCCTGACCTCAAGTGATCTGCGTGCCTCGGCCTCCCGAAGTGCTGGGATTACAGGCATGAGCCACCGCGCCCGGGCCTGAGAGGGAATTTTTTTCAATGTTTGGCAGTTGTGTCATATCAATAAGCAGAGAAGCACACTCACAGATGTATGCATACACTTGAATTTATGGTATTTCCTGATTCTTGAGCTTCATATATTTTGCTTTATTTGGTTATAAGGGCTACTCTTTTCATTAAATTTCAACCTAGGATTTTCAGGAAAGTTACATATATATCAGTTATTTCCTTCCCTTTAACTGTTCTCTGAGGGATCACCAGGGACAGCCTGTTCCTCAGTTTTTGTATCTTCTTTTTTTTTTAGTAACTTAGAAACAATAACTTTAAGTACCTACTTAAAACCCAAGTGTTCTAATATATGTGAACCGTTAGGCATCTCATCCTGTTTTAGATGGATTTAGCAAATATCTTGTTCTTTAGTATTATTAAATTGTAACCTTAAGAGAAGGCTTTTATGGGTCTATTTGGTTATATTGTCTGAAGATTTCAGACTAGTGTAACTTTTCTGGGTCAGATACTGAAATGATTCCCACATTTTTTTTTCTCTATTTTCTTGGTCTCTTCACATAACCCAAACCAAACTGAACTGTAAACTGTGTACTAAAACAAGTTGCTGGTCCATGATCTGAACCAAACCCAATTTTTTTTTTTTTTTTGAGACGAATTCTTGCTCTGTCGCCCAGACTGGAGTACAATGGCGTGATCTCGGATCACTGCAACCTCCGCCTCCCAGGTTCGAGCAATTCTCCTGCTACAGCCTCCCAGGTAGCTGGGATTACAGGCGCCTGCCACCACACCCGACTAATATTTGTAATTTTTTTTCTTTTTTTGTTTTTTGAGACAGAGTCTCACTGTTGCCCAGGCTGGAGTGCAGTGGCACGATCTCTGCTCACTGCAACCTCCACCTGCCGGGTTCAAGTGATTCTCCTGCCTCAGCCTCCCCAGTAGCTGGGATTACAGGCATCTGCCACCATGCCTGGGTAATTTTTGTGTTTTTAGTAGAGATGGGGTTTCACCATCTTGGCTAGGCTGGTCTTGAACTCTTCACCTCAGGTG
This sequence comes from Homo sapiens, assembly GCF_000001405.40. Classification (NCBI taxonomy): domain Eukaryota; kingdom Metazoa; phylum Chordata; class Mammalia; order Primates; family Hominidae; genus Homo; species Homo sapiens. The sequence continues at coordinate 69,028,199 of NC_000016.10, forward strand.
ATCCATCCGCTTCGGGCCTCCCAAAGTGCTGGGATTATAGGCGTGAGCCACCGCTCCCGGCCCTCCAAATATTATTATTTTTAAATAATGGCTTTACTGAGATACACTTCACACACTATACAATTCACCCATTTAAAGTGCACAATTCAGGCCAGGTGCAGAGGCCCACGCCTATAATCTCAGCACTTTGGGAGGCCAAGGCAGGCAGATCACCTGAGGTCGGGAGTTCAAGACCAACCTGGCCAACATGGTGAAACCCCCTCTCTACCAAAAATACAAAATAAATTAGCCAGGCGTGGTGGCACATGCCTGTAATCCCAGCTACTTAGGAGGCTGTGGCAGGAGAATCGCTTGAACACGGGAGGCGGAGTTTGCAGTGAGCTAAAACTGCGCCACTACACTCTAGTCTGGGTGACAGCGCGAGACTTTGTCTCAAAAAAAACTAAAAATTAAAAAAAAATAAAGTGTACAACTCAATGGTTTTTAGTATATAAAGAGTTATTGGTACAATCACACACACTTTTTTTTTTTATTTTTAGAGATGGGGTCTTGCTGTGTTGTCCAGGCTGGTCTCGAACTCCTGGGCTGAAGTGATCCACCTGCCTCAGCCTTCTGAGTAGCTGGGACTATAGGCACACACCACCATGCCCAGTTTAACAAAAAAAAAAAAAAAAAAGAAAAAGAAAAACTACATAGCCATGCATTTCAGAAAAATTTTCCCCAGATCTCCAAGTGGACCAGCTGAGACTTGATGGGATCTATATGTTTTCTAAAACTAATGAACCTGAACAATACCTGAATATCATGACCTCTGAACTCAAACATTGAGACTGTATTTATTTTTGAATCCCTAGACTGTTCTTTTTCTCTCTCCTAAGGAAATTGTAGCATGCTAGCAGCATATGATTTACTATCCAAAGTGTTAAGAGAAATTTCTTGGTTTTGGTTGATTAGAAAGATTGAGCTAAAGCAGATTTTGTAACATTCAAGAAGCATCATCTGTCAGGAGACCCACCCAGCCTGTTGAAAGATAACAAAACTGCCAGGTACACTTGGGAATGGGAATGAATGAGAGCCCAGCTACACCATCTGTTTACTTGCATTCACTTGAGCAAATGACTTTGGGCTCAGTTTCTTGATCTAGAAAATGGGATTAAAATACCTGCAATCAAGATTGTTACAAGACGTATATGTTTGATACAATGATTTATTCAACAGTTTTTATTGAGTGCCTACTACATGCCAAGCAGTATTCCGGACACCTAAGACATATCACTCTTCAAAATACACAGTGATTTCAATCTTCATTCCATTCTAGAGAGAGTAGACAGATAATAAATGTTATGTATAATCAATAAGTAAAGTATCTAGTATATTAGACAATGATAAGTGCTATGGAAAAAAAGAAAAAGTAGAGGAAGGGAAACTGATCAGGATTATAGTCTTAGGCGGTGGGGCCGTTGCAGTGCTAAACAGGGTATCAGGTGAGTCTCACTGAGGAGGTGACATTCTAGTAAAGACATTTTATTTTTCTATATTAAGATTTTTCTTAAGGAACATCTTGGTCATTTGAAGGGGGCTGATGATGACAGTGATGAGGATGAGCATCAAGGAAATAAGAAGAACAGGCCGGGTGTGGTGGCTCACACCTGTAATCCCAGCACTTTGGGAGGCCAAGGTGGGTGGATCACCTAAGGTCAGGAGTTCGAGACCAGCCTGGCCAACATGGTTAAACCCCATCTCTACTAAAATTATAAAAATTAGCTGAGAGTAGTAACAGGCACCTGTAGTCCCAGCTGCTCAGGAGGCTGAGGCAGGAGAATTGCATGAACCTAGCAGGCAGAGGTTGCAGTGAGCCAAGATCATGCCACCGCACCCCAGCCTGGGCGACAGAGCGAGACTCTGACTCAAAAAAAAAAAAAAAAAAAAGGGAAATAAGAAGAACAGAGTGATCAGTGTCCTTCAGCTGTCCCCAGCCATATGTTTTCAAAACAACTGCCGTGTTAGGGGCTGAGGATACAAAACCCTGTCAGATACCACCCTGCCTTCTGGGCATGGGTAATCTGGTGGACACAGACATCAGTGATTACAATTACAGTCCACTAGGATGGGTGCTATGGGAGCACCTTTGAGGAGTCCCTTGGTCAAGTTCGGGTATTGGCAAAGATGTCCTGGAGGAAGAAATCCTTGGAACTGAATCCAGAGAACAAGTAGAAATTAAGCAGGTAAAAAAAGGCAGAGGTGAGCATTTCAGCAGAGGGAGCAGCTGTGCAAAGGGCGTGAGATGGCCTGACATGTTTAGGAAGGTTCCAAATGCTGGAGTAAAGGGGTGGGGGGTTAGTGGTGGCAGAAGCTAAGGCAAGAAAGTGCAGGTAGGGGCCACATCATGAAAGGCCATGTTACTTTATAGCCTCCTGGCTCACAGCAAGAATCAAGCATTGCTTATTTAGCCTTTGGAAATGAAGTGCAAATAGGTAGTAGGTTGTTTGCCTACCATGGGTGCTGACACAAAGAAAAGCATCGTTTGTGACCCTAGGACCTCCTTTATGTTTCAACCTTAAAACAGGTGAGGGCCGGGCGCGGTGGCTCACGCCTGTAATCCCAGCACTTTAGGAGGCGGAGGTGGGCAGATCACGAGGTCAAGAGATCGAGACCATCCTGGCCAACATGGTGAAACCCCGTCTCTACTAAAAAAAAAAATACAAAAATTAGCTGGGCATGGTGGTGCACGCCTGTAGTCCCAGCTACTCAGGAAGCTGAGGCAGGAGAATTGCTTGAACCCCGGAGGTGGAGGTTGCAGTGAACCAATATCGCACCACTACACTCCAGCCTGGCAACAGAGCAAGACTCGATCTCAAAAAATAAAATTAAATTAAATTTTAAAAATTTAAAAATTTTTTTTAAAAAAACTGAGATGAGGAGCTGCTGCTTTGGGGCACCTTCCTGGCAAACCTCTTGTCCAGTGATCCTGCCCCACTTCTAGAGACCTGGACTGTTTCTACAGAATCAATCCCAGGAATGTTCATGGTCATTAGCAAATTGTGAGCACAACAAGGGCAGAACCCATCTTGATTCATCTTGTCATACCCCCAATACCTATCACAGTGCTTGGCACATAGTGGATGCTAGGTGTTGGCTGATTAATACAATATTGAATGAAGAGCAGAGAAGGATGGTTGGGAAGGCTAGTTCCTATGTGTTTCAATAATAGTCATAGCAAGGCTGGGCACGGTGGCTCAGACCTGTAATCTCAACACTTTGGGAGGCTGAGGTGAACAGATCACTTGAGGAAAGGAGTTCAAGACCAGCCTGGGCAACATGGTTAAATCCCATCTCTACCAAAAAGTACAAAAATTAGCCAGGTGTGGTGGCACACGCTACTCGGGATAAATTTAGTAAGATAAGGGGCCCAAAGGGAGTTTGCTGTTGTCTCAGATGGACGGGAAAAGCTTTCCTGACTAGTGACTTTTTTTTTTTGATACAGAGTTTTGCTCTGTCGCCCAGGCTGGAGTGCAGTGGTGCGATCTCAGCTCACTGCAACCTCCACCTCCCGGGTTCAAGCAATTCTCTTGCCTCAGCCTCCCAAGTAGCTGGGACTACAGGTGTGTGCCACCACACCCAGCTAATTTTTTTTGTATTGTTTTAGTAGAGATGGGGTTTCACCATGTTGCCTAGGCTGGTCTCAAACTCCTGAGTTCATGCAACCTGCCCGCCTCAGCCTGCCAAAGTGCTGGGATTACAGGAATGAGTCACTCCGCCCAGCTGACAAGTGACCTTTGAGCAAAGATATAAGGAAGCAAGGGGTTGATCCAGAAACCTAGGGAGGGAGCATTCCAGGTGGAGGGAGATGTGAGTGCAGAGGCCCTGCGACAGGTGCAGGCTTCACGTGCTGGAGAACAGTAAGGCCAGTGTGGCTTCAGAGAAGAACAGGAGTTGGCACCAGAAAGGCAGTGGCCAGTCCCAGTGGAGCCTTGTGTGGACTTTGGCTTTCCCTGTGAATGAGATGGGAAGCCAGGGCGGAAGAATGAAATGATCTAACTTCATTCGTTCATTCATTCATTCATTTATTCATTCATTCATTTATGGAGACAGAGCCTCGCGCTGTCGCCCAGGCTGTAGTACAGTGGCACAATCTCAACTCACTGCAACCTCTGCTTCCTGGGTTCAAGCAATTCTCTTGCCTCAGCCTCTCAAGTAGCTGGGACTACAGGCATGTGCCACCATGCCCAGCTAATTTTTTTCTATTTTTAGTAGAGGCAGGATTTCACCATGTTGCTCAGGCTGGTCTCAAACTCCTGAGTTCAGGCAACCCACCCGCCTCAGCCTCCCAAAGTGCTAGGATTACAGGTATGAGCCACAATGTCCAGCCGATCTAACTTCTTTTAAAAAGTTACTGTTGGCCGGGCATGGTGGCTCACACCTGTAATCCCAGCCCTTTGGGAGGCCAAGGTGGGTGGATCACGAAGTCAGGAGTTCAAGACCAGCCTAGCCAAGATGGTGAAACCCCGTCTCTACTAAAAATACAAAAAATTAGTTGGGCATGGTGGCAGGCGCCTGTAATCCCCACTACTGGGGAGGCTGAGGCAGAGAACTGCTTGAACCCGGAGGCTGAGGTTGCAGTGGGCCAAGATCACACCACTGTACTCCAGCCTGGGCAACAGAACAAGACTCCATCTCAAAAAAAAAAAAAAAAGAAAGTTACTGTTGGCAGGCGTGGTGGCTCATGCCTGTAATCTCACCACTTTGGAAGGCCAAGGCAGGCAGATCACCCAAGGTCAGGAGTTCGAGACCAGCCTGGTCAACATGGTGAAACCCCATCTCCACTAAAAATACAAAAATTAGCCCCGTGTGGTGGCAGGCACCTGTAATCCCAGCTACTCGGGAGGCTGAGGTAGGAGAATCACTTGAACCCAGGAGGCGGAGGTTGCAGTGAGCTGAGATCACACCACTGTACTCCAGCCTGGGCAACAGAGAGAGACTCTGTCTCAAAAATAAGTAAATAAAATAAAAAGTTACTGTGGCTTCTTCTAGGACAGTTCTTTCAGTGTACCATGAAAGCTCTTGAAGTCTCAGAATTGCTTAGTTCCAGGGTGTGCTGGTGGAGAAGGAACTTGAGCTTTGGGAAACTTGTCTTTGCGAACAGAAGGAATTCTCCTTCGTGAGCATCTGTTATCTGGCAAGTATGCTAGAAGACACAAATAAAGGACCCAATCTCTTCCCTTAAGGAAGTCTCAGTAACTTGTGTGAAACGCAGAGGAGTAAATCAACAGTGGATAGGAGTGACACGATAGAGCCAGCACCAAGCTCTGGGGGACCCAGAGCTGGGACCCTGGGTTAACTTGTCAGGGCATCAAGAAGGTTATGTTGATCAAGTGTTAGCCAGGCAGAGGAAGAGAAGAAGCATAATCTATTTTGAGATAAAATTGAACAGCTTCCTTTCTGAGAAATCACCAAACTGGAGGATAACGCCAATGTGGCGGGAGGTCCTGGAGGCCCTGGGGACCCTAAATGGAAAACTGCCATGGCTTCCTCAGAGGCTTTGGTAGCAGCATGCAGGACTGGGCTCGCAGCCATGGTCAAGGCTAGAGCTGAGGCTGTGGAACTCACAGAGACATGACTGAGGACAAGGAGTGGATACCCATCACCAAGCTGGTCCCTCTGGTCAAGGATATGAAGATCAAGTCCCTGGAGACCTATCTCTTCTCCCTGCCCATCGAGGAGTGTGATATCATTAGCTTTTTTCAAGGGGCATCTCTCATGGGTGAGGTTTTAAAGATTATGCTTGTGTAGAAACAGACCCACACTGGCCACCGCACCAGATTCAAGGCATTTGTTACTGTTAGGGACTATGATGGCCACATCAGTTTAAGTGTTAAGTGCTCCAAGGAGGTTACTACTGCCATCCAAGGGACCATCACCCTGGCCAAGCTTTCCATTGTCCCTATGCGGAGAGGTTACTGGGGGAACAAGATCGGCAAGTCCTACACCACCCCCTGTATGGTTACAGGCTGCTGTAGCTCTGGGCTAGTACACCTTATCCCTGCCCCCAGGAACAATGGCATCATCTCGACTCCTGTGCCCAAGATGCTGCTGCTGATGGCCGGTATTGACAACTGCTACACCTCAGCCAGGGGCTGCACTGCCACCCTGGACAACTTCACCAAGGCCACCTTCAATGCCATCTCCAGGACCTATAGCTGCCTGACCCCCAGCCTCTGGAAAGAGACTATTCACCAAGCCTCCCTGTGGAATGCACTGACCATCACATCAAGACCCACACCAGAGCCTCCATGCAGAGGACCCAGGCTCCAGCTGTGGTTACAGCATAAGCTTTCATACAAGAATAATAGTGAATTACACCTGTTAAAAATAATAAGCAGAAGAAAATGAAATTGAACAAACCAGCCACCGTAGTCCCTTCTAAAGCGACGTGGTCTGCGGGCATCAGTGCCCTTCCTCTCTGGCTATAGCTCTTCGGCATCTGAAGAAAGTTATCCTAACTATTGGGTGATCCAGATTTGGGCACTGTCTGCTATGATGATGCCAGCTGGTCGGGAAGGAATATAAAGTATAGGCTCAACCCTTCCACAGTCACTGTACTGGGAATTCAGGCTTTTCCTCTCTGTTGATGTCAAGAATTAACCTGTAGATAACATTCTTTTTTTTTTCTTTTTTTTTTTTTTCAATTTTTCCTTGTTCTTGTCAAAGGCTGTGTCGCTTAAAACCAAATCTTGATAGATTCTTCATCTTTATCACTCTCTATGAGAAGTAAATATGATTTAAGTGAACCACAGTGAGAGGCCTGTCCTCACTACAGCAAATAAGATGTGTCCCAGGTGACAAGTCCAGTCTCCTTTTAACATGGTGCCCAGAATTCCACATACCTGAGCTTTGGGGGCTGATACAAAGCCACTGCCTCTGATCCCACGGAATGACCTGAATTTACTATCAGTTTTGCCACAATCAGTGCAGTTTGAGGATACGTAGACCCCTGAGATGAGGCCTGAGATAGATGTTCTGGGAAACCCCAAGGAAGCTAAAGTACCTGCCATGGTTTCTTTCATGGCAGGTTGAGTAAGCCAAGCTCCTGAGAATGATTGGTCACATTGTCTTTGCTGTTAAGGTTTCTTGGTTTACAGATGGTGAAGTTGCAGACAAGTTAGCAAACCAACTGAATTTTAATAAAGGAAGCTTTAGGAAAATGGATGAAGATGCAGTTGGAAAATTAAAGTCATGCTTCCTTGATACATACCTCAATTCTGGCAACTTCTCACTTGGAATTTTCCAAAGTCAGTTTTTGGTAATCTTGCCATTTGTATTATCTTTATTTATATAGTTCTGGTTATGCTTGGTGTGTGCCAGCTGTTTTGGGAGTGATGTTTTTCCTTATTTCTCTTGGCTCCTGTTAAGTGTTAAATTGCTGAAACTGACCTTTAATGCTTCCAAAGCAATCAGCATCTTTCTCTCTGGATGGCTTTTAGAAGTGGACACAGTTTACTGATTTAGCCAGTGAAGAGAAAGCTTTCCATAGTGTGGTTTACTCAGAGCAGGTGACAAAAGGATGAATTTCTGGCTGGGCCCAGTGGCTCACGCCTATAATCCCAGCACTTTAGGAGGCCAAGGTGGGCAATCATTTGAGGTCAGGAGTTTGAGACCAGCCTGGCCAACATGGCAAAACCCTATCTCTACTAAAAATACAAAAATTAACCAGGTGTGGTGACAGGCACATGTAGCTACTCAGGAGGCTGAGACAAGAATCACTTGAACCCGGGAGGCAAAGGTTGCGGTAAGCTGCGAGCATGCCACTGTACTCCAGCCTGAGCTACAGAGCAAGACTCTGCCTCAAAAAAAAAAAAAAAAAAAAGAATGGATTTCTGCCCTCTGAGAGGACTTAGAGTATAGAAATAATACACCAGTTCATCATCTATCTATCTCACCAAGGCTTTTAGAGGTAGAACTCAGTGTTCATTATGTCGTTGGGGTTGGAGGTGAGAGACTAGCCGTGAAGTGACTTTTCCAGCCTGGATACATAGAAGAGAGTGGCCTACATCCTCCCCACTTCTAGTGTTGGACAAGGGGTCTGTCCCATTGGTCTGCTGGAGAGCAGCATTACAAGCTGGTTATGGGTGCTTGACCTGAACTGAAGACTGTTCTTATATTTAGATGATATCCGTAAGACCATATTAAAATTCCGATGCTCAGAAAGCATTTTGCGTGACAGACCATTATACATTTCACATGATTTGGTCCTGGTGACAGAGGGGTTGAGGAAGTTTCCCAAATGCTCTTCTGTTCTCGGGCCTCTTCCTGATTGTCCTGGATGGCTGACTGCAGATGGGTTTGGTGGAGTCTGGCGCATAAGTCACTAACAGCCCGTAGCAAGCAGGAGGCTATTTCAGCTGATCTCAGCAAGGCTTGTCATAACTAGCTCCTCTCTCAGTCATACCTTCAAGGTGGCACAGGGATTCAAGAATTGGCCTTGACCGGGGTGCAGTAGTTCATGCCTGGAATCCCAGCACTTTGGGAAGCCGAGGCAGGCGAATCACTTGAGTCCAGGAGTTTGAGACCAGCCTGGGCAACATGGCAAAACTCCATCTCTACAAAAACTACACAAATTAGCTATGCGTAGTGGTACACGCCTGTAGTCCCAGCTACTCCGGAGGCCGAGGTGGGAGGAGTGCCAGAGCCTGGGAGGTGAAGGCTGCAGTGAGCTGAGATCATGCCACTGCATTCCAGCCTGGGTGACACAGTGAGACTTTGTCTCACAGAAAAAAAAAAGAAAAAGAAGAAGGCTGGGCATGGTGGTGCATGCCTATAGTCCCAGCTACTAGGGAGGCTGAGGTGGGAGGATTGCTTGAGCCCTGGAAGCAGAGGTTGCTGTGAGCTGAGATCGTGCTACTGCACTCCAGCCTGGGCAACAGAGTGAGAGTCCATCTCAAAAAAAAAAAAAAAAAAAAAGAATTGCCCTTGAAGGGAAAGCCCTTTTCCAGGCAGGATGCTTCTGCCTGGACATCCCAGCTGTGGGATTAATGCACAAATGCCCAACTGTGAGAGCCAGCCTTACACTGAGAGCTGAGGTGGAAGCATGACCCGCTCAGCAAAGAGAGGCAGGACAGAGGTGACAAAGGCAGACACCAACATGGTTCTAGGCCAGGGAGCCTTGGTCTTCCAAACGTGGAAGCAGGGGCCCAAAGCTAAACGTAGAGGGGAGCAAACATAATGCCTAAGACCCTCTGCTCGGTCCATGGCCTTGGGCTGGCTTCCATAATTTAGCCATCAGACCAAATAAATTTTACTTCCCTGTGTCAAGAGGGACTCAGACCTATCTCTAACTTGTTTCTCTGGTTTCAGCTCTTACCTTGTAAATACTAAGCCTGAAAGTGGAGGTAGCTATTATATTGTTGCCTATTTGGAGGTTGCCCAAGGAATTCCTCTTAGGACTGAATTGCTTCTACTGTTAATGCCACAGGCATGGAAGCCACTGCTGGCCTTAGGGTGGGGGGTCCCAGGTCAAAGGCAGAGCAGCTTGCTGGGTCTTACTGAAAACAGCCCCCAAAGGGTTGGACTCCTCTGGGATTTTCCTTCACTTGCAAGCTGCATGTTTGTCTGATAGATGCACAAGTTGATTAAATGCCAGCGCATCACAGACGCAATTATGCTTAAGAACAAGCTAGTTCTTCTAATCTCTCTGCCATCACTGATTAATTAGATACTTTGAACTATGCCCAACTGTTTGAAAGCTGTGAAAAATACAACCTGTATAGTTAAAATTTCTGCACAAGCCTATTTCCTCACTTGTTCTCATATTCACCATTCTTTAAACATGATTTGTATTTGTACGTGTTTCTAAACACAGTCTGGCTATTTTCCTATCATAATTAGATATCCTTCCACTACTGGCCAAGAAATATATTCACACAGTAAGTCCAATAACAAAAGTATGTGAGAGGCCAGGTGCGGTGGCTCATGTCTGTAATCCCAGCACTTTGGGAGGCCGAGGCAGGCAGATCACCTGGGTCAGGAGTTTGAGACCAGCCTGGCCAACACGGTGAAACCCTGCCTCTACCAAAAAATACAAAAAATTAACCGGGCATGGTGACACGCGCCTGTAGTCCTACCCACTCAGGAGACTGAGGCACCAGAATCGCTTGAACCCGGGAGGCAGAGGTTGCAGTGAGCCAAGATTGTACCACTGCACTCCAGCCTGGATGACAGAGCGAGATCCTGTTTCAAAAAAAAAAAAAGTATATGAGAGACCAGTTGAATAAGTTAGACATACCTTCAGATTGTTGCTGCCATTGGTCACACTTTCAAAAATTTTTTTTTCTCTTTTTAAAGCTTACATGAATGCCTCAGAAAGGTTTGTTGTCATTCTTGTTAATTGTATCTCTTCATTGAGATTTTAAAACATTTTTCTGCCTACCAGGAGCCAGGCAAGGGTACAGTGGCTGTTACATTCAACTGTTTGATTTTATGACATAATTAACTATATATCAGTTTTGCAAGTAATTTCCAGTCTTTCTTTCCTGTGTTAGTATGGTCTTTTAAAGTAATTGAGCGCTGGCCAGGCACAGTAACTCATGCCTGTAATCCCAGCACTTTGGGAGGTGGACGCGGGCAGATCACCTGAAGTCAGGAGTTTGAGACCAACCTGGCCAACATAGCGAAACTCCATCTCTACTAAAAATACAAAAATTTAGGTGGGCCAGGCTCAGTGGCTCACACCTATAATCCCAGCACTTTGGGAGGCCGAGGTGGGCAGATCACAATGTCAGGAGATTGAGACCATCCTGGCTAACACGGTGAAAAACCCCTTCTCTACTAAAAATACAAAAAATTAGCCAGGTGTGGTGGCGGATGCCTGTAGTCCCAGCTACTCGGGAGGTTGAGGCAGGAGAATGGCGTGAACCCGGGAAGCGGAGCTTGCTGTGAGCCAAGATCGCGCCACTGCACTCCAGCCTGGGCGACAGAGTGAGACTCCATCTCAAAAAAAAAAATTAGGCATGGTTGTGTGCACCTGTAGTCCCAGCTACTCAGGAGAATCACTTGAACCTAGGAGGCAGAGGTTGCAGTGAGCTGACATTGCACCACTGCACTCCAGCCTGGGCAACAGAGCGAGACTCCGTCTCAAAAAAAAAAAAAAAAAGTGAGCACAGGCTGGACACGGTGGCTCATACCTGTAATCCTAGCACCTTGGGAGGCCAAGGCAGGAGGATTGCATAAGCCCAGGGGTTCAAGACCAGCTGGGCAACATGGTAAAACCCTCATCTCTACAAAAAATAATCAAATTAGCCAGGCATGGTGGCGCACACCTGTAGTCCTAGCTACTTGGGAGGCTGAGGTGGGAGGGTCACTTGTGCCCAGGAGGTCAAGGCTGCAGTGAGCCCTGATTGCACCACTGCACTCCAGCCTGGGTGACAGAGTGAGACCCTGTCTCAAACAAAACAAAACAAAACAGAAAAAATACGTAAAGTAATTGAGCACAGAAAGTCCTATTCCATATTCAGGAAGTCTCTGAAAGTGACCCCTGCTGACTCACATCCGGTGTACACTACATTTGTAGGACTGGAATATCTGGACATGCTGAAGAAGATCAGTTAGAATATTTCTGTAACTCTTTATTCCCTAGGCTGAAACTTTCATCAATGGTACATTCACATTCATGCCAGGCTGTGAACTCTGAAGTCTCCTTAGCTAAATCCCCATGATCCTCAGTCTCTAGAAGCAGCTATGGTTGGGACCATCTTTTTTCCTTTGATTTGATGTTCTTAAAGGGGGACAATTAACAGTTCTCACTTTTGTGGAAATATTAGCATTTGACCTTACCTTTTACAAAATGCATATAATATACAGTACACATATTCCTTCCCACTCTCTAATCTCGTTCTTGAATTCCAAACTGGATTTTGCCCTCTACCAGAAAAGTCAGACTGCATCAAGATCTCTCCCACTAGATCTCACCCTCTTTGTTGAGGATTAAGCAACTATCCAGCCCTCTCTAAGCCAGATTGCTCTTGATGAATGTGTAGTAAGTGGAACACAGTTGAAAGGTTATAGGTAATTGTGCAACTCTGATTCTTATCAACTTCATCTTCCTTCATCCTCCTAGGTAACAGCTTGCCTGATTGCTGTGGCCAAAACAGATGGTGAAGTTCAAGTACGCAGAGCTGCCATACATGTGGTTGTGCTGCTGCTTCGGGGACTCAGCCAGAAAGCTACTGAGGTCAGTCCGTCTCTCGCCCTTTGCAATTTCTCCACCTCTTTTATTTGTCTATTTCTCAATCTTCCTTTTACCAGGGAAGGCCTCAAACCTCTTTCCTCGATGGATTCATCCAAATGAATCCATCAACAGGGATTTTGTAGCAGGAAAATGACCTTGTTTGTATCTTCGGTGTATGTCTCTATTACCTCAGTAACATATTGGCCAAACTATATACTAAGAAAAACCAGAGCACAAGGTTGTAGATTGAGGCCCTGAATCCTGGCATTGTCCTCATTGTTCCAAGGTGAGCTAGCTAGAACACATTCACCCTGCCTCTGCACCCTGAACTTCAGTGACTTGCCTTTCTGACTCATTTGATTGTTCATGCTGAATTACTAAAGGGCCTCATTGAAGATGTTTCCTTTCTAGCTGAGTTCAATCTATGACATGTTAGGTGCTGCATAAATTAAATTTTCTTCCTCCTTCAAGTGGGTTTGGCTGGATTTCTCCCCAGCGTATGGCCAATACAGGAAGAAAGTATATATTTACATATATATATATATAAAAAACCATATGTGTGCTGAGAATGAGCGACCTCTAAATTAATTTTCGTCTTGATTTTAATGGAAACACATTCCCAGTTGACTTCCTATGGAAAATTTGCATTAATAATTCACCACCCAGTATCCACAATGCTCATCTGTGGCTAACACATCAGTATTTAACCAAGTGTCAGTGAAGCCATTATAAAAGTGACTGTTTTAGGCCAGGCTCGGTGGCTCATGCCTGTAATCCCAGCACTTTAGGAGGCCGAGGCAGGCGGATCACCTGAGGTCAGGAGTTCGAGACCAGCCTGACCAACATGGAGAAACCCCATCTCTACTAAAAATACAAAATTAGCCAGGTGTGGTGGCGCATGCCTGTAATCCCATCTACTCGGGAGGCTGAGACAGGAGAATTGCTTGAACCCGGGAGGCGGAGGTTGCAGTGAGCCGAGATCTTGCCATTACACTCCAGCCTGGGCAACAAGAGTGAAATTCTGTCTCAAAAAAAAAAAAAAAGTGATTGTTTTATCACACACACACATACATGGGCTTTATTCATCCTAGAATGTTACCATATGGAGTTTCTGATGCCATTTTTGTACAGGCAGGGACTCAGTAGTTATCCCATTCCTTTCCTACACAGCCACCTTTTCTCTTTACGTAGTGACTTGCTGTTGTTGCACCTCACTAGCGAGGCCATTGGATTTCCCAGTGCTTTGGGAATAGTGCTTTACCCTCGGCTGCATTTCTCCCCCTTCTCCTCCACCTTGTATAGGTTGAGGTTTGGATTGAATGAACTTATCTGCTATGAGCATGTTCAACTACAAATTAGAAAAACTTCAACTACAATGTCCTAAACAAGTAAGGATTTTTCTCACATCACAAGAAATATGTAAGTAGGTGGTGTCTGTTTAGCAGCTCAGTATCAACAGGACCAACATTTCTATAATCTTTGTGGCCTTTGCCTCATGGCTACAAGATAGCTGCTGCAGCTCTGGCCATTGTGAATGATTTAAATGAGAAAGAAAGAAGATAAGAGAAGGACAGCCCTAGGTGCTTTTTGTTTCTTATTTTGGGGAACTAGGACAGTTTCCCAGAACCCCCCAGGAGAATTCCTATTTCATTGGCCAGAACTGTGTCAAACAATTGTTTCTAGCTGCAAAGGAGCCTGACAATGTATTTAGTTGGCACATTGCTACTCTGAATGAAATTGAATTTTAGTCAGCAAGGAAGATGGCAGGAAATGGATATTAGGGTGGCAACTAATAGTGACACAAAGGAATATGGGGAAGATCTGGCTGACTCATAAAAACTTCTGTAGCCGGGCGGGGTGGCTCACACCTGTAATCCCAGCACTTTGGGAGGCTGAGGCGGGTGGATCACCTGAGGTCGGGAATTCGAGATCAGCCTGGCCAACATGGTGAAACCCCGTCTCTACTAAAAATACAAAAATTAGCCAGGCGTGGTGGCAGGCACCTGTAATCCAGGCTACTTGGGAGACTGAAGCAGGAGAATCACTTGAACCTGGGAGGCAGAAGTTGTAGTGAGCCAGGATTGCACCACTGCACTCCAGCCTAGGTGACAGAGTGAGTCTCCTTCTCAAAAAACAAACAAAAAACTTCTGTAGGGACAGACTTGCTCATTAACTTGGAGCACTCACCTGGAAGGATGGAGGCTCCAGGGTTTTACTTAGGACCTTGATGGGGATGGGGGACATATAGATCATAGCTCAGTAATTTGTATAATTAAATAAATTGCTATAGGGACAATAATACACATTGCTCTTATTGAGAATCCACTGTATGAGAGGGAGTTAAGAAGAATCAGTGTTTTTCATCCATTGTTAAGATCTACAAAACTCTTGGCAAAGATGTTGTTAAGTAAGTTGTTAACAGTAGGGGAATGGAGGGGTATACAGGGACTTTGTACTATCTTTGCAACTTTTGTGTAAATCTAAAATTATTTCAAAGCAAAAATGTATTTGAAAATACAAGTTGGTCGGGTGCAGTGGCTCACCGCCTGTAATCCCAGCACTTTGGGAGGCTGAGGTGTGTGGATCACTTGAGCCCAAGAGTTCGAGAGAAGCCTGGCCTACCTGGCAAAACTCTGTTTCTACTAAAAATACAAAAAAGTAGCCAGGTGTGGTGGCATCTGCCTGTAATCCCAGCTAGTCGGGAGGCTGAGGCAGGAGAATCACTTGAACCGGGGAGGCGGAGGTTGCAGTGAGCCAAGATCGCGCCACTGCACTTCAGTCTGGGCGACAGAGAGAGACTCTGTAAGTGCACACACCCTTACTGAGTGAGAGAGTGAAAGTGAGAGCGAGCGAGAGACAGAGCGAGTGTGTGTGTGTGTGTGTGTGTGTGTGTGTGTGTGTGTGTAGCAGAGGAAAATGTCTGGTTAGCAAAGTCAGAGAAGAAATAGAAACTCTATCCAGATTTCTCACATCTGTGCCTAGCCAATGAAACCAACACCGCTTGTCTCACCAGTACTAAAATAATTTGTGGCCATGGAAGATTTTTGTCACTTTCAAAACCCATGTGAATGAAAAACCTCCGCCTGTTCTCCAAACTGTCTCTAGTCTGCACTCACTGAAACTTATAAGTTGTGCTTAGTGAATAAAGAAAAGGAAATGGGAAGGGATGAACAGATGATTCCTCTTCCTGGTACATCCTTGAGACCAGGTGTGTTAAATCTTGTAATCGTAGGTGTGATTATAATCAGGGGCACTTTAATGAGAAGTGGAGATAACCACAAAGCTTTCAATCTGGAATTTCTCTTTATGGCTCTGTTTTGCCCCCAGGAACAGCTGAAGTGAAAATGCCACACTGTTGATGAAGTTCTGTGTTTTTCCCCCTTCTAATCACCATCTCCCAAGCTATAGAGTGCCAAAAGATAATACCAGGTTTCAGTGAATTCTCTGTTGCTTGTGGATGCGTCAGCCAAGGGCCTCTGTGGTTGTGGCAGCTGGAAAAGGAGGTAGGGGTTCAGGAGATAGCATGGGATCAGAGAGGGGAAACATCAACGCCCCTAACTCATGAGGCAGTTTTTACCTCTTTCCCATTTGAATGTAGCCAGAGTTTTGTGCAGCCAACACAATATCCACATTGGAGGGAAATACTGCATTCACTTTCTTTTTTGAGACAGAGTCTCACTCTGGTGCCCAGGCTGGAGTGCAGTGGCATGATCTCGGCTTACTGCAACCTCCACCTCCCGGGTTCAAGCAATTCTCATGCTTCGGCCTCCCGAGTAGCTAGGATTACAGATTTGCACCATCACGCTCAGCTAATTTTTGTATTTTTAGTAGAGACAGGGTTTCACAATATTGGCCAAGTTGGTCTCGAACTCGTGACCTCAACTGAGCCACTGTGCCTGGCCCTGCATTCACTTTGTTATTGAAAAACTTATTTTTGCCGGGTGCGGTGACTCACGCCTGTAATCCCAGCAGTTTGGTGGGCTACCTGAAATCCCTGGAGAGGGATTAGAAGCAGGCCAGTTCTGATGGGGAGTTCATGCTTAGAGGAGAGGTGATGCACACGATAAGTTCCATTTGCTTGTTTTAACCTAGGGACAAGTATACTTGGCAAGGCATGCGATATAGTAGGGGCACTGGCAGAGAGATCACAGCTTTTCTGGCCTGAGGAACCAGGAGATTGAGTGTGGGGAAGCCACAGAAGAGAGGCAATTTGGAAGGGAAAGATCCAAAGAGAAGATTCCCCAGTTCTCTCTGCCTACTTTTTAGGCTAACCCCTGAACCAAGCAAGGTAGTTGCCTGCTTCAAAAACAAAAACAAAGCAGGGTGTGTTGGCACATGCCCGTAGTCTCAGATACTTAAGAGGCTGAGGCACGAGATTGCTTGAGCTCAGGAGTTCAAGACCAGCCAGGGCTACGTAAGCAAGACCTTATCTGAAAAAGAAAAAAAATTTTAAAAGGCTGGGCGCAGTGCCTCATGCCTATAATCCCAGCACTTTGTTTGGGAGGCCAAGGTGGGCAAATCACCTGAGGTCAGGAGTTCGAGACCAGCCTGACCAACATAGTGAAACCCTGTCTTTACTAAAAATACAAAAGAATTAGGTGGATTTGGTGGCACACTTGTAATCCCAGTTCGGGAGGCCAAGACAGGAGAATTGTTTGAACCGGGAGGCAAAGGTTACAGTGAGCTGAGATTGTGCCACTGCACTCCAGCCTGGGCGACAGAGGGAGACTCTTGTCTCAAAAAAAAAAAAAAAAAGCTGGGCGCGGCGACTCACACCTATAATCCCAGCACTTTGGGAGGCCGAGGCGGGCGGATCATGAGGTCAGAAGATAGAGACCATCCTGGCTAACATGGTGAAACCCCGTCTCTACTAAAATTAGCCGGGTGTGGTGGCGGGTGCCTGTAGTCCTAGCTACTCGGGAGGCTGAGGCAGGAGAATGGCGTGAACCTGGGAGGCAGAGCTTGCAGTGAGCCAAGATCGAGCCACTGCACTCCAGCCTGGGTGACTGAGCGAGACTCCATCTCAAAAAAAAAAAAAAAAAAGGCTGGGTGCAGTGACTTATGCCTGTAATCCCAGCGCTTTGGAAGGCCAAGGCGGGCGGATCACGAGTTCAGGAGTTTGAGACCAACCTGGCCAACATAGTGAAACCCCCTCTCTACTAAAAATACAAAAAATTAGCTGGGTGTGGTGGTAGGCGCCTGTAATCCCAGCTACTCAGAAGGCTGAGGCAGGAGAATCGCTTGAACCTGGGAGGCAGAGGTTGCAGTGAGCTGAGACCGTGCCACTGCACTCCAGCCTGGACAACAGAGCAAGACTCCATCTCAAAAGAAAAATAAACATAAAAATAAATAAAAAATTAAATTAGGCCGGGCGTGGTGGCTCATGCTTGTAATCCCAGCACTTTGGGAGGCTGAGGCGGGTGGATCACGAGGTCAGGAATTCAAGACCAGCCTGGCCAACATAGTGAAACCCCATCTCTACTAAAAATACAAAAATTAGCCGGGCGTGGTGTCACGCATCTGTAATCCCAGCTACTCAGGAGGCTGAGGCAGGAGAATTGCTTGACCCTAAGAGGCAGAGGTTACAGTGAGCCGAGATCATGCCACTGCACTCCAGTCTGGGTGATAGAGCGAGACTCCAACTCAAAAAAAAAAAAAAAAAAATTAAAATTAAAGAAAAAACCAATAGACCACTCATTGGAGAACAGGATTCAGAGTCAAAATAACTTAACATTCATAATGTCCAGGATACAACTCATGTATACAACCCAATATAAATACAACCCAATATAAGTTACTCAATATATGAAAAACCAGGAAAATGGAACATGTTCCCCAGAGAGAAGAAAATCAACTAAGACGAACCTCAAGGTAATCCTGATGTTAGAATTATCAGAAAAGGATTTTTTTTTTTTTTTTAGATGGAGTTTTACTCTTGTTGCCCAGGCTGGAGTGCAGTGGCACGATCTCGGCTCACTGCAACGTCTGCCTACCTATTCAAGCGATTCTTCCACCTTAGCCTCCCTAGTAGCTGGGATTACAGGTATGTGCCACCACACGTGGCTAATTTTGTATTTTTAGTAGACAGGTTTTCACCATGTTGGTCAGGCTGGTCTCAAACTCCTGACCTCAGGTGATCTGCCCGCCTCAGCCTCCTTGCCAAAGTGCTGGGATTACAGGCATGAGCCACCGCACCTGGCCAGAAAAGGATTTTAAAGCAAATATTATAATTATCCTCAATGAAGTAGAGGAGAAATATTTCTGCAAAGATGGGAAATCTCAGAAAAGAAATAGAAATGATTTTAAAAGGGCCAAATGGAAGTCCTAGAACTAAAAACTACAGTGACTTAAAAAAAAATCACTAAATGGAATTAACCAAGAAAAGAATAAGTGAATTGAAAGATGGAGTACTAGAAATTATATAATGTGAAGAACAGAGAGGAAAAAGAAAAAGATTTAAAATATGAGTGATTTTAGGCCAGGCGTGGTGGCTCACGCCTGTAATCCCAGCACTTTGTTTGGGAGGCTGAGATGGGTGGATCACCTGAGGTCGGGAGTTCGAGACCAGCCTGACCAACATGGTGAAACCCTGTCTTTACTAAAAATACAAAGATTAGCTGGGCGTGGTGGTCCGTGCCTATAATCCCAGCTTCTCAAGAGGCTGAGGTAGGAGAATCACTTGAACCCAGGAGGTGGAGGCTGCAGTGAGCCGAGATTGTGCAACTGCACTCCAGCCTGGGCAACAGAGTGAGACTCTGTCTCAAAAAAAAAAAAAAAAAGAGTGATTTTAGGCTGGGCGCGGTGTCTCACAACTATAATCCCAGCACTTTGTTTGGGAGGCCAAGGTGGACAGATCACCTGAGGTCAGGAGTTCGAGACCAGCCTGGCCAACATGGCGAAACCCTATCTCTACTGAAAATACAAAAATTAGCGAGGCATGATGGTGGTTGCCTGTAGTCCTAGCTCCTCGGGAGGCTGAGGCTGGAGAATCACTTGAACCTGGGAGGCAGAGGTTGCAGTGAGCCAAGATCGCACCATTGCACTCCAGCTTGGGTCCATCTCAAAGGAAAAAAAAAAAAGGTGAGTGATTTGGTGTGACCAGAGGCTCTCAGGACCCTAATCTTACATTTCCCCTAGGAGCAGTGGTTCAATATCTGCTAATGCAGCACTCACAGCAACGTTATAAAACATAACTACCACAAATAACGAGAATTGAATATATATACAATTGGGAAAAAAGTTGATCTTAAAAAAATGAGTGATTGGGGGTTGATTTATCAAGGTAACTACTGCTGCAGCCCTCTACATAGTTTATTGAAAGTTAACTTCTTAGAAGGACTATAAAATATTTGAGAACTTTGCACATGGATTTATAGTGGCTAATATAATATATAGCCACAATATAAAATGGCAGCATTTTATATTGAAACTCTTTCCCTTGCTTTTTAGTATTAAAAGATAATTCTCAGAGCAGTTTTCTTCCTTGTAATCCCTAATTTTAGATGACAAAAGAATAATCTATTCTCTATCTGTTTTGTGGGAGATCAGTATTCAGCTTTAGAATTAATTCCTTCAAAATGATAAAAAGTCTTAACATCAGGTTGTTTCTTCAAAAACAAGCCAAACCTGGAAGCATCTTTAGAAGAGTTTGGGAGTTTTTTTTTCTTTTCTTTTCTTTTTATAAGACAGAGTCTTGCTCTGTCACCCACGCTGGAGCACAGTGGCGCAATATCAGCTCACTGCTGCCTCTGCCTCCTGGGTTCAAGCGATTCTTGTGCCTGAGCCTCTTGACTAGCTGGGATTACAGGTGCACGCCACCAAGTGCAGCTAATTTTTTGTATTTTTTTTTTTTTTTTTTTTTTTTGTAGAGGTGGGGTTTCGCCATGTTGGCCAGGCTGGTCTCAAACTCCTGACCTCAAGCAATTTGCCCACCTCTGCCTTTCAAAGTGCCAGGATTACAGGCGTGAACCACTGTGCCCTGCCAGGATTAATTTTTTTTTAAGAGATGGATGTCTTGTTCTGTTGCCCAGGCTAGAGTGCAGTGGTGTGATCAGAGCTCACTGCAGCCTGAAACTCTTAGGCTCAAGCAATCCTCCTGCCTTAGCCTCCCAGGGATTAATTATTAATTGACAGCTGTTTTAAGTTCTGAGGCAAACTCAGGCCTCCATGCAGGAATGATTTTTAATCACATGAGCTCAGTATTGGACTCTGATGGCTGAAGCCTCTTCCTGATAAGGTTATTTATGAATGGTGGGTTCACCATTAATACTGGAGATTACTCTCCTACTTCTCTGTGAGAGAGAAGGCAAACCCTGGCTAAAGAAAATAAATGGTTTGTATATGATGCTCTGCTTTTTTAATTACAAGAGTTACTCCTAGAGATTTCAGGGGCTTACTTGTCCCAGGATTTGAGTCAGGGTCCTGAGAGAGCAGGGCCAAAAGTGTGTTGGAAAAGGAGCAGTACTAGGCTGGGGACAGACCCAAGCTGAGGGAAGCTGATGAACAGCAAAAAGTCAAAGCCAGGCCCAGGCAGATGGGGCCGGCCTTCTGCAAGGCTGCTGCTGCTGACCCGAAGGAGGTAAAATGAGTGTGCTCTCTTCGTCAATAGCACCAGAGCCCCCTCTTCCCCTTACCTTGTATTTCTTGTCACTGTTTCTTAATTTGAGACATAATTTATATAGTATAAAATTCACCCTTTCAAAGTATATAATTCTGCAATTTTAGCATATTCATAAAGTGGTGCAATGCTCATCAATATCTAATTCCACAACATTTTCATTGCCCCCCAAAAGAAACTCCATACTCCACTCCCCAATTCTCCTCTTCCCCGTTCTCCTCTCCCCCAAGCCCCTAGCAATCACTAATCTACTTTCTCACTATGGATTTGCCTATTCTAGACATTTCATATAAATGAGTCATACAATATGTGGCCTTCTGTGTCTGCCTCCTTCCATTCCTTTAGTATCATGTGGTTAAGGCTCATCCATGTTTTCTTTCTTTAAAAATTTTTTTTCTTTCTTTTTTTTTTTGGAGACGAAGTTTCGCTCTTGTCCCCCAAGCTGGTGTACAATGGCGCCATCTCGTCTCACTGCAACCTCTGCCTCCCAGGTTCAAGCAATTCTCCTGCCTCAGCCTCCCGAGTAGCTGGGATTACAGGCACTTGCCACCATGCCTGGCTAATTTTTGTATTTTTAGTAGAGACGGGATTTCACCATGTTGGCCAGGCTGGTCTTGAACTCCTGACTTAAAGTGATCCACCACCCCTCCCCGCCCAGCCTCCCAAAATGCTAGGATTACAGGCATGAGCCACTATGTCTGGCTTTTTTTTTTTCTTTTTTATAAAGATGGGGTCTCACTATGTTGCCCAGGCTGGTCTTGAACTCCTGAGCTCATGTGATCCTTCTGCCTCTGCCTCCCCTCCCAAAGTGCTGAGATTACAGGCATGAGCCACCACACCCTGCCTGGCTCATCCATGGTGTAGCATATATCAGAGCTTAATGTTTGCAGCTGAATAAGATTCCATCGTATAGGTATGCCACATTTGTTTATCCATTTATCAGTTGATGGACATATAGGATGTTTCTACTTTTTGGCTATTTTAAACAATGCTGCTATGAACATTTGTGTAGAAGTTTTTGTGTAAATATATGTTTTCATTTCTCTTGGGTATATACCTAGAAGTGGAATTGTTGGGTCATATGGTAATTCTGTGTTTAACTTTTGAGGAACTGCCAGACTGTTTTCAAAGTGACTGCATGAGTTTACATTCCCACCAGCAATGCATGAGGTTTCCAAATTCTCCATATCCTCACGAACACTTGTTATTGTCCATCATACATTCTAGCATGTATCAAATATGAACTCCTATGATAAGGTTTAGATTTTGCATCTCCCTCATGGCTAAAGATGTTGAGCTTGTTAGGTTTTTGTTTTTGTTTTTTCTGAAACGGGGTCTCATGGTCATCCTGGCTGGAATGGTGTGGCACGATCATGGCTCGGTGCAGCCTCAAACTCCTAGGCTCAAGCAATCCTTCCACCTCAGCCTCCTAAACTATGCCACCATGCCCAGCTAATTTTTTTTTTTTTTTTGAGACGGAGTCTTGCTCTGTCACCCAGGCTGGAATGCAGTGGTGCGATCTCAGCTCACTGCAACCTCCGCCTCCCGGGTTCAAGCAATTCTCCTGCCCCAGCCTCTTGAGTAGCTGGGATTTCAGGCATGTACCACCATGCCCGGCTAATTTTTGTATTTTTAGTAGAGACAGGGTTTCACCATGTTGGTCAGGCTGGTCTTAAACTCCTGACCTCATGATCCACACACCTCGGCCTCCCAAAGTGCTGGGATTACAGGCTTGAGCCACCGCGCCCGGCCCTAATTTTTTTATTTTTTGTAGAGATGGGGTCTCACTATGTTGCCCAGGCTGGTCTCAAACTCGTGGGCTCAAGTAATCTTCCTGCCTCAGCCTCCCAAAGTGCTGGGATTACAGGCGTGAGCCATTGCACTTAGCTATTTGTATATCATCTTTGGAGAAATGTCTGTTCAATTTCTTTGCCCATTTTTTAATTGGGTTGTCTTTATTGTTGATTTATTTATTTTCTAATTTAATTTTTATTCCCCCCAAATAAAAATATTATGTAATTAAATTACATATTAAATTGATTGCATAATTTAAAATATAATGTAATTAAATATTATTTAAAATAAAAATAAAATTACATAAACATATGTATTTTTAAAACAATAGTTTTACAAAGCTTGTTTCTCACTTAGTGTTCCTATTCCCCATCAGCAACCATTTTCCACTTGTTTTGTTGTTTTGTTTTGGTTTTTAAATTTACTTTCGGCTGAGCACGGTGGCTCACGCCTGTAATCCCAGCAGTTTGGGAGACTGAGGTGGGTGGATCCTGACTTGAGGTCAGGAGTTCAAAACCAGCCTGGCCAACATGATGAAACCCCGTCTCTACTAAAAATACAAAAGGCTGGGCACAATGACTCACACCTGTAATCCCAGCACTTTGGGAGGCTGAGGTGGGCAGATCACCTGAGGTCAGGAGTTTGACAACACGGTGAAACATGGCCAACATGGTGAAACCCTGTCTCTACTAAAAATACAAAAATTAACTGGGTGTGGTATTGGGTGCCTGTAATCCCAGCTACTCAGGAGGCTGAGGCAGGAGACTCATTTGAGGTCAGGAGGCAGAGGTTGCAGTGAGCTGAGATTGTGCCATCGCACTCCAGCCTAGTGGACAAGAGTGAAACTCCATCTCAAAAAACAAAAAATACAAAAATTAGCCAGGCATGCGCCTGTAATCCCAGCTACTCAGGAGGCTGAGGCTGGAGAATTGCTTGAACCCAGGAGATGGAGGCTGCAGTGAGCCAAGATCACGCCACTGCACTTCAGCCTGGGCAACAGAGCGAGACTGTCTCAAAAAATTAAAAATATATATATATATTTTTTCCATATTTACAGATGGTATGCTTATACTGCTATTTCTTGATTTTCCTTTTTTCTTTTCTTTCTTTCTTTTTCTTTTTTTTTTTTTTTTAGACACAGTCTTGCTCTGTCGACCCAGGTGGGAGTGGTGCAGTGCCACCATCATGGCTCACTGCAGCCTTGACCTCCTGGGCTCAGACAATCCTCCCACCATAGCCTCTGAGTAGCTGGGACTACAGGTGTGTACCACCACACCTGGCTAATTTTTTAAATTTTTTGTAGAGATGGTGTCTCCCTATATTGCCCAGGCTAGTCGTATCAAACTCCTAGGCTCAAGCAATCCTGCCACCTTGGCCTCCCAAAATGATGTTGGGATTGCAGGTGTGTGCCATTGCTCTCAGGCCTTGATTTTTCTTTTCTTTTTTTTTTTTTTTTGGAGACAGGGTCTTGCTCTGTCTCCCAAGCTGGAGTGTAGTGGCACAGTCTCAGTTCACTGCAACCTCAGCCTCCCAGGCTTAAGCAATCCTCCCACTTCAGCCTCCCGAGTAGCTGGGACTACAAGCACACACCACCACACCCAGCTAATTTTTGTATTTTTTGTGGAGACTGAGTTTTGCCATGTTGCCCAGACTGGTCAAGACCTGAGCTTGAGCCATCTGCCCACCTCGGCCTCCCAAAGTCATAGGATTACAGGTGTGAGCCACTGTACCCAACCTTGATTCTTCAGTTCACTTGACCTCCTAGTATGTATAAAAGTGGGCCCCCTCAGCTTCTGTTCCAAAGGTGGAAAAACTGGCCTATGTGGGAGGTATGAAGAAACAGTCCAGTGGCTTTGGCTTCAAGTATGGACTCTGGAGCTGGATGTCCAAGCTGAAATCCCAGCTTTGCAACTTGCTGGCAGTGAGACCCTGCACAAATTAGTTGACCTCTCTTCTCCTCAACTTCCTCATCTATAAAATGGAAATAATAATAATAGTGCCAGGCACGGTGGCTCATGCCTGTAATCCCAGCACTTTGGGAGGCCGAGGTGGGTGGATCACCTGAGGTCAGGAGTTCGAGACCAGCCTGGCCAACACGGAGAAACCTCATCTCTCCTAAAAATACAAAATAAGCCAGGCATGGTGGTGCATGTCTATAATCCCAGCTACTCAGGAGGCTGAGGCAGGAGAATCGCTTGAATTCGGGAGGCAGAGGTTGCAATGAGCCGAGATCGTGCCACTGTACTCCTGGCAACAAGGGCGAAACTCGGTCTCAAAAAATAAATAAAAATAATAGTACCACTTTATAGAGTTGTTATAAGAATTAATTGAACTTATCTATGAAAAGCATTTAGAATGTATAGGTTCTAAAAGCTCAATATGTATTCATTATTATTATTATTATTAACATGCTCTCACAAATATATATATTCCCCCTCCCCATTCTCCCTATTTAGTTACATTACAGTTTTTTAATATCAGCATTCAGTGTTTATGTTATTATGACTGTAACTGTTATCTATTCTATGATCACATTTCCTTTCTTGTTTGAATTTTAGTTTTCTCTAAAGTTAATAAATGTTTCATGTTTACATCTGTTACTTTTCTATGAACCTATCATTAATTCATCCCCAATCTTTGCTGAAAGTTTATAAATCTCATAAAAGGTTCAGACACATCAGGTAATCTAACAGCTTCATCTTCTTGGAGGCATGTCTCCTATAAGCCTTCATCCACTGCTCTTGTCTGGACTGGTTACTTCTAAGCCTACTGCAAGATTTAAGAACAGAGCACTCAAAAGCTGATGATACTCTATGTACAGGTACTTATTTATGGACTAGAGGACTTTATAAGAGGGTGATGATCTGGCCAGGTGATATCATTGGGAGACTCCGTACTGTGACTATGTTGAAGTCTTTCTTGGGGGGCTTGGCAGAAAAGAATCTTAGTCTCGGCCAGGCACGGTGGCTCACGCCTGTAATCCTAGCACTTTGGGAGGCCAAGGCGGGTGGATCACCTGAGATCAGGAGTTCCAGACCAGCCTAGCCAACATGGCGAAACCCGTCTCTACTAAAAATACAAAAAAATTAGCCAGGTATGGTGGCAGGGGCCTGTAATCCCAGCTAATCAGGAGGCTGAGGTAGGAGAATCGCTAGAACCCCGGGGATGGAGGTTGCAGTAAGCTGAGATCACTCCATTGCACTCCAGCCTGGGCAACAGAGCAAGACTCTGTCTCAAAAGAAAAAAAAAAGAATCTTGGTCTCCCATAGAGGATAGAAGCCTGGCTGGAGGGTTCCGGAAGATGAGTGGAAAGAGAAGGATGGAGGTCTCACCATTCAGTGTGTAGACTTTCACTTATCCTCCTGTTTTTACCATCGCACTCTCATCTGTGTCTCTATCTAATGTCTACCTATCCAGAGTCTCTCTGGTAGGACCCTCCAAAGGGTAAACACTCCAGGCTTCTGCTGGTTGGGGAGGGGCAGTTACCTGGATGCAGAGAGTAGTAGAAGAGGGCTCAGGGGACCTGATTGCTACTCAGACATACTCTCAACCAGGTCTTCTGTTCACCCTGATTTTAAGAGGCATGGTGCCATCAACTCCTGAAATTTTCTGAGATTCTGTGGTACGTTAGGCCTGCTTCTGGGACTCTTAGGCTTAATGAATCAATTTATCATCCAGACTGGGACACTTTTGAGGGTGAAAGAGGATACTATTAATAATTATTACCAGGGCATCAGGCATACAATATATTATCCTGGGCAAATCAGGACCATGACCCTAGGATTCATCCAACTACTTTCTAGTATCAAAACTTTTGTTGCTGGCCGGGCGTGGTGGCTCAAGCCTGTAATCCCAGCACTTTGGGAGGCCAAGGTGGGCGGATCACGAGGTCAGGAGATCGAGACCATCCTGGCTAACACGGTGAAACACCATCTCTACTAAAAATACAAAAAAAAAAAAAATTAGCAGGGCGCGGTGGCAGGTGCCTGTAGTCCCAGCCATTCGGGAGCCTGAGGCAGGAGAATGGCGTGAACCCGGGAGGCGGAGCTTGCAGTGAGCCGAGATCAAGCCACTGCACTCCAGCCTGGGTGACACAGCGAGACTCCGTCTCAAAAAAAAAAAAAAAAAAAAAAAACTTCTGTTGCTATTGTCTTGTTAGTTCTTTTTGTTCTGGTAACTTAAAGATGCCAATTTTTTTTTTTTATCCCTCTACATAATTTTAGTGGGGTTTCAAGAGAGAGCAGTGATGTATGCATATGTTCAGTCCACCAGCTTTCAGGAGACAGGCTTCATTCTTCCCTCTTTATCAATGGAGAAAGTAGGTATGAAGGGGCTGTGTGACTGTACTCAGAGTTATTTGGTTTTAAGTAAAAGAAACCTTGTCTAAACAAGCTTAAGCAAAGGGAGCGTTTAGCCTGTTGCATCCAAAGAAGGGCTGAACAACCACGTTGTGGGAAAAGCAGAGATAGAGCTGGGGGGTCAGCGACTCAGAATCACAAACTGGAATACTCCATCTCCTGTCTATGCTTCCCTTTCATTTCACCTTCAGTCCCCTGTCCTGGAATCTGGCTTTCTTCCTGTGGCAGCAACATAACCACTGATGGTGGCCCAGTGTTATATCCAACACTCAGATTCCCTTTCTAGACCCAAATGCAAAATTCTAGAAAGGAGTCTTAATGTTCCAACTAAGACTACATGTTCATCCCCAGATCAGCCAACTTGGCTGGGCCAGGTGTGGTGTGTGGGGTTGCTGGTTTGTGTAAAATCAGGTTCAGCCTCCACCATAGTCATTTGTGCAAAGTCAGGCTGGGGCCAGTGCCTAGGACTATTGCCTAGGACTAGGGAATAATCCCATAGATTTCCTCAACAGTAACTTGGCCAAATCCACGTGATGTTAGTGATGGGCTTGAAAAGTAAAGCTGAGCCAGGCGTGCTGGCGTGTCACGCCTGTAATCCCAGCACTTTGAGAGGCCGAGGCAGGTGGATTGCCTGAGGTCAGGAGTTTGAAACCAGCCTGGCCAACATAGTGAAGCCCTTTCTCTACTGAAAATACCAAAAAATTAGCCGGGAGTGGTGGTGGGCGTCTGTAATCCCAGCTACTTGGGAGGCTGAGGCAGGAGAATTGCTTGAACCCAGGAGGCGGAGGTTGCAGTGAGCCGAGATCATGCCATTGCACTCCACCCTGGGCAACAAGAGCAAGACTCCATCTCAAAAAAAAAAGAAAAAGAAAAAAGAAAATTAAAGCTGAAAAGATGAGGACTCAGTACCTTGCTGGGATTGCTAAGTTATAAATGTTCAACCTTTGCTAGTGATGACATAAGGGACAGTGTAGAAACTCTAACATTTAAAACTATTCCCTTTCTGCCTCTTCTGCAAAATCATTTACATAGATCTACATGTGTTAGAATTTGGTTTGTTTTCCTCTTCTGCATCAGATTTACAATATTTTATTTTCTGTAGGCTAGCTTTTGCTTTACTCTTCTGATTGTTATTTAAAATGGCCAAAAGTTTCTCATTTAAACATTTAATGTCACAGAATTTTAGGATGTTAGAAGTGGAAGAGGATTTAGAATATTTAATTTATATTTCACAGAAATGTCCCTGGCACACTAACTTCATGAGCTGCTCCTTTGAAATAAGGTCTTCCTGGTCAAATAAGCTTAGAAAATGCTGTATACAACTAGACATTCTCCTCTTGGAGACTCAGTACATGTTAGCCTATTAAGAAGTCTGCGAAGTCCTGCAGCAAAAAAAAAAAAACCCACAATTTCCTAAATTCATTTACCAAGAACCCTTTTTTCATCATAAGCAGGCCAAGTTCCTTGAAAGATACTTTGGGAAATAATGCAACCGTCTTATTTTATGAATTAGGTAACTAAAGCTCATGAAGAGACAATAGTTTATAATTTTCCAAAGTTAATGCCAGGAAGAATTAGCACTCATTAGCAATGCAAGTTACCAGTTACAGTAACCCCGAGTATCTGGGGTTACAGGCGCCTGCCACCACGCCCAACTAATTTTTTTGTATTTTTTGTAGAGACGGGGTTTCACCGTGTTAGCCAGGATGGTCTCGATCTCCTGACCTCTTGATCCGCCTGCCCAGGCCTCCCAAAGTGCTGGGATTACAGGCATGAGCCACCAAGCCCAGCCTTGAATGGCCTGATTTTCTTTTTTTTTTTTTTTTTTTTTTTTTTTTTGAGATGGAGTCTTGCTCTGTTGCCCAGGCTGGAGTGCAGAGGCATGATCTGGCTCACTGCAAGCTCATGGGTTCACGTCCCAGGTTCACGTCATTCTCCTGCCTCAGCCTCCCGATTAGCTGGAACTACAAGTTCCCGTGAATGGCCTGATTTTCAAAAATGGTAAATTGCTCTTTGTAAAATCCCAAAGAAATAAAAATACTCTCTCAGTTTATATGGTAGTTGTGTTTCTGAAAAATAGAGTATAAATTAAAACTACACAAAACACTTTTATTTAGGCATTTACTACATGACAGCACTTATATCTGTGTGCTTTACATTAATTAATTCACCAGATCCTTATAGTAACCCCATTTCAGTATGATTACTATCACTCTTTTTTCTTTTATTTACGGCCAGCTTCCTAAGCCAAATAGGCTCACAGAATTCTGCTATCCCTATTTTAAACATGAGGAGACTAAGACGAAGAAGCTAAGTAACTTGTTCAACAACTATTAAATGGCAGGCCAATAGATGAACCCAGGCAGTGCAGCTCCAGAGCTCACACACCATTTTCTATGTCCCTGTCACCTGAAGAACTCCAATTCTGAGTCACCTGGGCATTCCCTACACAGATCATGGCCAACAGAAGGCTGCTTCCAATCCCAGAAACCATGAAATCCAAAAGGAAAAGAGGCCAGACCACATCCCTTTGGCGTATTTACTGCTAGCCCAGGAGAATGATGAGACAGTGATGGGAAAGTGTTCAGGCACCCGGGTTTCCTGACCTCCCGGGACCTGCCAACAGGAGCTCTGTAAGAGAGCAAAAGCAGGAAACAACCTTGGCTTCTTTCTTTACCCTTCCTCATGCTCCCCTACCTCTTGCCAAAAGCACAGTCCAACCACAGACTACGCGATTCAGCAACTTCCCACAATGTACACAGAACTGAAAAAAGCATGGGGTAGAGAAAAACTGAAAGAGACCAGACACCTTCAGGGCTGCCAAGCTGGGGAGTCAGTCCTGGGACTTTTCCTCCTTGTCTACAACCTGATTCGGGGATTATTTCTTCCCAGAGAGTGATTATTCTGATAATCAGATGGGCCTACAGGTTGCAAAACCCATTTATCTTTGCTCCATCCTCTGAAAGGGAGGAGTTCTGACTAAGTGTACCCTCCTTGGGGTGACGCGAAATGACAGCCTGGATTGATGCTCTGGGGTTTGTTCCAGCTCATTGCTCATCACCCCATGGATTGTTTGCTCATAGCAAATCTGCGCCAAATAAATTCCATGTCCTCCAAGGTTTGATACTTAATAGTAATATAACTAATCCTGTTTAAGGGTTTATTGTATGCCAGGCAGAGTGCTAAATTCTTTACATTATTATCTCACTGAGTCCCCCTAACAACCTTGTGAGAGACATATGCTTATTAACTCTATTTACAGATAAGAAAATTCAGGTCCAGAAGGTTTACATTCGGATGCCACACAGCCAGTAAGCAGGAGAACTGAATGCAAACCCAGGCTATCTTATTGCCAGCTTGGCTGTTCTGAAGGAACTAATTAGAACTGGCTTGAGATCATACTTGAGGAAGAGGTGAAGTATTACAAGTGTATTAGGACAAACCTGGGTTCCTGAGACTTCTGCTTCCTTAACCATTGGACTTTTCTCTTTTTTTTGAGACGGAGTCTCGCTCTGTCACCCAGGCTGGAGTGCAGTGGCGCAATCTCGGCTCACTGCAAGCTCTGCTTCCCGTGTTCACACCATTCTCCTGCCTTAGCCTCTCGAGTAGCTGGGACTACAGGCGCCCGCCACCACACCTGGCTAATTTTTTTGTATTTTTAGTAGAGATAGGGTTTCACCGTGTTAGCCAGAATGGTCTTTAACCACTGGACTTTTCTACTCTTTTTTTTTTTTTTTGAGACATAGTTTTGCTCTTGTCACCCAGGCTGGAATACAATGCTGCGATCTCGGCTCACTGCAACCTCTGCCTCCCAGGTCTAAGTGATTCTCCTTCCTCAGCCTCCTAAGTAGCTGGGATTACAGGCACCCATTACCATGCCCAGCTAATTTCTTTTTTTTTTTTTTGAGACGGAGTCTTGCTCTGTTGCCCAGGCTGGAGTGCATTGGCGCTATCATGGCTCACTACAACCTCTGCCTCCCGGGTTCAAGCAATTATCCCACCTCAGCCTCCCAATTATCTGGGAAGTGTACGCCACCACGCCTGGCTAATTTTTTGTATTTTTAGTAGAGATGGGGGTCTCACCATATTGGCCAGGCTGGTCTCGAACTCCTGACCTCAAGTGATCCACCTGCCTTGGCCTCCCAAACTGCTGGGACTACAGGCGTGAGCCACCATGCCCAGAAATTTTTGCATTTTTAGTAGAGAGGGGGTTTCACCATGTTGGCCAGGCTGGTCTCGAACTCCTGACCTTAGGTGTTCCGCCCGCCTCAGCCTCCCAAAGTTCTGGGATTAAAGGCGTGAGCCACCGCGCCTGGCCACTTTTCTTTTTTCTTTTTTTCTCTTTTCTTTTGAGACGGAGTCTTGCTCTGTCACCAGGCTGGAGTGTAATGGCATAATCTCTGCTCACTGCAACCTCTGCCTCCCGGGTTCAAATGATTCTCCTGCCTCAGCCTCCCGAGTAGCTGGGACTACAGGTGCACAACCACCACACCCAGCTAATTTTTGTATTTTTAGTAGAGACGAGGTTTCACCATGTTGGCCTGGCCACTTTTCTACTCTTTAATTCTCCTGGGTCAACAGGTACTTAGTTACCCAGGGATGGTAAGGGAACTATAGCCAGAGAGATCTTCCTGAGATGCAAATCTGCTAAGTCTGGTCCCGACTAATAATTTTTCAGTGGTTTCTTGTGGTCTATCAGATGAAGGTCAGACTCCTTTGCATGACATACAAGGCCCTTTGTAATCTGGACCCACCTGCCTTCTATGACTTTCTGTCCCATGCTTGCCTTCTTATGCCCTGAGAAGCTCATGGCAGCCCCAGAATAATCTGCCATCCTGATTCCTGCCTCCACATCTTGGTCACATCTTGGTCCATACTGTTTCTTATGCCTCGAATGCCTTCCTTCCCCCAGCTATCCATCTGATGAGTTTGTATTAATCCTGTAGGACTCCGCTACATGTTATACTTTTTATGAAAAGGCTTTTTTTTCTTTAAGTTTAATTAAAGTGTAATAGAGATGAGGTTTCACCATGTTGCCCAGGTTGCTCTTGAACTCCTGGGCTCAAGTGATCCGCCCATCTCAGCCTCCCAGAGTTCTAGGACTACAGGTGTGAGCCACTGCCCCCAGCCTCCATTCACTTTTATATTCCCAAAAGCTAGCACTTTGCCCTGTTTATGAGTGAATGAAATCATTTCTGTAAGAGGCCTGGCCAGCCTGGGCAACATAGCGAGGCCTCATCTCTACTAAAATAAAAAATGTAGCTTAGTATAGTGGTGCATGCCTGTAGTCCCAGCTACTTTGGAAACTGAGGCAAGAAGATCACATGAGCCCGGGAGTTGAAGGCTACGGTGAATTATCATTGTGCCACTGCACTCCACCCCAGGCAACAGAGAAGACTCTGTCTCTTAAAAAAAAAAAGAAAAAGAAAAAAAAAAGAGGCATGGAACATTGCTCTTAAATTCCTTCGTACCCACCTTTGCAATAAATGACTTTTTAGATCTTGATCTTTAACCGGGAATTCTAAGCCAGGCATGGTGGCTCACACCTGTAATCCCAGCACTTTGGGAGGCCGAGGCGGGAGGATCACAAGGTCACGAGATCGAGACCATCCTGGCCAACATGGTGAAACCCCATCTCTACTAAAAATACAAAAATTAGCTGGGCGTGGTGGCGCACGCCTGTGGTCCCAGCTACTCGGGAGGCTGAGGCAGGTGAATCACTTGAACCCGGGAGGCAGAGGTTACAGTGAGCCAAGATAGCGCCACTGCACTCCAGCCTGGTAACAGAGGGAGACTCCGTCTAAAAAAAAAACAAAAAAAACAAAAAAATAAAAGACTGGGAATTCTGGGACTTCCAAAATCTAGTATTCAGGTTTCCCAAGAGCAAAAGTTGCCTCAACAAGTTTTCTTAAGATCTCTTAAGGAGGGAATTTTGCCTCCTTACTTGGAAACACCTACAGGGTTTTTTTGTTGTTGCAGTTGGGTTATGGACCTGCTATCACCAAATCAGCTGAGTGAAGGAGTCCTGAGGCAGAGTGACAGAATGAATACTGATGTTCGGCTAGAATCACTCTGCTTTTCAAAATTTGGCTTCTGGCTGGACGCAGTGGCTCATGCCTGTAATCCCAGCACTTTGGGAGGGCGAGGCAGGTGGATCACCTGAGGGTCAGGAGTTTGAGACCAGCCTGGCCAACATAGTGAAACCATCTCTACTAAAAATACAAAAATTAGCGGGGTGTGGTGGCATGCACCTGTAGTCCCAGCTACACAGGAGGCTGAAAGCAGGACCTGGGAGGCAGAGGTTGCAGTGAGCCGAGATCGCGCCACCGCACTCCAGCCTAGGCGACAGAGTGAGACTCTGTCTCAAAAACAAAAAAGTCATCTTCCCATTATATTTATATTTATTTATTTAGCTGTCAAAATTTTAGCATATGTATTTCCTTTAGTTCATCCCCTCTGGGCAGAGGTTTTTGCCATAATGCTTGCTCCCAGCCAAGGAGGAAACTGCATTTATCTTATCTTTTCATCTTCCTACAGAATGCATTTCCGGCCGGGCGCGCGGTGGCTCACGCCTGTAATCCCAGCACTTTGGGAGGCCGAGGCGGGCGGATCACAAGGTCAGGAAATCGAGACAATCCTGGCTAAGACGGTGAAACCCCATCTCTACTAAAAATACAAAAAATTAGCCGGGCATGGTGGTGGGCGCCTATAGTCCCAGCTAGTCAGGAGGCTGAGGCAGGATAATGGCGTGAACCCAGGAGGCGGAGGTTGCAGCGAGCCGAGATCGCTCCACTGGCACTCCAGCCTTGGCGACAGAGCGAGACTCCATCTCAAAAAAGAAAAAAAAAGAATGCATTTCGGTAGCCTGTGACTTTCTCTATCTTCAGACTCATACTTCACATACATATGTTTAAGAACAAATTTTTAAAAATATTTGTGGGGAAAAGATGCAATTTTAATTTGTGGGTCAAAACTTATTCTGACCGCCTGCCTTCTGGAAAATAAAATCATTGTGGATAATTCAGAAAATTCCAAGAAGTGCAATAAGTTATGTCCAAATCACTTTGCCTGTACCTGAGGCTTAGACTTTTCATAGGCAAAGTCTATAAAAAAGTGACCTCTCCTTTTGAAACCATGGTATCTCTCTTGCAGTCTCCTAGCCAGTGTTTTTGCCTACCATCCTGCATCCTTATTATTAGATTGTTAGTTTCCTGGGGAGCATCTTATTATTATTAGATTGTAAGAGTTACCTGGGGAGCATAAAAGGAAATTTAATTTTAATTTTTATTTATTTATTTTTTTTGAGACGGAGTCTCACACTGTCACCCAGGCTGGAGTGCAGTGGCGTGATCTCGGCTCACTGCAACCTCTGCCTCCCGGGTTCAAGCGATTCTCCTGCCTCAGCCTCCCGAGTAGCTGGGATTACAGGTACCTGCCACTGCGCCTGGCTAATTTTTTTATTTTTAGTAGTGACAGGGTTTCACCATGTGGGCGAGGCTGGTCTGGAACCACTGACCTCGCGTGATCCACCCACCTCGGCCTCCCAAAGTTCTGGGATTACAGGCATGAGCCACCGCACCCGGCCCATAAAAAGAAATTTAAAAAAAAAAAAAAAAAAAAAGAATCAGCCAGGCGCAGTGCCTCATGCCTGTAATCCTAGCACTTTGGGAAGCCAAGGTGGTGAATCACGAGGTCAGGAGTTAGAGACCAGCATGGCCAAATGGTGAAACCCTGTCTGTATTAAAAATACAAAAACTTGGCTGGGCGCAGTGGCTCATGCCTATAATCCCAGAACTTTGGGAGGCCGAAACAGGTGAATTGTTTGAGGTCAAGAGTTCGAGACCAACCTGGCCAACATGGTGAAACCCCGTCTCTACTAAAAATACAAAAATTAGCCAGACATAATGGTGCGTGCCTGTAGTCCCAGCTACTTGGGAAGCGGAGGCAGGAGAATCGCTTGAACCCAGAAGGCGGAGGTTGAGCCAAGATCGCGCCATTACCCTCCAGCCCGGGTGACAGAGCCAGACTTCGTCTGAAAAAAAAAAAAAAACACTGGGGCCGGGCGCGGTGGCTCACGCCTGTAATCCCAGCACATTGGGAGGCCAAGGCGGGCGGATCACGAGGTCAGGAGTCAAGACCATCCTGGCTAACACAGTGAAACCCCGTCTCTACTAAAAATACAAAAAAATTAGCCGGGCGTGATGGCAGGCGCCTGTAGTCTCAGCTAGTCAGGAGGCTGAGGCAGGAGAATGGCGTGAACCCCGGGGGCGGAGATTGCAGTGAACCGAGATCGCGCCACCGCACTCCAGCCTGGGCGACAAAGCGAGACCCCGTCTCAAAAAAAAAAAAATTAGCCAGTGTGGTGGGGGGCACCTGTAATCCCAGCTACTCGAGAAGCTGAGGCTGGAGAATCGCTTGAACCTGGGAGGCAAAGGCTGCGGTGAGACTCCATCTCCAAAAAAAAAAAAAAAAAAAAAAAAAAACAAAGTTCTTTGGGGGATTTTTAATGAGTAGTGAGGATGGAGAATCATTAACTAGAATGATGGTATCATTCAGAGGCAATGGTATTCACTCTGGGCAGCGTAGCCATACTTTTCTTCTTCTTCTTCTTCTTCTTCTTCTTATTATTATTATTATTATTATTATTATTATTATTATATTATTTTGTTTTGAGATGGAGCCTCTGTCGCCCAGACTGGAGTGCAATGGCACGATCTCAACTAACTGCAAACTCCGCCTCCCGGATTCAAGCAATTCCCCTCCCTCAGCCTCCTGAGTAGCTGGGATTACAGGCATGTGCCACCACGCGTGGCTAATTTTTGTGTTTTTAGCAGAGACGGGGTTTCACCTTGTTGGCCAGGCTGGTCTCAAACTCCTGTCCTCAAATGATCTGCCCGCCTCGGCCTCCCAAAGTGCTGGATTACAGGCATAAGCCACCACGCCCAGCTCTACAGCCATACTTTTCTGGTGTGGGTGGGAGGTTGTTTTTTCCAGTCTGGTCCATGCCATGCGTATATTAGCACATAATACAAACCCTTACCAGAGCCTCTGATGTGTCAGGGACTCTGGGTTTTTTGGCCTTTGATCCTACTGTAGCACCTTATGTTCCTGAAGCATCTTGCACAGAGCATTGAATTCCAGTGAGCAAATGCCCTAAGGATTGCAGTCTGCACTTCCCCTATCCACAGAGGCATGACCTGAGGCTGTGTGATCAGAGCAAGCCTGAGGTGATTCAGAGTGCCCTAAAGCAAACTGGCATCCTAAAGGAAGCCTAAACCATGGAGTCAGCCACCAGCCTTTCTGCTGCTCCCTATCTTCTCTCACCAGCCAGGCACCATCCAAATAAACAACTTTTGATGGTGCAGGAGGAAGATCAAATTCTCTGCATGGTGTCCTCATGCATATTGGATTTCCTAGTAATGCACATATGAAAAACAAAGTTTGTGAACTTAGATCTGACAGATGCAGATTTGAATTCTAGCTATTTGTCCTTGAGCAAATCTCTAAACCTCCCTAACCTCCTGTGCCCTAATTCATAAACTGGGGCTAATAATACCTGCTTCATAGGGTTAAATGAGATAATGTGTGTCCAGGGCTTAGCACAATGACTGAAATGTAGTAAACACTCAATCAGCAGTAGTAGTGAGCCTTTTTCAGATGCTGTCTAATCCCACGTGGGAGGCTTTCCATGCAGAAAGGAAATAGAAGTGTGGTGCCCTCAGCGGGGTGTCTGCATGGAGATCTTGAAGGACTGGAAACAATGAAGCCTGTTCCCCCATATGTGATCACTGAGTACAGTTTGAAAGCTGGGGTTGTACTCACCCTCTCAGGACAACACTCCCAATCTCTTTTCTCGTAAGCAGTAGCCTGCTGCCTTTGCACACACTTCGACCATTTTCCCTGCTGCTTTGTGCTATTTCAGGGCTTGTGGGGGTGTAGGAAAGCTGCCGCCTTCCTCAGGTTGCTATTTAAAGACATTCTGAAACATTTTGCCACCGCTGCTCCTGCCACCACAGCTGCCACTCCTGTCCCAGCTGCAGGGAGCTGCATGGTCACTGACCACTCCAGCCCTTGGGCAGCATGCCTCAGCATAAGCCAGCCAGGGAGCACACACAGTTAGGTGTTGGGAGTTCTGACCGCCTATTTTTTGTTTAGGACTCCTGAGCTATCATCCCTCCCAAGGGTTAACTGCTACCCACCATCTTGGTCTTTGTCCCTAAACAACCTAAACTGTCCATGTCCCTGTAGCATTTTTGGCACTTGACCAGTTAAATATTTCTCCCTTTTTCTCAGGAAAAACCACACATGATACCCGCCTCATCTCCTTTCCACCCCATCTCCAATTTGCACTTTAGATGCTCTCCTCATTTAGTAGCCAGAAAGGGTAAAAGTGCCATTTATCTCTAGGTCTAGCAGAGAAAAATACTCTTAAAATAAAAGGTTTTTGAAAAGCTCAGTAACCTCCAGTTAATAATAATGCCACTGTGAACTTCAGTGTGTTTGAGATTTTCTATCTGTCAGGCATGGGTAGAAATCTCTTAGACATTAGTAATCCTGCCTTTCTTTACTGACCGTCCTGACGCTTTCAGTGAAGTGTCTCAAAAGCCTGGTCTTTCAGGTTTGAATTGGCCCTAATTTCTTTTTCATAGACCCATCAAAGTGAAAGTTTGGGTTTTATCAGGAAAGCATTATTCTTCTTCAGTCCAGAGCTCCTGAATGAGGTCCAGATTGTCTGTGTCCATTCTGCTTCCCCAATTTATTTGTTTCCTGCCCATTATCTTAGAGAGGCCACTCGCCTCAAAGACCTTGGAGTCTGGCCCCTTTCTGCTTCCCCGGCAGAATTCTTCCTGATGCTTTCCATTCTGCAGCATAGCTTGATCAGAGCTTCCAGTGTGCCAGCTACCAACATCATCTGACCTGCGCTGGCCTGATACTGTGTTCAGACTACATTAAATTCATTTCCCCGCATCTACGCCACCTCCCTCTTCCTCTCACTCGCCTTCATTTATTCATCTGCCCAGCCACTCTGCCTTTGGCTTCTCCTCTCTAGTCTTTGTTTTCAGAGCTGTGCCTTTCCCCCTCCTATTCATTCATTCATTCATTTGTTTATTTATTTATTTATTTTGAGATGGCGTCTCGCTCTGTTGCCCAGGTTGGAGTGCAATGGCGTGATCTTGGCTCGCTGCAACCTCTGCCTCCCAGGTTCAAGCAGTTCTCTGGCCTCAGCTTCCCAAGTAGCTGGGATTACAGGCACACACCACAATGCCCGGCTAGTTTTTTTGTATTTTTAGTAGAGACAGGGTTTCACCATGTTGGCCAGGCTGGTCTTGAACTCCTGACCTAAAGTGATCTGCCCACCTTGGCCTCCCAAAGTGCTGGGATTACAGGCATAAGCCACCGCGCCCGGACTTCCCCTCCTATTCTTATTCCTTGGTGGTAAACCCAATTTTCTTAATGTGGTGGTAATAATAACAATACTTTGAATTATTTATCACTTTGCTGATGATAGTGAAATACTCTCACATACATTATCTTTTTTGATCCCCACAATATACTCGTAAGGTAGGTGGTTATATGTGCCTTATGCCTCCCACTCCATGGTAGTGAAAATAATAACCACTTTGAGAGGCTGAGGTGGGGGGATTGCTTGAGGCCAGGAGTTTAAGACAAGCCTCGGCAAAATATCAAGACCCCGTCTCTACAAAAAATTTGTTTTTGTTTTTGAGATAGGGTCTTTCTTGCTTCGTTACCCTGGCTGGAATGCAGTGGTGCAATCACGGCTCAGTATAGCCTCAACCACCCAGGCTCAAGTGATCTTCCCTCCTCAGCTTCCCAAGTAGCTGGGACCACAAATGCGTGACACCATGCCCGACTAATTCTATTATTTCTTGTAGACAAAGGGTCTTGCTGTGTTGCTCAGGCTGGCCTCAAACTCCTGGGCTCAAGCAATCCTCTCACCTTTACCTCCCGAAGTGCCGGGATCATAGGTATGAGCTACTGTGCCTGGCCTACAAAAAAAATTTTTTTTTTATTAGCTGAGGCTGGGCACGGTGGCTCATGCCTGTTATCCCAGCACTTTGGGAGGCCAAGACGGGTGGATCACCTGAGGTCAGGCATTCGAGACCATCCTGGCCAACATGGTGAAACCCCATCTCTACTAAAAATACAAAAAATTAGCCAGGCGTGTTGGCGGGTGCCTGTAATCCCAGCTACTCAGGAGGCTGAGGCAGGAGAATCGCTTGAACCTGGAGACCTGGGAGGTGAAGGTTGCAGTGAGCCAAGATTGCGCCACTGAACTCCAGCCTAGGCAACAAGAGCAAAACTCCATCTCAAAAAAAAAAAAAAAAAAACGCTGGGCGCCGTGGCACACGCCTATAATCCCAGCACTTTGGGAGGCCAAGGCGGGCGGATCATGAGGTCAGGAGTTGGAGACCAGCCTGGGCAACATGGTGAAACCCTGTCTCTACTGGCCGGGCACAGTGGCTCATGCCTCTAATCCCAGCACTTTGGGAGGCCGAGGCGGGCGGATCACTTGAAGTTGGGAGTTCAAGACCAGCCTGACCAACATGGAGAAACCCTGTCTCTACTAAAAATACAAAATTAGCTGGGTGTGGTGGCACATGACTGTAATCCCAGCTACTCGGGAGGCTGAGGCAGGAGAATTGCTTGAACCCAGGAGGCGGAGGTTGTGGTGAGCCAAGATTGCACCACTGCACTCCAGCCTGGACAACAAGAGTGAAACTCTGTCTCAAAAAAAAAAAAAAAAAAAGAAAATAAACCCCATCTCTACTAAAAATACAAAAATTAGCCAGGCATGGTGGCACATGCCTGTAGTCCCAGCTACTCGGGAGG
Source organism: Homo sapiens (assembly GCF_000001405.40). Lineage (NCBI taxonomy): Eukaryota > Metazoa > Chordata > Mammalia > Primates > Hominidae > Homo > Homo sapiens. Next base: position 69,068,040 of record NC_000016.10, read on the forward strand.
CTGAGGCAGAAGAATTGCTTGAATCTGGGAGGCAGAGGTTGCGGTGAGCCAAGATCACACCACTGCACTCCAGCCTGGGCAACAGAGCAAGACTCTTGTCTTGAAAAAAAAAAAATTACCTGAGCATGGTGATGCACACCTATAGTCCCAACTGCTTGGGAGCCTGAGGCAGGAGGATCACCTGAGCTTCAAGGCTGCATGCAGTGAGCTATGATCGTGCCACTGTACCCCAGCCTGGGTACAGAGAGACTCTGTCTCAATAATAGTAATAGTCATAATAAAAACCGCTTTGAGAGACGGTACAGTATAGTGATTAATAAAGAACACTACTCTGGAGTCAGGCTACCAGGGTTTGAATCCTGGATCTACCCATTACTAGCTGTGTGAACCTGGGCAAATTGGAAATGATAATTGTGTTGTGGGGATTGAGTTAATGTAGACAAAATGCCTGGAATCATACCTGGCATATACCAAGTACTATGTAAGGATTAGCTACCGTTGCCATTCATTCATTCTTCAAAGATTTACTGCATGTTAGGCTCTCTTCCAGGCCTCAGTGATGTAAGAGTTACAGGATGGACATAGTCCTGGCCCTCACAGAGGTCACAGTCTTCACTGACAAACCATCACTTCTTTAGCACCCACCATTTGCAATTCCTTGTGCTTGGATCTTTGTTTTTGTTGTTGTTTTGAGATGGAGTCTCGCTCTTGTCGCCCAGGCTGGAGTGCGGTGACGCCATCTTGGCTCACTGCAACCTCCGCCTCCCAGATTCAAGCAATTCTTCTGCCTCAGCCTCCCGTGTAGCTGGGATTACAGGTGCCCGCCACCACGCCCAGGTAATTTTTTTCCTATTTTTAGTAGAGAAGGGGTTTTGCCATGTTGGCCAGGCTGGTCTCGAACTCCTGACCTCAGGTGATCCACCCGCCTCAGCCTGCCACAGTGCTGGGATTACAGGCATGAGCCACCGTACCCAGCCATGTTTTTGGATCTTTAGATACATTAATTCTTATTGCAACCTTCAGGAGGCAAACTTATTCCCATTTTATAGACGAGATCACTGGGGTTCCTAGAAGTGAAGTAGTTTGTTCAAGATTCCCTAGCTAATAATTGGGAGCTCTAGGGTCCACTTCACTCAGTTTGCCTGCCTCCTGACCATTAGGCTTAATTCTGTGTGTCTGCCTCCCCAACAGGGTGTGAGCTCCTGGGTGTGGGAGCCATTCAGCAGAATACTTAGCCTAGTCTCCTGCACACAATGTGGGAAATTTTGCTGAGTTGTTCTCTACTGACAATTCTTGACTCTCTGCCCCGTAATAGTCTCATCTGTTCCCTCTCACATCTCTTAGCCACAAAATCACATCTTGGGCAAGATGAAGGTGCTTAGAAGTTGGACTGTTGCTTTCTGACAGATTCATACCACACCTAATGCTTATTCCAACATGTTTTTAAACAGAACTAGTCGGATTCTGGAGTCTTCTCTTCTGGACCTCAATCTAGAGAATCTTTTTTTCTGCCAGGACAATCTCCAGCCACCAGCTCCAGTTCACCTCTTTCCCCTGTCTTCACCTGTCTTATTATTTCGGTGTATAACTTGCGTGTTATTCCTCTGTTTTTGTCTTTGTGCCTCTTATTTATTTCTCAACCACAAAGGGAGTCACAATTGGTGGTTGATAGGATTGTGTGGAATGTAGCCTTCTTTCTTTTTGATCTTTGTTTGCTTCATCTCTTGTTTCTATAGAATATTGAATTTCTAAATACAACTGTTACAAGGAAAGGGGTCTCCATTCCAGACCCCAAGAAAGGGATCTTGGATCTCGCGCAAGAAAGAATTCAGGGCGAGTCCACATTGCAAAGTAAAAGCAAGTTTATTAAGAAAATAAAGTAGTGGGCCAGGCACGGTGGCTCATGCCTGTAATCCCAGCACTTTGGGAGGCCGAGGCGGGCAGATCACATGAGGTCAGGAGTTCAAGACCAGCCTGACCAACATTGCAAAACCCTGTCTGTACTAAAAAAAAAAAAAAAAAAAAGCTAGGTGTGGCATGTGCCTGTAATCCCAGCTACTCAGGAGGCTGAGGCAGGAGAATCACTTGAACCCAGGAAGCGGAGGTTGCAGTGAGCCGAGATCGTGCCACTGCACTCCAGCCTCGGCGATAGAGCGAGACTCCTTCTCAAAAAAAAAGAAAAAGAAAAGAAAAGAAAGTAGTGAAAGAATAGCTACTCCATAGACAGAGTAGGGCATTCCTGAAAGTAAGAGGAGGAACACGTCCACCCTAGGTACAATGCTTATATATATAGGATAGAAAAAGATCTTGGGGCCAGGCGCAGTGGCTCACGCCTGTAATCCCAGCACTTTGGGAGGCCGAAGCGGGGGGATCACCTGAGGTCAGAAGTTTAAGACCAGCCTGGCCAACATGGTGAAACCCCGTCCCTAATAAAAATACAAAAATTAGCCAGGCATGGAAGTGCTTGTCTGTAATCCCAGCTACTTGAGAGGCTGAGGCAGGAGAATCACTTGAACCTGGGAGGCAGAGGTTGCAGTGAGCCAAGATCACACCACTACACTCCAGCCCGGGTGACAGAGGGAGACTCCATCTCAAAAAAAAAAAAAACAAAAAAACACACACAAAAGATCTTGGGGAGATGTGCTCTGCTACAAGGGTTTGTGATAAATGATTAATTTTCTTAATTGCTATAGTTTGCAAGAATCAATATTATTATTATTATTATTATTATTATTATTATTATTATTTTCTGAGACGGAATTTCGCTCTGGTTGCCCATGCTGGAATGTAATGGGGTGGTCTTGGCTCACTGCAACCTCTGTCTCCCAGATTCAGGCAATCCTCCTGCCTCAGCCTCCCAAGTAACTGGGATTACAGGTACCCACCACCATGCCCAGCTAATTTTTGTACTCTTAGTAGAGACGGGGTTTCACCATGTTGGCCAGGCTGGCCTCAAACTCCTGACCTCAGGTGATCCACCCACCTCTGGCCTCCCAAAGTGTGATTACAGGTGTGAGCCACCATAAAATTAGGAATGCCTTTGTTAAAGCAAAATTTAGGAATGCCTTTGTTCCCAGATACTGGGATATCTGGACACTTCCAAGTCTGAGTCTGTTTGGTAAACATTATCAATCTATTCCCTTAACCATAAACACCTAGAAGTTAGGAATGCCTAACTTCTGGAAATGCAGCCCAGCAAGTCTCAGCCTCATTTTCCAGCCCTCACTCAAAATGCAGTCACTCTGGTTTTAACGCCTCTGACACAATGAGTGTATGCTAGCATTTAACGTTTTTGTCCTTTTATATTTAGCAACTCATTTTCCTATTAAGAAGTTATAGATGGAAAAACCTCTGCTAGATCACCGTGTCCAGAGTCCTTTTTCTGTAAATGTCTTATTTTTGACCATTCATGTTGTGTTTTGTTGATCTCACACAATAAGAACAGAATAGCCATTTCATTCACCAAGTTCCAGTAGTAAAAAACACCTTGAAATGTAAATGACCTTTAAAATATTAAAATAATTTTTAAGTGTAAATGAATCTACTCATTACCGTCTTTACTCATGGAGCTTGTGTTAGAGAGGTAGTCTAACTAGAGCCTTTTTTCTTCCTCTATTTTCATATATTCTGGATTGTGGTAATATGGTTTTTATAATCAAACAAATCAATTTAGGAAGTAAAGAGAAGAAAGATATTTGCCATTTATTTCTTCTTTTGATCTTAAAGATACAACCACTCCGCAAATGTTCCAGGTCAAGCTCATTGAAAGAGTCAAACACTGTCTTCCTGCTTTTCCATTGAATGTGCACCTGTGTGCCCAAGGCAGTCTTTTACTCACACCTTCCCTTTTCAGTTTGCCAAGCCTCTTCTGGTCCTTTCTGAGCCACGTCTAACCCTAAAGACTGCCCTTGTCCCTGAAGCTTCAGCTTTGTGTGTTTCAGGCCAACTGGCGCCTGGAAAGAGGGAGGGTGAAGAGAGAGGGAGACCGTGTGTGTGTGTGTGTGTGTGTGTGTGTGTGTGTGTGTGTGTAGAGAGAGGGAGACCGTGTGTGTGTGTGTGTATGTGTGAAGAGAGAGGGAGACCGTGTGTGTGTGTGTGTGTGTGTGTGTGTGTGTCACATGCGCTCTCTAAATTCTTTTGATAAAGAATCTGAACGCCACTCCCTTCCAAAGAGTTTTCAGACCAGGAGTCTGGGTACTTCTTTAAGATATCCTTGGCCTAAGCTTCTCAGATGGTGAAAGTGTTTGTTTCAACCACTGACTGCAAGCAGCTAAACTAGCTTTCCTGTGAATGAGACGCACCCAGCCTACTCACAGCCATACCCACTCCACCTTGCCCTGGAGTCCTTGGGCCTGATACAGTTGGGGGATGAACAGCAGGTGTGCTGAACTCATAATGAGAGGTTTCCGCTGTGGGATTGCCTATATCCTGCCCCCGACAGAGGCTCCTGTAACTTTACCTTTGAACTCTCCTTGTATTCAGCCCCTGATCCATGGGATTTGGTGACAATCCCTGGCTGGCAGGAAGCTTTGATCCTTGGGGAGTCCAGAGGAAGTCCTATGATGTGTGGGATCCCTAGAGTCACAGGGATTGGGAAGAAGCTCTATACCAGGATGGGTTGCTAAGATAGACCCATTAATTAAGCAGGAGGCTTTGCTTAACACTCAGTTACTAAAAACAGAGATCCGGTAACTGATAACAGGGAGCTCAGCACCCCTCAAGTGTGGAGTGGGTTTTGCACAGGCAGTATTGTTATTTTAAGGACACAGAAGTGCCCAGGGGGAAATTCCTACCCACACGGAGAAAGAGCAGAATACCTGTGAGTATCCCTTTTTAACAAGTAAAAGCTGACTTTACTTTGAATGTTAGGAGGCTCTAGCAAAAAAATCTCAAAGATATTTCTAAGTGAAAGATTCCTCTAAAAGGAAAAAAAAAAAAAAGATGACCTTGTAACAAACACTGGAGGATGGGGCACAGGAAGCCAGGAGAGCAGCCTGGGTGACAGAGTGAGACCTTCTTTAAAAAAAAAAAAAAAGTGGAAGCTCTAGAATTTCTATATATAGAGATGCTTTGGGCTATAATCCATTGGAGAGAGTGTTGGGAGATTTGTCTTTAGGCTGTACCTGCATAGCAAGCATGCTGGTTTTGCTTGGAAACTGCCTTCTTTTTGTGATGGCCTGGGAGCTGGAACTTACTAAAGTTCCCCCAAGCCATTTCCTTGGTGCCACCCACTGGCTGGGAATAAATGTCAGAGTGAAGGCACTTTCACAGAGCAGGTACAGGTTCCTCTTCCTCCACCCACCTCCAAAGGCGGAAATGACTTCCTTTGCTTCCAGAGAATTGCCTGCGTTTCTCTCTTAGAACGGAGATCACTCCATGTGGGGTGTGTGTACTGCCTCCCCACAGGGCTGTAGCTGCCACCTGGGAGGGTTCGTGCCTTATTCATCTTTTTTATCGCCAGCACAGTGCCTGGGCATGACAGAGGCCCATAGTACTGATTATTGAATGAGTGAGTAATCATGAGGCAATAGCGGTGGAGAGTCATCCTCTGCCGGGAATTAGCTCATTTTCATGCGGCCAGCCTCAGGAAAAATAAGACTTCCTTGCCCAAAGACAGGTTAGAAAGGGCACTCGAAGCCAGGCCTGGTGGCTCACGCCTGTAATCCCAGCATTTTGGGAGGCCGAGGCCGGCAGATCACAAGGTCAGGTGTTTGAGACCAGCCTGGCCAATATGGTGAAACCCAGTCTCTACTAAAAATACAAAAATTAGCTCGGCATGGTGGCGGGCGCCTGTAATCCCAGCAATATGGGAGGCTGAGGCAGGAGAATCGCTTGAACCCAGGAGGCAGAGGTTGCAGTGAGCCGAGATCATGCCATTCACTGCTCTCCAGCCTGGGGGGCACAGAGCAAGACTCCATCTTAAAAAAAAAAAAAAAAGGCACTCGGGTGAGGCCACAGAGTCAGGCCCCCGACCTAGGAGACCTGACTGTGGCTCAGAAGCTCCCTGAGAAAGCCCAGGAGGTAACTGCCCAGCAGGGACCAGGCAGCATCTTCCTGAGGTTTGCTCACAGGACTCAGGTGCTTCACGTGGTGACACTGGGCTAGGAGCATTGAGGGTTGTTTGCAGGCTGACCGTATAATATGTGGGTCCCAGTGCAGATTAAAATGCAGGGCTCCTTGCTAGGGAAAACAAATAACAACAACAAGAAGAAAGTACCATTAGTGCTGTGTGTGTGTGTGTATATATATATATATTACAGAAAAGGAGTCCCGATCCAGACCCCAAAAGAGGCTTCTTGGATCTTGTGCAAGAGGGAATTCAGGGCGAGTCTGCAGTGGAAAGTAAAAGCAAATTTATTAAGAGAGTAAAGTAGTGAAAGAACAGCTGCTCCATAGACAGAGTAGGACGTTCCCGAAAGAGGAGGAACGTGTCCACCCTAGATACAATACTCGTATATATGGGGCGATGTGCTCTGCTACAAGGACTTGTGATAAAGGATTAATTTTCTCAATTACTATACTTTACAAGTATCAAATTATCATCTTTAAAGCAAAATTAGGAATGTCTTTGTTCTCCAGATATCGGGATATCTGGACACTCCTAAGTCTGAGTCTGTTTGGTAAACATTATTAATTCATTCCCTTAACCATAAACATCTAGAGGTTAGGAATACCTAACTTTCTGGGAATGCAGCCCAGCAAGTCTCAGCCTCATTTTCCAGCTCTCACTCAAAATGGAGTCACTCTGGTTCGAATGCCTGTGTGTGTGTGTGTGTGTGTGTGTGTGTGTGTGTGTGTGTATAATTATTATTATTATTTTTTTTTGGAGGCAGAATCTCGCCCTATTGCCCAGGCTAGTGTGAGGTGGCGCCATTCTTGGCTCACTGCAACCTCCGCCTCCCAGGTTCAAGCAATTCTCCTGCCTCAGCCTCCTGAGTATCTGGGATTACAGGCATGCGCCACTACGCCTGGCTAATTTTTTAGTAGAGACGGGGTTTCGCCATGTTGCTCAGGCTGGTCTCGAACTCCTGAGCTCAGTTGATCCACCCAGCTTGGCCTTCCAAAAGTGCACAGATTACAGGTATAAGCCACTGTGCCTGGCCTGAAATATAATTTTTTTCCTTCCAAAGTCTGCTTTTTTTTTTTTTTTTAAGAGATGGGGTCTAAGTCTCTCTCTCAACTTGTCATGATGTTTATTATTTGCTGGAGAAAAATTAAAATGTTAAATTATTAGCATGAATTTTACTGTTCATCTTTACATTGTGCAATGCCAATTCTAAATGCAAATATAAGAGCATTAGCTCCTACACAGAATCACTGAAATTACACAATTTGTATTTCATAGTTTACACATGCATATGTATTTCCTTCTTAGCAGAACAGTAGAAACTCTACACAACACGAATTCAACTTTTATTTTTTTTTTTTTTTTGAGACAGGGTCTCACTCTGTCACCCAGGCCAGAGTGCAGTGGCAAGATCATGGCCCACTGCAGCCTCAGCCTCCTGGGTTCAAGCAATCCCCTCACCTCAGCCTCCCGAGTAGCTGGGACTACAGGCACACCCCACCACACCTGGCTAATTTTTGTACTTTTTGTAGAGATGGGGTTTCACCATGTTGTTCAGGCTGCTCTTGAACTCCTGGGGTCAGGCAATCCTCCTGCCTTGGCCTCTCAAAGTGCCGGGATTACAGGCATAAGCCATTGCACCCAGCTGAATTCAACTTTTTTTTTTTTTTTTTTTTGAGACAGAGTCTCACTCTGTGTTACCCGGACTGGAGTACAGTGGCTCAGTCTCAGCTCACTGCAACCTCTGCCTCCCGGGTTCAAGCGATTCCCGTTTCAGCCTCCCAAGTAGCTGGGACTACAGGCGTGCACCACCGTGCCCAGCTACTTTTTTGTATTTTAGTAGAGACGGGGTTTCACCATGTTGGCCAGGATGGTCTCAATCTCCTGACCTCGTGATCTTCCCACCTCGCCCTCCCAAAGTGTTGGGATTACAGGCGTGAGCCACCGCGCCTGGCCTGAATTCAACATTTTTATTTCATTTCTTTTTTTTTTTTTTTTTTTTTGAGATGGAGTCTTGCTCTGTCTCCCAGGCTGGAATGCAGTGGCACAATCTAGGCTCACTGCAACCTCCACCTCCCAGGTTTAAGTGATTCTCGTGCCTCAGCCTTCCGAGTAGCTGGAATTACAGGCACCCACCACCACGCCTGGCTAATTTTTGTATTTTTAGTAGAGACGGGGTTTCACCATGTTGGCCAGGCTGGTCTCGAACTCCTGACCTCAGGTGATCCGCCTGCCTTGGCCTCCCAAAATGCTAGGATTACATGCGTGAGCCACCGTGCCCAGCCTCATTTCTTGATACATTTACATTCGACCAACACTGTCTACCTTTGATTTACTGATAAGAAAGGACTGAAAGGAACAAGAATAATGGGTTGCCCTGCTGTGCCATTATTTTCAGTGTAAATGACTGGCTAAAACAAGGAAGTGAATGAGTAAGAAAGATGCAGTCGGGTTCCATGGTCCTCTGTGTTTTTTAGAAAGCCATTGCCTTCTTTCTGTGTTCGAAGCAACGCATGGAAAGTGCATGAAAAGTGTCGCCTCTCCAAGCTGTTGGGGCCTCCATTTGCCCACTCTTAAATGTAACAGCCATGCCTGCCTTGTACTTGCTTCTAGCCTTGTTGCCCTCCCCCATATGGTGAGTCCACCAGAATCCTGTGCTTATGGGGCACAGTGAACTCCAGATGCAAATGCTCTGGCAAAGAGGAGTGAACACAATCTTACCTCCTCCACTGACATTCACGCTCCCTGTCCCATTGGAGTTCATTTACAAAACACAGGTTCACAGGAGGCTGAGGCAGGAGAATCGCTTGAACACAGGAGGCGGAGGTTGTAGTAAGCCAAGATCGCACCACTGAACTCCAGCCTGGGCGACAGAGCACGACTCTGTCTCAAAACAAAACAAAACACACACACAAGTTGAAAAATAAGATTATTACGAATTTTTTTTTTTTTGGAGACAGGGTCTCACTCTGTCTCCCAGGATAGAGTGCAGTGGCACGATCACAGTTCACTGCAGTCACAAACTCCTGAGCTCTAGGGATCTTCCAGCCTTAGCCTCCAAGCCCTAGACTGCAGGCGTGTGCCACCATGCCTGGCTAATTTTTATTTTATTTTATTTTATTTTTTTTTAGTAGAGATGAGGTCCTGCTATGTTACCCAGGCTGGAAGAATTTTAGGATGGCAACAGCAGATCATTAGACCAAGCAAACCTGGCCCTCTTGAGCATGGGACCTTGTGTGACTGCAGGTCGCAACCCTAGTTGTCTGGCAGTGTTTCAGTCGACATTCTTAGGAGTTTCTGCTTTTACCAGTTGAGAGACTAGCCAGGAGTGGCACGCATGAATGCCTTTATTCACTCATACTTTTTTTTAGGTATGAGCAATGTACCAGTCACTTTCTGAGGCATTGGGGCTATACCAGATTGAAAAAGGCAAGGCTGCCAGGCATGGTGGCTCACGCCTGTAATCCCACCCAGCACTTTGGGAGGCTGAGATGGGTGGATCACTTCAGGTCAGGAGTTCAAGACCAGCCTGGCCAACATGGTGAAACCCTGTCTCTACTAAAAATACAAAAATTAGCCGGGCGTGGTGGCACGTGCCTGTAATCCCAGCTACTCGGGAGGCTGAGGCACAAGAATCGCTTGAACCCAGGAGGCGGAGGTTGGCAGTGAGCTGAGATAGAGCCACTGCACTCAAGCCTGGGCAACAGAGCGAGACTCTTTCTCAAAAAAGAAAAAAGAAAAAAAGGCAAAACATGGCCTCAGTGTCAATAGTACTTACCATCTAGAGAGGAAAACCTTTTAAAGTACACAATAAATATTTATTTTATTTTTTATTTGTTTATTTTTTATACCACCAGCCTGCCCCACAACAAATATTTACATTACAGTCCTGATAGGGGCTACAAACAGAACTCCGGGAAGGGCAGGAAGACTTACCTAGGTGCGGGGGTTAGGGAAAGAATCCCGGAGGCCAAGGGTATAAGAGTCCTAGGAAGAGGAAGCAAAATATTAATAGCCTCCCAGGCTGAGGGACTAGCATATGCAAAGGCCTTGAGAGGAGCTTTGTTCAGGCAAGAAAAGAAAGAAGGCCGGCACAGCTGGAGCACAGGCGGCCAGAGGGAGGCCCGCTGTGGGGAAGGGTCGGCCTGGGGAGCTTGTTCTATGTAGCCCTTTCCCCTGACTTCCTGCCTTCACTCCCCAGTGTCCATGCTGATCAGGAATATCGAAAGATGGAAAGGCTCTTGCTCTCTTCTTATAGCAAGTCCAAGACACGTGGTGCTAGACACAGTCTACTTGGTGGAATGCTCAGGGGACTCTGGGCCCAGACCATGTGCTTGTTACCCGCTGAATTAACTATTTCCCATCATTTCCATTCGCCATCTCCAGTGAACTTTCCTATTCCTAAAATGTGGCCTCTCTTTTCTCTGATGTCTCATCACTCTCTCTCTGCTCCCTGTGACCTTTACCATGTTCTATTCTGTATTGTCTGTCTTTACGTGACTATCTTCTTATTCATCCCCACTAGACCAGAAGCCTTTTAAAGGCAAGATCTAGATGTTTCCATTGTTAAATGGCCTTACAAAGTCTTTGCGTAGAGTTGACTAAGTTAAATATACGTTTCTGTATTTTATTTTATTTTTATTTTTATTTTTTGAGACAGAGTCTTGCTCTGTCACGCATGCTGGAGTGCAGTGGCGCAATCTTGGCTCACTGCAACCTCCAGCTCCTTGGTTCCAGTGATTCTCCCATCTCAGCCTCCTATCTCAGCCTGGCATTACAGGCATGCACCACCACGCCCAGCTAATTTGTGTATTTTTAGTAGAGACAGGGTTTTGCCATGTTCGCCAGGCTGGTCTCGAACTCCTGAGCTCAGGTGATCTGCCCGTCTCGGCTACTGCACTCCAGCCTGGGAGACTTGGTCTCAAAAATAAAATATAGGCTGGGTGCAGTGGCTCATGCCTGTAATCCCAGCACTTTGGGAGGCCAAGGTGGGCGGATCACCTGAGGTCAGGATTGCAAAACCAGCCTGACCAACATGGCAAAACCCTGTCTCTATTTTTTAAAAAATTCAAAATTAGCTGGGCATGGTGGCGCATGCCTGTAATCCCACCTACTCCGGAGGCTGAGGCAAGAGAATCGCTTGAACCCGGGAGGCGGAGGTTGCAGTGAGCCGAGATCGCACATTGCACTCCAGCCTGGGCAACAAGAGCAAAACTGTCTCAAAAACAAATAAATAAATAAATAAATAAATATAAAAGAAAATAAAGAAACCGCATAGTATAATGGCTAAAATTATAGGCCCTATTTCTTTTAAGCAAAACACAAAATCCAGAAACCACAAAGGAAAACATTTGATAAATTTAACTACATCAAAAATGGAAATTTCTTCACCAGAATAAAAAATTTCACAAAGAAAAAATGCCAACTGGGAGAAAAATATTTGCAACTCATATGACAGATAATGGACTTAAAAAAAAATGGAGTTTTTACGAATCATTAAGGAGAAGCTGAATTATACATACCAGAAAAAAATACAAATTTATGTTTATATATTTGTTGGAAGTATGCAAATTCATAACAGCAAAATGCTATTTTTTTCTACTGGATTAGCAAAAATAAGGAGTTTACAATACATGGCACTGATAAGAATATGGGGAAACAGGAATTTTCACAGTGTTTGAGGAAAATGTAAATTCTTGGAACCTCTCTGGCCATATCTATCAAAATTGTAATGCGCATTACCCTTTGAGCCAGAAATTCCATTTCTAGATATTTGTCCTACAGATATACTTGTACATGTCTGTAATGACCTAAGTATCAGAATGCATATTGCACTGGGCACAGTGGCTTATGCCTCTAATCTTGACTACTCAGGAGGCTGAGGTGGGAGAATCACTTGAGGCCAGGAGTTCAAGACCAGCCTGCGCAATATAGCAGGACCCCATCTTCAAAAAAATGTTTATTGCAGCAATATTTGCAATAGCAAAAGATAAAAAGAATTTAAATTACTTTCATTGGAAAGATGGTTAAATAAATTGCATTACATTCATCCTCTGCAGCTATAAAAAATAAGTTATTTCCATATGTGCCAATTATACAAAGGATCTACAAAACATGTTAAGTGGGGGAAAAAATATGGTACACAACAGAGCGTAGAATATAATTTTGTACTTTAAAAAGGTAAGGGAAGGCTGGGCTTGGTGGCTCATGCCTGTAATCCCTACCTCTGAGGTGGGAGGGTTGCTTGAGCCCAGGATTTCAAGACCAGCCTGGGCAACATAGCAAAAAAATAAAAATGCCAAGCATGGTGGTGTATGCCTGTAGTCCCAGCTAACTTGGGAGGCTGAGATGGAGGATTGCTGGAGCCCAGGAGATTGAGGCTGCAGTGAGCTATGATTGCACTACTGTACTTTAGCCTGGACAACAGAGTGAGACCCTGTCTAAAAAAACTGGGGGAGAGGGGACAAGAAACAGAAATATACACATGTGTGCTTGTAAACACTTAGAAAATGTCTTCATATGAATGATGTCCTCTGAGAAGGGAAACAGCTAGGAGTCTGGAGTAGAACAGAGCCTTACCTTTTAATATGTACTCTTTTGTACTGTATTATCTTTTCAATAAAAATAAAAAATAAGAACACAGGCTCTGGATGTTGGAAACCTGGCTCCATCATTTTTTTAGCTGAGTAACCTCAACCCTCTAACCCTCTGTTTCTGCAAATATAAGATGGGGCTAATAACCTTCCTCTAGGCCGGGCGCGGTGGCTCACGCCTATAATCCCAGCACTTTGGGAGGCCGAGGCGGGCAGATCATGAGGTCAGGAGATCGAGACCATCCTGGCTAACACGGTGAAACCCTGTCTCTACTAAAAATACAAAAAATTAGCCAGGCGTGGTGGTGGGCACCTGTAGTCCCAGCTACTCGGGAGGCTAAGGCAGGAGAATGGTGTGAACCCAGGAGGCGGAGCTTGCAGTGAGCCAAGAGTGCGCCACTGCACTCCAGCCTGAGCGACAGAGCACAATTCCGTCCCAAAAATAAATAAATAAGTAAAAATAACCTTCCTCTATAGGACTGGCAGAAAAATTAGATCATATATAGAAAGTACCTAAAATAGTACCTGACCCAAAAAGTAGTAGTATTTGAGGCAAAAAGCCCTGGACCAGAAGTAACTTTACAAGTAGCTGCAGACAAGTCACATGACCCCCTGTGGCCCAATTGCCTCCTGTACCTAGTTGGACGAGTTGGTCCCTAAATCTCCTTACTTTTTTTTTTTAATTTTATTTTTTGAGGTGGAGTCTCACTCTGTTGCCCAGGCTGGAGTGCAGTGGCATGATCTTGGCTCACTGCAACCTCCGCCTCCCCAGCAGCTGGGATTACAGGTGCGTGCCACCACACCTGCTAATTTTTATTTTTAGTAGAGATGGGGTTTCACCTTGTTGGCCAGGCTGGACTCAAACTCCTGACCTCAAATGATCCACCTACCTTGGCCTCCCAAGTGCTGGGATTACAGGCCTGAGCCACCACACCCGGCCTCAGTTCCCTTATTTTTGTTTCCCTGTTCCGTTGAAACCTGTTTCTTGCTAGAAGTTCTAGCTCCCAAGCCAGGAGGATTTTTTAGGGAAGTAGGAGCTCCTGTGAGTAGGTACTTTTGACACCCTCCCAATTCCATATCAGACCATAAAATCGGAGCATTGGTCATGAAAAATGGAAACTGTAGTAGCAGACTTTTTTTTTTTTTTTGAGACAGAGTCTCACTCACTCTGTTGCCCAGGCTGGAGTGCAGTGGCTCGATCTCGGCTCACTGCAACCTCCGCCTCCTGGGTTCAAGTGATTCTCCAGCCTCGCCCTCTGAGTAGCTGAGATTATAGGCGTGTGCCACTTTTTTAAGATGGAGTCTAGCTCTGTCACCCAGGCTGGAGTTCAGTGGCGCCATCTCGGCTCACTGGGCTCACTGCAACCTCCGCCTCCTGGGTTCAAGTGATTCTCCTGCCTCATCCTCCCAAGTAGCTGGGATTACAGGTGCCTGCCACCACGCCCAGCTAATTTTTTATATTTTTAGCAGAAACAAGGTTTCACTGTGTTGGCCAGGCTGGTCTTAAACTATCCTGACCTTGTGATCTGCCTGCCTCGGCCTTCCAAAGTGCTGGGACTACAAATGGCAAATTTTTGTATTTTTGGTAGAGACAGGGTTTCACCATGTTGGCCAGGCTGGTCACTAACTCCTGATCTCAAGTAATCTGCCCATTTTGGCCTCTCAAAGTGCTGGGATTACAGGCATGAGCCACCGCACCGGCCTGGTGACAGATTTTTAAAGTAGGGGCAAGGAAAGGTATGACTGCTCAAGAAATAGCCTCCTAGGCCAGGCGGGGTGGCTCATGCCTGTAATAGCAATACTTTGGGAGGCCGAGGCAGGCAGATCACAAGGTCAAGAGATTGAGACCATCATGGCCAACAAGGTGAAACCCTGTCTCTACTAAAAATACAAAAATTAGCTGGGCGTGGTGGTGCGCACCTGTAGTCCCAGCTACTCAGGAGGCTGAGGCAGGAGAATTGCTTGAACCCTGGAGGCAGAGGTTACAGTGAGCCGAGATTGTGCAACTGCACTCCAGCCTGGCAACAGAGTGAGACTCCGTCTCAAAAAAAAAAAAGCCTCCTGGGTTTCATAAGATAATTGCCCGTACTGTGGGTGCCAGCAGAGGGCTTTATGGGGATCTGGGGAGGAAAATGCTGGTAATCATTTGCTCTGGGAGCAACCATATCTGGGCAGTCTTGCCTGTCTGTGGTCCTGAGGTCTCTGCCATGCTTTGGGACTGAATAAAGGAGTCTGGGAACTATGATTTGGCCTGGGAGTAAAGGGGAGCAGAAGCCCCAAGGCCATGTAGCTAGGCATGGGGTGAGTGAGAAACACAATGGGAAACCTATCTCAGTACGAGGGCTAGCGCCACCCCTGCCTCCTTCTCCAACCCAAGATGGCCATGCATTATCTTCTTTTTTTTTTTTTTTTTTTTTCTGCACCGTCATGGCTCACTTTAGCCTTGACCTCCCAGGCTCAGATGATCCTCCCAACCCCAGCCTCCTCAGTAGCTGGGACTACAGGCATGCGCCACCACACCCGGCTGATTTTTGTATATTTTGTAGAGATGGGGTTTTGCCACGTTGCCCACGCTGGTCTCAAACTCCTGGACTCAAGTGATTTGCCTGCCTTGGCCTCCCAAAGTGCGGATTACAGGCATGAGCCACTGCACCCAGCCACATTATCTTCAGGAAGTCTGTGGATGTCCTCACAGATCTCCTCAGGCAGGAGGAGAGGGCAGTTCAGTCGTACTGAGAAATGCCGGCACAGTAGACAGGCGGTCATGGCTGTCTCTCTCATGCAGGTGCTGAGCGCCGTCCTCAAGGATCTCTACCACCTGCTGAAGCACGTAGTGTGTCTGGAGCCCGATGACGTGGCCAAGCTCCATGCCCAGTTGGCCCTAGAAGAGCTGGATGACATCATGAAAAACTTCCTGTTCCCTCCACAGAAGCTGGAGAAGAAGATCATGGTCCTGCCGTAGACCTGGCTCCAAGGACGTGGAGGAGGCAGGCAGGGCCAGGCACCCAGAGCCGTGCCCAGGTCTTCCAGCAGGTGGCCCTGCTGCCTCTTGAGTGCTGGCAGCATGGCTGACCCTCGGGGTGGTTTTATGGTGCAGGTCACTTGGGTCTTCAGGGTCCCTTCCGAGGGCATGTGTTCAGCACTCCCGCGTTCAGCCTGAGGGGTGTACAGTTAAGAGAAGACAGTTACAGATCTCATTAATCTACATTTTTCACTGTCCTCTAGCATTGAAAGAAGGATGTCTACCTGGTGAAAGTATATTTTAACATGACTGATGGAATTTCACTAATTGCCCACTCTCTTGGAACTTGAGGAGAAGCGGTTGGCCACCCATATGTCACCTAGCTCTATATTCTTTCAGGCTGAGATTCTTCTTCAGGAAAATGAGGAGCAGAACTGGCCACCCTTGGCTGCTCAAGAGGCATTTCAGAGTAGGAGATGCAGTTGGAGGTGGGGAGGGGAAGGAAATAGTTATCAAATAATGCAAAATGGAATAAAGTTATCTTGGATGGAAAGAACAGGGCTAAATCTGGTCCTCTGGTGTCGAGATGGAAAACTGTGGAGTTGAAGAGGCTCTGATGCCCAGAAAGGACAATCAAGCTGGTTGACTCTTCCAGAGAAGAAGGGTAAGCCCTGTATTTATCCTCCCAGGCCATTCTTCTTCACTCCTGCTGCTGTTTGCAGAGAGTTGCCCTGATTATCAGGAGAAAAGAACCACGAGCATCCAGAGAGTTTACATCCTGCCTTCTGTCCTCTGCTCCTTCAGAAAGATGAATGCCTAGACAATGGGTTCACACTGAATGCAGGCTGGAAAGAATGCATGCTGGTGGCCTAATGCCAGGGCTGTTGAAACAATTTCAGATATAGCACTGTGGTCTCCACTTTATTTCTTTATATGTTTTGGCCGCTGCATTTTGATTGCAGCTAAAAGAGATAACAGAAAGGAGATACTGGCTGGCTGCTTCATATTAGCCCTCTCTGTTGTCAACACCTTGATGAGGCCAACCCAGAGATGCTTGATCAGTCCTCAGCTTTGCAGGGCTAGGTACAGAATTTTATCACAGGATTTTATCACGCTCTCTGGGGTGACTAGATCCACAGGAACCAAAACGCAGTTTCCAAAAGCTCGAGTGACTGAAGGATCTATACACAAACATGGCTATTTGCTAGTTAACAACAGGATATTTCTCTCTGGCCAGATCACAGACATGGTTCTGAGTCAGATCTTCCTTGGTGGCATCCCTTTAAAGAGGCCATCTTATGAACAGGATCACAAGTGAGCTTAGTGAGCAGAGAGTTAGAACAAATCTAGCTAGGTGTGTTTAAGGAATATTTCCATTCAGCTAGTGTAGCTGGATTAATTTCTATTCTCCAAATCAAGGATGTCTAGAAAATGGGCATTGTGGCTTTCAAATCTAAGAAGAATCTCCTTTGGGCCAGCTGGATGTACAATAAAAATGCTTGTTTCTTGGCCTTCCTTTAACTAGACTCCACGCAACCCACTTCAGACCAGCAGATCGAATGTGTTGCACAATCCATTTTACTTACAACTTCATTTGCATTAACCGCATTCCAGTTCTGAGGACAGATCCTGATTGACCACCTTGATTAGTCTAAGACACTATCTAGTCCAAAATCCTCGAGTGCCTCATGAAGCATCCTAGTACCTTTATCTCTATTTATAGATCACCTCTTAATTTGAACTATTTGGCAAGTGGCTGAAAACATCTGTTCTTTATTGATTTTTTTTGAGGTGGGGTCTCACTACGTTGCCCAGGCTAT
Source organism: Homo sapiens (assembly GCF_000001405.40). Lineage (NCBI taxonomy): Eukaryota > Metazoa > Chordata > Mammalia > Primates > Hominidae > Homo > Homo sapiens. The sequence continues at coordinate 69,085,482 of NC_000016.10, forward strand.
TCTCAACTTCTGGACTCAAGCAGTCCTCCCCCCTCAGCCTCCTGAGTACCTGGGATTACAGGTATGTGCCATTATGCCTAGCTCTTTATTGATCTATTTCTTCTTTCTTTCTTTTTTTTTTTTTTGAGACAGAGTCTCACTGTGTCACCCAGGCAGGAGTGCATTGGCACAACCTTGGCTCACTGCAACCTCCAACTCCTAGGCTCAAGCATCAGCCTCCCAAGTAGCTGGAACCACAGGTGCGCACCACCATGCCTGGCTAATTTTTGTGTTTTTTAGTAGAGACAGGGTTTCTCCATATTGGCCAGGCTGATCTTGAACTCCTGGCCTCAGGTGATCTGCCCAACTTGGCCTCCCAAAGTGCTGGGATTACAGGCATGAGCCACCGTGCCTGACCTTTATTTTAAGACAGTTTTGCTCTGTTGCCCAAGCTGGTATGGAGTAGTGCAGTCATGGCTCACTGCAGCCTTGACCTCCTGGGCTCAAGGAATTCTCCCACCTCAGCACCCCCGAGTAGCTGGGATCACAGGTGTGCACCACCATGCCTGGCTAATTTTTAAAATTTTAGCAGAGATGAGGTCTCGCTATGTTGCCCAGGCTTGTCTCAAACTCCTAGGCTCAAGCAATCCTCCTTACTCGGTTTCCTAAAGTGTTGGGATTACAGGCATGAGCTACCATGCCTGGCCAATTTTTTTTTCTTTTTAACAGACAGGGTCTCACTTTGTCACCCAGGCTGGAGTGAAGTGGCATAATCATACCTCACTGCAGCCTTGACCTCCTGGGCTCGAGCAATCCACCCACCTTAGCATCCCAAGTAGCTGGGACCACAGGTGTGCACTATTGCACCTGGCTAATTTTTTTTTGTAGAGACAGGGTCTTGCTATGTTGCCCAGGCTGGTCTTGAACTGCTGGCCTCAAGCAGTCCTCCCACATTAGCCTTCCAAAGCACTGGGTTTATAGGTGTGAGCCCCCACACTGGGCCCTAATGTAATCCTCTTAAACATGACCAAATTATTAAAAATTTTCAGATTTTCTATATTATGTGTGTGTGTGTGTGTGTGTGTGTGTGTGTGTGTGTGTGTATGAATGATAGTCCTTGGGAAAGAATGTTAAAACTTTAGGATAATAAAAGCACAAAAACGGCCGGGCACAGTGGCTTACGCCTGTAATCCCAACACTTTGGGAGGCCGAAGTGGGCAGATCACCTGAGGTCGGGAGTTCGAGACCAGCCTGACCAACATGGAGAAACCCCGTCTCTACTAAAAATACAAAATTAGCTGGGTGTGGTGGCGCATGCCTGTAATCCCAGCTACTCAGGAGGCTGAGGCGGGAGAATCGCTTGAACCTGGGAAGCAGAGATTGTGGTGAGCCGAGATTGCGCCATTGCACTCCAGCCTGGGCAACAAGAGCGAAACTCTGTCCCAGAAGATAAATAAAAGCACAAAAACTTAAACGAAATACACGGGAACAAAAGTGACACTTCCCTACATGGACCCTGTGAGGTGTGTCTTGCCTCCCATCCCCACCCTGCTCTTCTCCCTCAGAGACCACCTTCCCACCTCCCACCGCCCCTTCTGCTGCCGCCTCCACCTGGCTTGCTGAGGCTCTGCTGGCCCCTCACCTTCGGCGTCCTCCACCACCCAGCAGCCTTTCTCCTAGATTCCTCTGTGGCACTCACTCAGCCTTGTGCTTGGTCCCGTGCTGCCTCCTCTCCTTTTTCCCCTTCTAGGCTCTTCCTCCTCTTCCCAGGCCCGCCATCCACCACCCCCTTGCTCTACAGGGGATGGCTCAGCCACAGGAGACATGCAGAGGCCCCACTTGTGGCTACAGCCAAACCCCAGGCTTCTGCCCAAGCTTCAACTGCTTTTTCAGGTTAGACTTCCTGAACATTCTGGAGAGTTTCCCCTCTCTGCTTTGTTTTTCTTCCTCCTTGGCACAAACTTGCCCTTCTCCAAGTTCTCTGTTATTTAATCAGAAATCTCTTAACTTTTGCTTTGCTCCTTATCATCTCTCCACACTCATAATTTCCCATATTTCCCAATCTCCTCTTCCACGTCCCTTGCTTTGTTGTTGCTTTTTTTTTTCTTTTTGTATTTTTAGTAGAGACAGGGTTTCACCTTCTTGGCCAGGCTGGTCTTGAACTCCTGACCTCATGATCCACCTGCCTTGGCCTCCCAAAGTGCTGGGATGACAGGCATGAGCCACCGCACCCGGCTTTTTTTTTTTTTTTTTTTTTTTTGAGACAGAGTTTTGCTCTGTTGCCCTGGCTGGAGTGCAATGGTGCGATCTTGGCTCACTGCAGCATCCGCCTCCCAGGTTCAAGCAATTCTCCTGCCTTAGCCTCCCAAGTAGCTGGGATTACAGGCATCTGCCACCACGCCCAACTATTTTTTTGTATTTTTAGTAGAGACAGGGTTTCGCCATGTTAGCCAGGCTGGTCTCCAACTCCTGACCTCAGGTGTTCTGCCCGCCTCGGCCTCCCAAAGTGCTGGGATTACAGGCATGAGCTACTGCACCCGGCCCTTGCTTCGTTTGTTCACCCCTCTCCTCCACTTCTTTGCTTTCCTATGGCTCTGCCTGCTCATCCACATGTAAGAGCCAGTGTGCCAGGGACTGGGGTGTAGGAAAGCAAACCACAAGCAACGACAACGATTTATCGAGCACCTATTACGTACCAGATGCTGCACTGGGCCCTGAGAACACAACAGTGAACAAAACAGAACTCTTACCCTCGGGGAGAGTTTATGAGGCAGTGGAGGGAGACAGATAACAAATAAGATAAACAATGTCAAGTGGGGCCGGGCACAGTGGCTCACACCTGTAATCCCAGCAATTTGGGAGGCTGAGGCAGGCGGATCACCTGAGGTCAGGAGTTTGAGACCAGCCTGGCCAACATGGCGAAACCCTGTCTCTACTAAAAATACAAAAATTAGGCAGGTGTGGTTGGGCGCGCCTGTAATCCCAGCTGCTCAGGAGGCTGAGGCGGGAGAATCACTTAAACCCAGGAGGCAGAGGTTGCAGTGAGTGAGACTGTGCTACTGCCCTCCAGCCTGGATGAAGAGCAAGACTCCATCTCAAAAAAAAAAAAAAAAAGAAAAGACAAGAAAAAAAAGTAAAGTGGTGAGAGATGCTATGGAGAAAATAAAGTCAGGAGGGAGGAGCGTGGGAACAGTAAGTTGAGATTTGTTGTTCAGAGGTAGCCTCGCTGAGAAGTTGCTATTTGAATAACGATCAGGTGAATTAATGAGCACTAAAATAATGGGGAAAGAGTGTTCCAGGTAATGGGAACAGCAAGTGCCAAGGCCCAGAGGTAAGAGCAGGTCTCAGGAGGAAGGGGTGCTGAAGTAAGAGGATCGCTTGTGTCCAGGAGTTTGAGGCAGCAGTGAGCTGTGACTGCACCTCTGCACTCCAGCCTGGGCAGCAGAGTGAGACCCTGTCCCCAAAATGGAAAAAATAAAAGAAATGCATATAACCATACCCAGCCAGTTTTTTCCCCTCCATAAAAAGGAAGCAGTGATCCCCAGCCCTTTTCATGCCACCCCCCAACTTGGCCTCGGTGGCTCTGTTGTTTCAGCTCCTCTTCTCTGGTAGCAGCAGTTTCTCCTCTTTGGCTCAAAAAGGAGAGCAAGCGTGTTGATCTACCCTGGGTCCATCCACCTGTTTTGTCTCTTTGTCTGCGAGGGTGACTGAATGAAGTGCTGCCTGCCACCTGACTGTGCCTCTCACCCAACTGTTTGCCGCATTGGAGGGCTGGCTACAACATGTGAAAGTGGATCAATTGATAAGTCGAGAGATGAGTCATCTGACCTGTGCAAAACCAGATAAGCTTCTGCAGTCTTTGCACAGAAATCTAAAATCTCGGCCAGAATTTCTGTGGCAAAGGGAGAGAGTCAGAAACCGGAGCTGTGAGAGGTGCCACATTTCCCTGACTATGAGGGGTCTTCTTCCCCAATACGCCCCTTCCCCCAGCAGCAGCTTTGACCTCAGAGGGCCTGGCTGTGTCCTCAGCAAGCTCTGCAGCTACAGACATGCTGCAGTCACATGCAGCAGCCACACTGCAGTGCGCGGCACCTCTGCCTGCCATGCTCCACTCTGTTGGAACTGAATCACCGCTTGGGGGTTGGGAACCTGTGTTGCTCCTTACAATACCCGGTGCTGCCTCTTTCCTGCAGGCAGAGCTCAGGGCTGTGCTCAGCGCCCTCTGCACAGGCTGGCAAGGTGAGAGGGGAATGCAGACCCCACCTTCGGCCCTGGAAAGCTGAAACATCATTAGGGAGGTCATCCCCTGTTGTCCTCCCCAGTTCTTCATAGGGAGTCCGTAGCTCCACGCTACCAGGCCTCAGTTTTTGTGCCCCTCCTCCAGAGTGCCCTCTGCGGTTCTTTGTAACACAGTGTTGCAAGATCAGTGTTTGCATTTCCTTTATTTTGGAAAGTCATTTTCCATCCATAAGCTTGTCTGATTCTCACAACAATCTTGAAGAACAGGGAGGCAGGCTCTTGACATCCTCCCTTGGTGGGATTTGGCTCCAAGTCTGCTGGGTCGCAGCCAGGAGCCTGTTTACTACATCGGAAGACCCTCCATGAAATGTTTTGAACATCTGTTGAATACAATGGAGCTTCTTCCCACAAAGTGAGTACAGAAGTACAAGCCTTTCAAGCAGAGTAGAGTTTGAGATGCAAACTCAGGTACTCACATATACACATGAATCCCAACACGTGGGGCCCACCAAGAAGGCGTTTGTGCTCCACTGACACATGGTCGGCGCTGCCTACCACCTCCCCCGTGCTGGCCCTCTGCCCTCCAGTCTGAGGAGTGGTACAGCCCGCAGGTACAATGCCTGGCTGCTGTGCGTATTTGTGTACATTTTCAGATGATACGTGATGTGACTTAGAACAAGTTTAATGTATCTGTAGTTTGTAATATGTGCACTTGGCACTTTTTTTTTGGAGACAGTCTCTCTCTGTCACCCAGGCTGGAGTGCAGTGGCACAATCACAGCTCACTGAAATCTCTATTTCTCAGGCTCAGGTGATCCTCCCACCTCAGCCTCCTGAGTAGCTGAAACTACAGACGTGCACCACCACACTGAGCTAATTTTTTTTTTTAGACGGAGTCTTGCTCTGTTGTCCAGGCTGGAGTGCAGTGGTGCAATCTCGGTTCACAGCAACCTCTACCTCCCGGGTTCAAGCAATTCTCCTGCCTCAGCCTCCCGAGTAGCTGGGACTACAGGGGCGTGCTACCACGCCTGGCTAATTTTCGTATTTTTTAAAAAGTAGAGACAGGGTTTCGCCATGTTGCCCAGTCTGGTCTCAAACTCCTGGGCTCAAAAGATCCACCTGCCTCGGCCTCCCAAAGTGCTGGGATTACAGGTGTGAACCACTGTGCCCAGCACGATACATATTAATTCCCTTGACCCTCACACTCTGAGATAGGTCTTACTATGACTACAGATGGGAAAACTGAGGCACACAAGAGGCAAATTACTTGCCCAGATTACATGACCAGTAAGGAGTAGCCAAACCAGTATTTGGACCCAGGTAGTCTTTCTCCAAAGGCTGTGCTTTTTACACTGTGCATTGCTGCTGCCCAAGAGATACCGTATTTCCAAAGAAAGAAAAATTCCCACGATCTCACCTCAACTCCTGCCCAAGATTACCACTGACAACTGGTGCAAAATCCCTCTAGATCTTTATTTATTACCATATTTTATTACCCCAAATAGTGCCCCGCATCATTTTTTCTGAGTCATATACCTTGGAGACACTCATATCAGTACTCACAGATCTCTTCCTTTGTGATGATGGCATGGCTTCCATTGTTTGGGTAAACTGCAGCTTAATCATTTGTTTATTGATGGTTCCATTGACTTGTTTCTAATTTCCAATGGTTTTTCAATGATTCTCAGACATAACTTTGCATACCGAAACGTTTCTATGCAATAGGTCTTAAAAGGTTGGAGTGCCAGATCAAAAGCGTATAACCATTTCAAATGTTAGTACCAAATGTCCCCCCAAAAGTTTGTACCAATCTACATTCCCCCACCCTCAGCTGACTTTGCTTTAACACCCATGAAATGCAAGTTCAGTCTCAAAGCAGTGTTGATACCATTCTCTAAATAATTCAGGACTAGGAAGCCTTCAGGGCTGGAGTTTTCTGTGTACCAAAACCAACAACAGGGACACGCTAATATGCTTTGCAAGTTACACCCACCAGCAGCCGTGTCCCAGGTGCAAATACTAATTAGTGGCTTATAATTACTAGTTCGTGGCTTATACATAGTCATCCGGGAGAGAAATCTTGAGCCCCTGCAGGTCTATTTAAAAGAGGTTTCTCATCTCTGAGACTCTGCCCTTGGTGTATAGGGTATGCCTTCTCATGGGGTTTGGAATGGCCCTAGAATAATGACTATATTTCCCAAACCAGATTCAGGACATAAGGTCTGATGGCCCCTTAAAGTACGGGTTCATCTGGAAAGCCCAGGTTGAATGGTTGTACCTCTGCATCACTGTATGTCAAGATCACAGTTACAGTTAACACTAAAAAGCTTATTATGCCCTTCTGTGTACTTAACACATATTAATCCCGTTAGCCCTCACACTGGGCCTGTGAGATAGGTCTTACTATGACCCTGTTCTACAGATAGGAAAACTGAGGCACACACGAGGCTAATTGCCTCAGATTACATAGCCAGTAAGAAGCAGCCAAACCAGTACTGGACCCAAGCAGTCTGGCTCCAAAGGCTGTGCTTTTTCCCACCGTGCTTGCTGCTACCGATACATAGATACTGTATTTCCAAATTGTTAAAATCTGTTCTTAGTATAAGTGTGGATAAAGAAAGTGGTTCCCACGTGGTGGTCACACCTGTAATCCCAGCATTTTGGGAGGCCGAGGCAGGTGGATCTCTTGAGATCTGGAGCTCAAGACCAGCCTGGCCAACATAGTGAAACACCGTCTCTACTAAAAATGTAAAAATTAGCGAGGTGTGGTGGTATGCATCAGTAGCCCCAGCTACTCGGGAGGCTGAGGCAGGAGAATCACTAGCCCAGGAGGCAGAGGTTGCAGTGAGCCAAGATCGTGCCACTGCACTCCAGCCTGGGTGACAGAGTGCAACTCCGTCTCAAAAAAAAAAAAAAAAAAAAGTGATTCCCTGCTTGTTTAAATGGAACACCTATGTCAACTTAAGCTTTAACCCAAATAGCCTCAAAAGAGTGTCCTAGTACATCAAAACCCAACCTCAAGCCAGGCACGGTGGTTTGTAATCCTAGCTACTCAGGAGGTCTTGGCAGAAGGATCATTTGAGCCCAGGAGTTTGAGGCCAGCCTGGGCAACATAGCAAAATAATCTCTGGGAAAACAACCACAGAAACAACCTCAGACACCAAAATTTGTTATACCTCTTGAGTTTGACCTTGTAGTTTGCCCAGAAGCTGGGAGGAGGTGTGTGAAAGCTCCGCAGCCCACCTGCTCCTGCACTTTGGCAGCTTTGGTAAATTGCTTATGGAAAGGCTTCTTTTGTAGAGTGGCCAAGATAGTAAACATCTAAGACTGCCTTCCTGGGAGCAGAGGAGGCAGAAAGCCATGTGGCAAATGTGCAACATAGAAAATGTAGCAAGTCTTCCCATGAACTCCAGAAATGTCTTCTTTGAAGATTGTTGCTTTCCCATCCATTTCCTATAAGCAGGGCTTCAATTTTCAGATACCATTCTCAGAATAACATTGTATCATTTTTGTTTGTTTTTTGTTTTGTTTTTTGAGACAGGGTCTCTGTCACTCAGGCTGGAGTGCAGTGGCGCAATCTCGGCTCACCTGCAATCTCCACCTCCCGAGTTCAAGCGATTCTCCTGCCTCAGCCTCCTGAGTAGCTGGGATTACAGGCGCATGCCACCACACACAGCTACTTTTTGTATTTTTTAGTAGAGATGGGGTTTCACCATGTTGGCCAGGCTGGTCTTGAACTTCCGACCTCAAGAGATCAGTTCACCTTGACCTCCCAAAGTACTGGGATTATAGGCATGAGCCACTGAGCCCAGCCTACAGTGTATCTTTTTTTTTTTTTTTTTTTTTTTTGAGACGGAGTTCCACTCTTGTTGTCCAGGCTGGAGTGCAATGACATGATCTCGGCTCACCGCAACCTCCACCTCCCGGGTTCAGGCATTTCTCCTGCCTCTGCCTCCCGAGTAGCTGGGATTACAGACATGTGCCACCACACCCGGCTAATTTTGTATTTTTAGTAGAGACGGGGTTTCTCCATGTTGGTCAGGCTGGTCTCGAACTCCCGACCTCAGGTGATCCGCCCACCTCAGCCTCCCAAAGTGCTAGGATTACAGGCATAAGCCACTGCGCCCGGCCTACAGTGTATCATTTTTAACAGTTATTCCTTGCAAGAAGCTCAAAGCATAAATACATTAATAGCTCTATTCCCATACCATTCCTTGAGAGAGGAAAAAGAAGCTGGGTTAATGGCCCTCTTTGAAGAAGGGAAAAATAAGGTCCAGAGAGGTCAATTATTGCAAATAAAAAATCAGTCAGTTGGCCAGCCCCTAACTCCAGCACAGAGCTGCAGGAGGCTGAGGGCAGGAGCTGCTGATTTCAGGAGAGAGTGGTTTGCAGAGTGGGTGTGGTGCCGGAGCACAGGAGCACCTCTTCTGGGGAACTAGGAAAGCTACTGGGCCTTTAAGTGGTTTATTAAATGATGTCAGATTTCGTCTTTACTGTCTACCTTAAGAGCAGGAGGCAGCTCAGGAGAGCTCCTGGGTGGGGTTTTTCTAATGTATTATCACACACACAGGTAGCCACCTGGCGCTGGGGAGAACAAAGCAGCCTGCTCTGCACTCCCAGAGTCTCTAGAGCCACCCCCACCACACACACACACCTTCACTGGACCACACACCACCTTCAAAACTTCAAAACTTGGCGACCATGTTAATCCTAGAGAAAGGCCAGCCTGAAAATAGGCTGTCTATGAAGAGAAGCGAATGGGAATGCTAATGTTTCAGAGACCTGAGGTTTTTGCTGTTCCAAGATTTCAAAGGACAGGTGCTAAGTTGTGTGTCTTTCTCTGTGGACAAGACCAGGGCGGTGTGATAGACAGAGTAATGGGGACTCCATTCCCCAAAAGAGAGCAGCTCAGACCCCTCATGAGTCTCTAGAGACTATCCTTCCCCATCCTTTGGGTGGGGAAATCCCCACAGTGCAGAAGTTCTGTCCTTTAGAAAACAAAGTGAATCCAAGTTGTTTTGACAGTTCTGTCCTCCTACAGACAAGGGCTGGCTGGGTTTTTCCCAGTTCTGGAAAAAGGCAGACAGCAAACTGAGTGAACAAAACGGTTGTTGAAATCTAATTCCAGGTGTATCGGAGAGACCTGGGGACTCATCTCGTCCATCTGATCCTGTTCCTCTGTTTCTCCCCGGCTCTCCTTCCTAATTTCCAGCTCAAATCCACATCCTTCCTTCTTTTATTTTGTTCCTTCTGGCTTGACAGCTCACTAGTCCATTGTTAACTTTTTTTTTTTTTTTTTTTTGAGACAGTGTTCGCTCTGTCACCCAGGCTGGAGTGCAGTAACACAATCTCAGCTCACTGCAACCTCTGCCTCCCAGGTTCAAGGGATTCTTGTGCCTCAGCCTCCCAAGTAGTTGGGATTACAGGCACGCGTCACCACACCTGGCTAATTTTTTTTGTATTTTTAGTAGAGAGAGGGTTTCGCCATGTTGGCCAGGCTGGTCTTGAACTCCTGGCCTCAAGTGATCCACCAGCCTCAATCCCTCAAAGTGCTGGGATTACAGGCTTGAGCCACTGCACCCAGCCCATTGTGAAGTTTTTAAGGTTAGTAAATTAAACAGGTGCCAACACCGTGGCAGGCCTGGTGCTGGAGGAAAATGGACAGACACTCTTCTTACGTGCTCTAGAGCTCACCGCCTGACTGGCTGGCTCTTGACTGGCCTCTCGGTGCCAGAAATGCACTTGTAAGTCTCCGCTGAGGAGAACCCTCGGGCTGTGTTCTCAACCCTGGATGCAGAATAGAATTGCCTGGGGAATTTTTTTTTTTTTTAATCAAGCCTGGGGTCCACCCCCAGTGATTCTGATTAAATTGATCTGGGATGGGTTCCAGGCATTCATGATTTTTAAAAGCTCTACAGGTTTTCAAAGTCTACTGTGCAACACCCTGCCAGACATGGGAATCACTACATTGGCTTATCTGATGAGAAAAGAAAATCAGGGAGTGGGGGTCCTAGCCAAAAAAAAAAAATTAACTGCTGCAAGTAGGACATATTTTGGCAGGGGGTCCCCTCCAACAAAGGCACCGATGGGAATGGCCCCTACCCTCAGCTTCGCTCTAACTGCTTTTATAAAGGGTCTAACTTTGGACCTCCTGTGTGACAGTGACTAATGATGTCTTTCATCAAGAAAGAAGACAAAGCAGAAGTGCCAGCACAATTAAGAATTGTGGGGCCATGGCTGGGCGCGGTGGCTTACGCCTGTAATCCCAGCACTTTGGAGGCTGAGGCAGGTGGATCACTTGAGGTCAGGAGTTTGAGACCAGCCTGACCAACATGGTGAAATCTCATCTCTACTAAAAATACAAAAAATTAGCCGGGCACACTGGTGCGTGCCTGTAATCCCAGCTACTCAGGAGGCTGAGGCAGGAGAATCGCTTGAACCTAAGAGGCCGAGACTGCAGTGAGCAGAGATCATGCCACTGCACTCCAGCCTGGGCGACGGAGTCAGACTCCGTCTCAAAAAAAAAAAAAAAAAAAAGAATTGTGGGGACATGGCTGGGCACGGTGGCTCACGCCTGTAATCCCAGCACTTTGGAGGTGAGGCAGGTGGATCACTTGAGGTCAGGAGTTTGAGACCAGTCTGGCCAATGTGGTGAAACCCTGTCTCTACTAAAAATATTTTTTGACAATTAGCCAGGTGTGGTGGCACACGCCTCTAGTCCCAGCTACTTGGGAGGCTGAGGCAGGAGAATTGCTTGAATCCGGGAGGCGGAGGTTGCCGTGAGCAAAGATCACACCATGCATTCCAGTCTGGATGACAGAGGGAGACTCTGTCTCAAAAAAAAAAAAAAAAAAAAAAAAAAAAAAGAATTGTGGGGCCAGGCTTGGTGGCTCACACCTGTAATCCCAACACCAATTTTTTTTTTTTTTTTTTTTTGGAGACGGAGTGTCGCTCTGTCACCCAGGTTAGAGTGCAGTGGCGCCATCTCGGCTCACTCCAACCTCCGCCTCCCGGGTTCAAGTGATTATCCTGCCTCAGCCTCCCGAGTAACTGAGACTACAGGCAAGCACCACCACGCCCAGCTGATTTTTTGTATTTTTAGTAGAGATGGGGTTTTATCATGTTAGCCAGGATGGGCTCAATCTCCTGACCTCGTGATCCGCCCACCTCAGCCTCCCAAAGTGCTGGGATTACAGGTGTGAGCCACTGCGCCCAGCCTAATCTGAGGTGGGAAGATCGCTTGATCCCAGGAGTTCGAGACCAGCCTGGGAAACATGGTGAAACCCCATCTCTACAAAAAAATACAAAAAGTAGCCGGGCATGGTGGCACGTGGTCCCAGCTATTTAGGAGGCTAAGGTGGGAGGATCCCTTGAGCCCGAGAAGTTGAGGCTGCAGTGAGCCGTGATTGCACCACTGCACTCCAGCCTGGGCAACAGAGCAAGACTGAGAAAAAAAAAAGAATTATGGTTGATTTTATTGTAACAAGAGCCAAACAAGCCGGGTGTGGTGGCTCATGCCTGTAATCCTAGCACTTTGGGAGGCCGAGGCAGGTGGATCACAAGGTCAGGAGTTCAAGACCATCCTGGCCAAGATGGTGAAACCCCGTCTCTACTAAAAATACAAAAGTTAGCCAGGGATGGTGGCAGGCTGAGGCAGAGAATTGCTTGAACCCAGGAGGGAGAGGTTGCAGCGAGCCAAGATCAGGCCATCGCACTCCAGCCTGGGTGACAGAGCGAGACTCTTTCTCCAAAAAAAAAAAAAGAGCCAAACAAATTCGGAACAAGCTTACCTTAAGTGTAGACAGGGATTGTGTTCCACCACTCTGGGAAGGAGTGTGCACTTGTGTGTCCATTTTGTGTCACGTAACTACATGTGTGTGGTGCAGACACTTGCGTGGGAGTAGGCTTACAATGCGCACAGGAGAGAACCTCTCCCTGGGACTTCCCTGGGTGGGAGGACATTGCTGCTGACATCACCAGGCTTGGAAATCCTTTCTTCAGGGAAAAGCCTCCTTCTAGGGGAATCCTAGAGCCGTATTTAGCATGTGCCTCCCCCTCTTGCCCAGGACCACTGTGGTCCTCAATGAGGAGGTGAGTGTGGACTGCCCCAGCTGGGGTGTGCCAGCCAAGCCATGTGCCTTTTTATAATTCCCTCAAAGGTGCCCAAAGAGCTGGCATAGCTCTGCAGACTCCGCCTTTCCCTGCTACATTCTCTCAAAGGAACAGTGGGAGGAATTTACATAAAGGAAATCACTCTGGTTTTGGCTACCACTAATCCTAAATCCTGGCCCTCCCACTTTATTTACTGCTTTCACTGTAAACTGAGGTTGTGAAACCTTTTTCACATGAATCCATGTATGATAGAGACTGCACCCCACCCTGCCCGGGCTTATAAGGAAATCCTGCCAGGCGCGGTGGCTCATGCCTGTAATCCCAGCACTTTGGGAGGCCGAGGCGGGAGGATCACGAGGTCAGGAGATCGAGACCACAGTGAAACCCCGTCTCTACTAAAAATACAAAAAATTAGCTGGGCATGGTGGCAGGCACCTGTAGTCCAAGCTACTCAGGAGGCTGAGGCAGGAGAATGGCGTGAACCCGGGAGGCAGAGTTTGCAGTGAGCCGAAATGGCGCCACTGCACTCCAGCCTGGGTGACAGAGCAAGACTCCGTGTCAAAAAAAAAAAAGGAAATCCTGTGAACTCAGAATTTATCTTCATTTTTTTTTTTACAACATGGGGTCTCTCTGTGTTGTCCAGGCTGGTCTCAAACTCCTGGACTCAGGCAATCCTCCCACTTCAGCCTCCTGAGTAGCTGGGACGACATGCACATGGCACTGTGCCTGGCCTTAAAATACCTTTTTATTACAAAATTGTTTTACTTATTAATAGAAATTTCAGAGAAAAAAAATCCATTGTTCTACCACTTGATTTTAATATCAAACCTATTAATATATTATCAAACCTGATTTTTTTTTTTTTTTTTTTTTTTTTTTAGTTTCACTCTTGTTGCCCAGACTGGAGTGCAGTGGCACAATCTCGGCTCACCACAACCTCCGCCTCCCAGGTTCAAGCGATTCTCCTGCCTCAGCCTCCCAAGTAGCTGGGATTACAGGCATGCACCACCATGCCCAGCTAATTTTTTATTTTTAGTAGAGACAGGGTTTCTCCATGTTGGTCAGGCTGGTCTCGAACTTACGACCTCAGGTGATCTGCCTGCCTCTGCCTCCCAAAGTGGGATTACAGGTGTGAGCCACTGCGCCCAGCCTGAACCTGATCTTTTTTTTTTCTTTTTAAGACAGAGTCTCGCCCTGTCGCCCAGGCTGGAGTGCAGTGGCGCGATCTCGGCTCACTGCAAGCTCCGCCTCCCGGCTTCACGCCATTCTCCTGCCTCAGCCTCCTGAGTAGCTGGGAATACAGGCTAATAAAAAATTAGCCCAGCTAATTTTTTGTATTTTTAGTAGAGACGGGGTTTCACCGTGTTAGCCAGGATGGTCTCGATCTCCTGACCTTGTGATCTACCCGCCTCGGCCTCCCAAAGTGCTGGGATTACAGGCGTGAGCCACCGCGCCCGGCCAAACCTGATCTTAATGATCAAACCTGACCTTGATATTTGGGTGAACTTCTCACCTGCCTTTAATTCATTTTTTTTTTAGATGGTGTCTTGCTCTGTCGCCAGGTTGGAGTGCAGTGGCGCAATCTCGGCTCACTGCAACCTCTGCCTCCCGGGTTCAAGCGATTCTACTGCCTCAGCCTCCCGAGTAGCTGGGACTACAGGTGCACACCACCATGCCCAGCTAATTTTTGTATTTTTAGTAGAGGTGGGGTTTCACCATGTTGACCCGGATGATCTCGATCTCCTGACCTCATGATCCACCCACCTCAGCCTCCCAAAGTGCTGGCATTACAGGCGTGAGCCACCGCGCCCAGCCTAATTCATACGATTTTAAAGAAAACAACAACATAAATGCAGGTATGCATACATAACGATTGTGTCTCCTGTTCGTTACTTAACACTGCATCGTAGGTGTCTGGAGTATTCCTCCATTGTCCTCATGAACGTGTTTTTTTAGTAGCTGCACAATATTCCACTAAAAAGATAAGTGTTGAAAATTGCCTTCTGGGTTTTTTTTTTTTTCTACACTCACCTAGGGGAGGGAGAGAAAAGAAAGATGGCTGGGAAGAGCTTTTTCTGTTTAGGATTCTGAGAAAAGCATCTCCAGGTCTGATTTGATATTCGGTTATCGGTCTAGTGTGCCCCTCCTAATCCTGACCTTCAAGCCAGCATAAAAGAACCTGGCCCCTTAGCAGGGGCTGACCGCTTTGCCTCCAGCAGAGCAGAGGCCCCTTAATTTGAAATGAAACGATTCTTCCATCAAAGGAGAGGGAGACTGGAGTTAAAATCGAACCATTCTAACGGCAGCACAGGAAAGTCCTTAAGCCTGCTTCTTCAAACATAGCACCTGGAAATGGTCCTGATTACACAGTGCTTGTCAGTAAGAGGGGAAAGTTATGAAAGAATAACTTTGTTTGGTGGTAGCTGCCTTGCTGTAGTCAAGGCACACACTTTCCACTTTGAATTATGTATTAACTAGCATTGCAGCTGAAGCCGCCTTGAAGAGAAAGCCCTGTTTGGGCAGCTGCGGGAACATAACCTGCTACTATTCGGGAGCCATTTTCAGTTCGCCCTCCTTAGCTTCAAGAGGTTTTCATGGTGGTCAGCCCAGGGAAAGTGGATGGGGATGAAACTTGGAGGGTTGGAGGCAGCCTGGGTAGCTTGGCTGCCATCCTCCATTCTGTTTTGCTTTGCTGGAAGTGATGGGCTGGATGCCAGGGAGGAGCAGTGAAGCGTTAAGGGCAGAGGGTGAGGGGGCAGCCTATAGAGCTTGGATGCCCCTCCTCCCGCCTCCCCTGCTCAAGCCACTCACTAGGAGACAGCGGAGCAGAACCGTGGGACGATGGAGCACCTGGGTCCTGGCAAGGTTGCTCTGCAGCTTCCGGCACTGGTGATGACAGAGAGGTTACGGGTGCAGGATATTTGAGCATTTCGTGAGTTTGGATTTGGAATTTCATTGAAAGGTGAAATCTTTGTGGAACTGTCAGCTTCAGTTACCTCCAACCTGCTAAAGCTTTGAGAAAGGCCCCTTGAACTCTCTGCACCGTCGAGTACTTTTCTCTTGGTTATGCCTCCAGTGTTGGAGGATTATTCCTGGCGTGCAAGGCACTCATTTAGGATTATTCCTTGTCACTGCCTGTGCTCACCTCCACCTCCAGAAGGCAGCACCCACACTTCTCATCGTGGCTTCTCCTCAGCCTTTTATTGTTGCATCTGCCTCCTAACAGATCTCCCATACCCCATTCCTAGTCCTTACCCCAAAATGCTGCCAGCCCAACCTTCCCCAAACAGTACTTGCAATCTACTCCTATCTTGCTCAGACATGTTCGGTAATTCCCCATAACCTACTGGATACAATTCAAACTCCTTATTTGGTCACTCCAAGTCCTCCACTCCGGTCCTAGCATCCTCCTCCTCACAGCAGCTAGAGGGTAACAGGCACTTCCTACACAGCAGGCCCGGCTGGAACAGGCCCTGCTGGAAGCTCCTTTATTTTTATTTTTTATTTTGAGGCAAAGTCTTACTCTGTCACCCAGGCTGGAGTGCAGTGGTATGATCTCGGCTCACTGCAACCTCCGCCTCCCGGGTTCAAGGGATTCTCGTGCCTTAGCCTCTTGAGTAGCTGGGATTACAGGCATGTGCCACCACGCTTGGCTAATTTTTGTGTTTCTAGTAGAGACGGGTTTCACCATGTTGGTCAGGCTGGTGGAACTTTAGTGTAGATTTCTTCTTCCACCCTGGCCTCTCTTGGCTGTCCTCTAAACACATGTCCCCCATTCCTACACCTGGTCTTGTACTTAAGCTATCCTTCCTACCTAAAATGTTCTTCCCTTTCTACATAGCAGCTCAGGTTCCCCATGAAACTGCCCAGCCTGTTCCAGCTCACAGAGACCTTTCCTGAAATCCTCAAACTCCTCATGTTGGATTCTCTCATCAATATTTAATTATAAACTGCCTTGTACAGTTTATACTTGTACTCTTTTTTTTTTTTATGAGACGGGGTCTCGCCCTGTCGCCCAGGCTCGAGTGCAGTGGCACGATCTCGGCTCACTGCAACCTCCGCCTCCCGGGTTCAAACGATTCTCCTGCTTCAGCCTCCCAAGTAGCTGGGATTACAGGCGCAAGCTGCCACACCTGGCTAATTTTTTGTATCTTTAGCGGAGACAGGGTTTCACCATGTTGGCCAGGCTGGTCTTAAACTCCTGACCTCGTGATCCACCTGCCTCGGCCTCCCAAAGGGTTGGAATTACAGGCATGAGCCACTGTGCCCGGCCTATACTTGTACTCTCAAGCACATTTGTCTTCAAAATGGGTAACGTTCTAGATGGCAGGGACCAGCCCGAGATCTCCAGGTGCCAAAGCAGTGTTCTCTACTCAGAGCAGGGCTTCAGCGTTTGTTAAATGAGTGTTGTAAGTGCAGCGTGAATCTTCTACTACTGAGCCAAATAGGAAGGCTTATTTATCCTCTGGAACCTGTGGAAAAGCCAATTCAGCAACATCTGAATTCATGTTTTTAAGTGATTGGGTGTGGAATTAGCCCTATTTCTAAATCCCCAGTGGTAAGCAGAGATAAACTCGAGCTTGATTGTAGCAGCCCCTTAAAGAAACCCCTCCCCACCTCCCCGTGAAGGGATGAATGCAAATAGGACACCACAAACTGGATGCTAATTACAGGCAAATCCTCCCTGGCATAGACTGCCATAAAGGTAAAGACTCTCTTATCTGCCTGATAACACCAGGTCCCTGGCCCTGCAGATCAGAAAAAAAGAGAGTGCTCCCTAGGGCAGGCCATTTAGGGGGCAAAGCCAATTAATTGGTACAGGCAGGGTGTTTGTTGTCCTCATGAGGTTCTATCTGGACCCACTGTTGGTTAAGGAGGTTTTCATGGACTCGTGAGGTTGTGCTGAACCAGCCCCACCACCTGGAAAACTCCGTGGAGCTGGCGGCGTGAGAAGGGCAATAAGCCTTGGGACACAGTTGGAGTCTAAGAAACTAACTAGGCATGAGATGGTCCTGGCCCAGCCCCAGGGAGACAAACTTGCACCCAGAGAAGTCATGTTGCTGCTGAGTGAGGACGGAAGGGATCCTTCCAAACTGGCTTCTCCATTCCTTGGGCTTCTAAACAGGTCACTTACAAGCAGCCAGTTGGCTGGATATGACTCAGACACATTATGTCTGGCCTGTGGAGTGTGCATGTGTGTGTGTGTGTGTGTGTGTGTGTGTGTGTGTGTGTTTCCTTCAACATTTGAATTACCAATGCTTAAAAAAATTAGGAGATTTCACATACAAAATCTGGATTTCTGGCTTCTCTTGACAACAGAGCACCTGGCCACATGAGGCCCTCCCTCCACAGGGAGATGAGCCTCTAAACGGAGCGTTTGCTCTCCACCAGGCTGATGCACTCATTTTTGCCCTTGCCAAGCCCCTGCTTATTTTCTCTGATGTTGCAGATTGCAAATCTGGGAAGGAGGAAGGATCAGAGATATCCTCATCTGCAGCAACTCCAGGGGTCTGTGATGCCTCTGGGTGTGCAGGAGGTAGCCCAGGGCTCCAGGGTTCATAATGCAAGAGAGACAAGACATTTTTCTTTCTTTCTTTCTTTTGAGATGGAGTTGCCCTCTTGTTGCCTAGGCTGGAATGCAGTGGCACGATCTCGGCTCACTGCAACCTCTGCTTCCTGGGTTCAAGTGATTCTCCTGCCTCAGCCTCCTGGGTAGCTGGGATTACAGGCGCCTGCCACCACACCTGGATAATTTTTTGTATTTTTAGTAGAGACAGGGTTTCACCATGTTGGCCAGGCTGGTCTCAAACTCCCGACCTCAGGTGATCCACCCGCCTCAGCCTCCCAAAGTGCTGGGATTACAGGTGTGAGCCACCACACCCGGCCAGGCAGTTTTCTTTTATTCAAACACTGATCCTTGAACTTGCTGTCACTGAGTGCTCTAGAGGGATGGCCATGTAGAACCCGTGGCATGGGCAAAGGATGCTGCTGTCTGGTTTACTAACACTTGCTGAGCGCTTACCCTCAGCCAATCTCTTCAAACTTCCTATCAGTCCGCCTAGCAATCCCATCTGTGGGATGAAGACACTGGGGCTTACTGGCAGACTCTAGAGCCCTCCCCTCCACCAACCTAAGGCTTCTTCTCCATCTTTGTGTAAGTAGGAATGGCTCTGGTAGGGCCCCTCAGGCCATCTGAAGTTCAAAACACATTGGCAGCTGGGCTGGATAGCATGCCTATAGGACTAGCTCCTAGGGAGGCTGAGGCGGAAGGGCTGCTGGAGTCCAGGAATTTGTTTTTGAGACAGCGTCTTGTTCTGTTACCCAGGCTGGAGTGTAGTGGTTCGATCATAGCTCACTGTTGCCTTGACCTCCTGGGCTCAAGCAATTCTCCTGCCTCAGCCTCCCTAGTAGCTGGGACTACAGGCACACTCCACCATGCCTGGCTAATGTTTTTTTTTTTTTTCTTTTCTTTTCTTTTTCTTTTTTTTTTTATTTTTATTTTTTGAGATGGAGTCTCACTCTGTCGCCCAGGCTGGAGTACAGTGGCATAATCTTGGCCCACTGCAACCTCTGTCTCCTGGGTTTAAGCGATTCTTCTGCCTCAACCTTCCCAGTGGCTGGGACTACAGGCACGTGCCACCATGCCTGGCTAATTTTTGTATTTTTTAGTAGAGATAGGGTTTCACCATATTAGCCAGGCTGGTCTCTAACTTCTGACCTCGTGATCCGCCCACCTCGGCCTCCCAGAGTGTTGGGATTACAGGCGTGAGCCTGCACCCGGCCCTGGCTAATTTTTTAATTTTAATTTTTGTAGAGACGGGGGAAGTCTCGCTTTGTTGCCCAGGCTGGTCTTGAACTCCTGGCCTCAAGCGATCCTCCATCTTCAGCCTCCCAAAGTGCTGGGACTACAGGTGTGAGCCACTGTGCCTGGCCAATAATGTAAGATGGGATTGTGTGGAGTAGGTGTGCCTGGGGTCTTTGCTTGCCTGCGGGGACTGAGGTGTGAGGTCTGTGGCCCAGACTGAGCAATGGTGGGCAGGCAAGTCCCTGAGCCCCTAAAACTTGCGAGAGGAGAAGTTTATAGACTGCAGCTCAGGTGCCTATAAATTTGTTGCAGCTTGGGAAGAAGTGATAGAAATTATATCAGGTGTATTTGGAAAACAGGTAAACTCTGTTTTTTGGTTTTTTTTTTTTTTTTTTTTTTTTTTTTTTTTGGAGACGGAGTCTCGCTCTGCTGCCCAAGCTGGAGTGCAGTGGTGCGATTTCAGCTCACTGCAACCTCCACCTGCGGGGTTCAAGCGATTCTCCTGCCTCAGCCTCCCGAGTAGCTGGGATTACGGGCATGGTGCCCGTAACGCCGAAAGTGCTGAGATTACAGGCTTGAGCCACGGCGCCCGGCCACTCATTTTTTAAAAACTAGTTATTAATTATAATTTCTCTTCAAGTTTTCCTGAGATGTAAAAACTCATCGCCTTCAGCTGGTTCTAAACTTCTTGTCTCTGCTAACAACTCTCCCCCCTCCTCGATCTCACCCCACCCCAGTGCACCCCAACTCACTTCATCTCACTTTACTCGAGTCTAGCACTATCTTTTAGGGACCTGAAAACTACTGTCGATAAGGTCAGTTGGGAATTTAGGAGGTCATGGATGTCGGAAATAAAGGTGTGAAAAAGAAGAGGAGGAATTGTTTTGGCTTTAAGACACCGGAACCTCCAAGGTTCCTACAAAACCGTTTGCAGCTTTTGCAAACCGCCTTAAAGTCATCAGCGCCCCACTGCGGAATTCAAAGCTAAGCTGTCACAATTGTTAACACCTTCTTTGACCAGCCTTTTTACATTTGACAATTCTCTTCAGCGCCTCTTTCCTGCCAGCAGGAAGGTTTTGCTGCCTTGGCTTTCGGGAGCCCCCTAGACAGCGAACTGCCCCTTCGCGTGCAGAAGTCGGGGAAGAGTGCTCTCAGCTCGCCTTCCTTGCAGGGTGAGTAGGTTTTGCGGGTTAGAGAGCGGGGCGTGGGGGCGGGGAGGGAGAGTAACAATTTTGGAAGTCCCTGCGTGGTATCTGGAAAGTTAACGACGCTTCAGGTTCTAGGTTGAGCCCAATGACCGTCTTGCCTTGGCAGCTGGTCCCAGGGCGATTGCAGAGCCGCGTGGCCTTCGGCCCCACTCGGGGGACCCAGCTTCGGAGAGGGCGCAGGGGCTGCGAGTCTTGCGAGCCGGAGCCGCGTCCACCCGGGACTAGGCGTCCCCGCCGAGCGCTGGCTTGTGGCGCTCCCTGGGACCGCGCGGGGTCGGGGGTGCGCCCGCGGGGGCCCTCCCACTCTGGTCAACTTTCCCGGCCCCAGGGCCGGGGGAGGCGCCTCTCCTGGCGGGCACGCGCCGGGTACTTAAGGGCGGCTCGGCTGGGCAGGCGGCAGTCGGAGCGCGCGGCGGCGCGGAGCGGAGCGGGAGGAGGGGCATGGAGCCGCCGCGGGCCTGCTGAGCTCCGGAGCGCGGCAGCCGGCGGCACGGTGAGCGCGGGCCGGCCGGCACCCAGGAGGGGAGGGCCGCGCGGGGCTGCGCCGAGGCCGGGGCGCGCCGGGTGGCAGGGGTGCCTCTCGCCGAGCCCCCCGCACCCGGCCAGCTCCCAGCCCTGCGGGCGCCGCGTCCGGCGCGGGGAGGCGGGTTGGGGGCGGCGGCAGCCCCGGGCTTCCCGGCGGCCGTTCCTGCAGCCCCCTCCCCACTGACCCCTCCTCCCTTTCTTCCTGCATCCTCTCCTCTTCCAGCCTCGCCTCCCTCCTCCCCGGCGGCTCCTGTTTTGTGAATGAATTAGGAGGCGGACGCCGGTGCGGGGCTCCAGGCTGGCTGGGGTACCCCTCCCCCGCACCTTCTACGACCTCCCGGGGGTTTGCACCTGTCCGGGCACCAAGGTACCAGGCGCCCACGTTCCTGCGGGTTAGCCGGGCCGCGGCAGCACGTGTCCGGGGGAGTGGGCTCCCCTCCCCTGGCCGGCCTGGAGGGGCCCGGAGGGCGGCCGGGCACAAGAGGAGGAGCCCCGTTGGGCGCACAAGTTTCCATGCCGCTGCGTGTGGCCCTGCCGCGGGGCGCACCTGTCAGCGGGAGAGACGCTGCACACCAGCAGCCCCTCAAAGTTTCGGAGGCTTGATGGAGAAGCGTGCGTCCTTGACTGGGGGTTCTCCTTCCGTAGTCCTGGGAGCCGGACTTGAGAGCGCCCCCAACCTTGTGCCCTTGAAAGCCGAGTGCGCGTTAGTTTGCCTGGGCTGGGCTCCCGTGGATGAGCGAAGGGCATGAGGAGGCGGCGGTCCAGGCTGTAGGATCACCCCACAGCCTCTGCCGGCTTGGGGTGACACAGCCCCCCGCCCCAGGTCTGGGCAGGAGAACCTCGACCACAGCCTGCACCAGCGCCTGATTGCACGTGGGGTATCTGGCTGAGGGACATTTTGGGGGCCTCTATTTGGGGGTGGGGGTAGTAACCTGGGTAATGCCTCTAATTCCTGCGGGGGAGGGGTCCCGCCCAGGGAAGGAGAGGGCCGGCTACACCGGGGATGCGCCTTTGTCTACAGGCACACTTTGCCAAGGTAGCTGGGGTACCAGGAAGAGCAGGGCCTGGTCCGACTGGGATCCCTTGGGTTTTCCGTTCCTTCCCGGTTGGGTCGTGGGAAAGCGGCACGTGGGTGTGGCCGGCGCCGCCTTTGCCAAGAGGCGAGGCTCGAGCGGGGATGAGAAGCGTGGCGAGTGCGTTCGCGGCTGCTTTGACCTGGTGGGCGCCGCCTCCGGCACTGCACCGAGGCGGGGCGCCAGCGCCCAGGTTGCTGGGCTGGCCTTGGCGCCCCCTTCCCCTACCCAGAGCGCAGGCAGGCAGGGGGGTCCCGCCGCGCCCCTTCAGCATGTAAGCTCCGGAGGGGAATGGGGGCGCTCCTAGGCTGCGGATGCAGGCCTGGGGACTCCTGGGCCGCAGGCGCGAGCAGTAGGGTGGCAACAGGGAGGGCTGGGAGTCCTGTGAAGGAAGCACACGGCGGGCTCCCCGGGACGGTGGGGCAGAGCGCCCGGAGGCCGCGCTTCCCGGAGAGGCTAGGCTGCCAGCAGCTCTTTTCGG
Source organism: Homo sapiens (assembly GCF_000001405.40). Lineage (NCBI taxonomy): Eukaryota > Metazoa > Chordata > Mammalia > Primates > Hominidae > Homo > Homo sapiens. The sequence continues at coordinate 69,107,903 of NC_000016.10, forward strand.
GCCAACGCTGCTGGAAGGCTGCTAGTGCCGGAGTCTCAGGTCGATTTAGGCA